>NC_000023.11:19410215-19713245 GCF_000001405.40 Homo sapiens | reverse complement strand
GTTTTTTGTTTGTTTGTTTTGTTTTTTTTGAGACAGAGTCTCGCTCTGTTATCCAGATTGGAGTGCAGTGGGACAATCTTGGCTCACTGCAGTCTCCTGGGTTCAAGTGTTTCTCCTGCCTCAGCCTCCCGAGTAGCTGAGACTACAGGAGTGCGCCACCATGCCTGGCTAATTTTTGTATTTTTAGTAGAGACAGGGTTTCACCACATTGGCCAGATGGTCTCAAACTCCTGGCCTCAGGTGATCCTCCTGCCTCAGCCTCCCAAAGTGCTGGGATTACAGGCTTGAGCGACCATGCCTGACCAGATCAGTTTTTGTAAACGGCTCCTCATTTTAAATTTGCATGATTGTTTCCTCGTGGTTGGATTTAGGTAAATGTTGTGGCAGAAGTATTCTATAGGTGATGTTATAGAAGTATTCTATAGGTGACGATATTCTATAGGTCCTTCTCAGTGCAGCCTATCAGGAGGCACGTGATGTCAATTTGTCCTATGATTAGCAATGTTAACTTGGATCACTTGGGTAAGGCTGTATCTGCCAGCTCTCTTCATTCCAAGGGGACCATTTTCCTTTTGTAACTGTGGGGAGATACTTTGAGATTTGGTAAATATCTTAATCCCCAACAAGCTTTCGCCCAGTGGTTTTAGCAACCGTTGATTCTTCCCAGAATCAATTATTACTATGATGGTTATAAAATGGCTATTGTCTGGATATTTCTATCATTTCTGTATTTGTCAATGTTCTTTTGTTAAAAAAAAGAGAAAAAAGGAGCTTTCACTTCTCACCCCATAACTATCTATCTGATCTTCTTTAGCTAGCTGTCTAGCTACCTGTTAAACATATTAATATGGACTCATGAATTTTTTAATGAATGTATTGTAATAAATTCCCTCAGTACATACCGTATTGTCCCAACTTTGGTCAGTGGAAGCCCTGTCTAGCTGACTCCTGTGTCCTTTTGAAATTATCCCTTAAATGTTTGAGTACTTCATGAATTTTAGCACAACCAGATATTTTAGTCTCACTTTGTATCTTCTTTGCCGTAGGCTTAGAAGAAGCCATTTTTCTATGGAGACCTAGTTCCTCTGGAGCTGCTATTTAGGAAGGCATCAGTAGTTTTGTGAAAGCTCCCTAGTCGATTTCAATATGCAGCAAAGAATAAGAGACATAGATTAGAGTCTTCCAAGGGGAGACCACCTGTTCCCACAAGGTGTTTCTTTTCTTTTAATCACCTGTTATTTGTGGTGCTGATTTGTTGCTGAGATTTAGATTTTCATGTGTGTTACTCAAGAGATAGCTTTAAATGCAGGTCCCTGGCCCCAACCCCAAAGAGTGAGTTCAGTAGTTCTGCCTTGCATTTTAACAGTCTGGTGCAGGTGGTCCCCAGGCCATACCTGTAGAAAATGCCAGAAGTAACCCTGGAAACTGGGAATTAGGGGTTTCTTTTGATTTTCCTCTTTTGCTTTTTATCAGTGGTTTCTACCTTGCAATATGATTTCAGAATACTGCCACGTTCCCCAGGTATGTGGTAAGGATCTAATTGATTAATTTGATGGATTCTTTGAAAATATCAGATGATTTAAACCCTTGTAGCTTTACTCTTGTTCCATCATGGGGAATTGGGGATGTGAAAAAAAGAGGTGGTGGGGTGGGGGTGGGGTGGGAAGCTTTATAAGTGTTGGAAGTTTTCAGTTGACCCAAAGACTTTTTTCATCCAATACATTATTTGTTGTTATTAGTTTATTTTCACGGACACTGAATGAATTGGCCTAGTAAAGTTTTCACATGCTGTAAGATCCTAGGATGTAGGCTCTAAAATATAGTTGTGTGTGCTGTTTTGGGGACTGGGTCATGACACCGTAGTCAGTTTCTGCTATTTCCTTTTCTGAGAAGGCAATTAATTGCATTGCCTCCCCATCCAACCAGCTTTATTTTATTAAATCTGGGGCCTGTAGGGCCCAAGTGCCCAGCAGCTGTAAGGAAAAGCTCCTGATTTGTGGTTTTTCCCTTCCTGGTTCCACCTTTCAAACAAATACCATGTTAGTGCAGCTAGTCCCTTCTGTGATCTCAAGACCCAGGACTGAGAATGCTTAAGAACAGTCAGATGTGGGAGGGAGATAGTGCTTCTGGAGTTGCGTTGCCTGGTTTGAAATCCTCTGGTAAAATACATGATCTCTATGTGCCTCCGAGGTCTTCTTGTCTGTAAAAAGGGGGTTAGTAATCTACCCCAGAGGTTCAGTGTGAGGATTAAATGGGGTGGCATATGTAAAGTGCTTAGCAGTCTATGGCACATAGTAGGTGCTCAATAAATGTTACTATTTTATTAAACAGTAAATGGTCACAAATGGAAGGGGGCCGTGGGGTCTAGTGAGAGAGTTGAGGGTGTGCTGTCTCAGTTATCATTAGATCGGCTATTGTGGTATCATAGTGCTTGTGATCAACGAACCCTTATTTCACTTAATACAGTTGTTCCCCCTTACCCGTGGGTGCTACATTTCAAGACCCCTAGTGGATGCCTGAAACCATGAATAGTGCCAAGTCCTATATATACTATGTCTTTCCCTATACGTACATATCTATGAGAAAGATTAATTTATAAATTAAGCGCAGGAAGAGATTAACACCAATAAATAATAATAAAACACTAATAATAAAATACAACACTAACAATATACTATAATAAAAGTTATGGGAATGTGTTCTCTTTCTCTTTCTCAAAATATCTTATTGTACTGTACTTAGCCTTCTTATGATGGTGTGAGATGATAAAATGCCTACATGATGTAATGCAGCGAGGTGAATGATGTGGGCATTGTGACGTAGCGTTTGGCTACTATTGACCTTCTGATGATCTATGAGAATGAGGATCATCTGTTTTGAGTGATCCTGGATCGTGGAGTCACAACGCTGTCTGTGGTTAGATGTGAGGAGCAGACAGTGTCAGTGACTCAGGGGCAGGGAACATCCGTAGCGTGGAGACGCTGGACAAATGGATGATTCACATCCCGGACAGGATGGAGCAGGATGGCATGAGGTTTCATCACACTACTGAGAATGACATGCAATTGAAAAGTTATGAATTGTTTATTTCTGGAATATTCCATTTAATATTTTTGGACCTTAGGTGGCCACAGGTAACTGAAACTGCAGAAAGTGGAACTGTTGATAAGGGGGGACTACTGTAAAAATTCCACTCCCAGTTCATTTGGACATGAAGGTGGTGGCTCAAACTAAGGAATTCCAAACCTCAGGCATAGGCAAGTCATAAGTTTTTTTCCTTTAGTTTATGTGAGCTATTGAAATGAGGTGGCATTGTCATCTCCTTACCTCTTTAAGGAAGGTCAAGACTCACTAGTAAACACCAGTGAAATTCCAGGAGAGGAAAAAAATGACAAATGACTTTCTTAGACTTCCTTAAGTTTAAGATGGATGGATGCAACTGAAATACAATTTCTCCCAACTTCAAGCATCCCCCTTGAACTGGGTTGTAGGTCAGGTGGTACTGGCAAACAAATTCAAATCAGTGACAGGCTATAGTTGAGGCCTCGAAAAGCAGCATTCCAGGAGTTTGGTGTTCTCTGTAATGAGAGGTCCATGGCAGAGACCTAAGTGACGTGGTACAGTGTTGCAGGAAGAAGTTGAGTACAGATTGCAGAGAGTTTGGCACAAAATGTGAATTGAATTAGTTTATCCAGCACTAGAGAGAGAACTATGAACTTAGGCTAAGGAAATGCTGCCACTTACTAGCTTGGTGACCTGGGGTAAGTCATTGAGTCCTGGATTCCTCATTTGCAAAATGATTGCCCATTCTGGCTTTTATTTTTTAACTCATGTGGTTGGCAGGAGGAGAGGGTGATGGATATCAGAAGGGTTTGTGAGCTATCCCAGTGCGAGGGCGAATGATTGTGCTTGGCATCAGGTCACGTGATCTTTACCACCAGCCACCTCTGGGTCCCTCCCCTGTGCCCTCTGTAGGGCTTACTCTTTGGCATGTTGGCAGTGAGCTTTGTAGGACTTTATGCTACCAAAACAGTAACAGTCATGAGGCTGGACTAGCCTGGCAGAGAGAAAGTAGCGAAGACATCATTCTTCTGACACCAGGCAGGCCTTTATGGAAGTCCGATGCGGGGATTTGGTTTAAGAGCAGTCTCATTATTCTGTTTCAGGTCCTACATCCATTGGGTTAGTCTTTTCTCTAAGAATAGATCACTCTCTCCTTTGCCATTTGTGCAGTGTTGGATTAGATGCTACTTTTTACAGAGGGTTTTTTGAACATATGAACTTACATACAACTGTAAGTTTTATGGCTTCAGCTAACACTAGATCTTCAGATGGTGTTATTTTAAGTCACTTTGGTCAGGACTTTGACTTCTGTGGTTGTGAGTGTTGGTTTTCAGACGTTTGTCATTTCACTTGTTTCATGTTCAGATTTGTGTCTGCAGAGTTTGCTTTTAACATAACATCCAGCAAATGAAAGCCCTTTAAAGATTGGTAGTAGAACTTCATTTTAAGAAGCATCTATGGGGCCAGTGGAGTCGCAGGGGTCAGGAGTGGGATGCCAAGATTGCCTTGTAATCTAGACTTTCTTTGCTAGAATGAGAAATCCATATCCTTTATGGTACAGGGTACTTGATTTGCCTTCCATTGTATGGGAAGCCATGGTATAGTGGTGGCGTTCTTTGCATCGGAATACCCATTCCTCCTGACTTTCCTCCTTGGAAAAGCAAGTTGGAGTGGGCCCTCTGTCCTAGGGAGAGCCAAGCCCTCCTTGGGGTTGCACTACTCAGCCTGCTGACAGTGCCATCAGCATCTAGGAATTGCCCTGGAAATGCTGTGTTTGTTCCTAAGACCCAGAGGCTTGTAATTTTGCACAAAGGGGTGGAGAGTATTTGTGGAGTCACCAAAGATGTGATTAGACAAGATATCGATTCTGAACTTCTGCCCTCTTCCTTCTATTCAACTCTGTTCTTGCTTAGTGAGGTACAGGCAAGAAAAATGGAACAGAGAGAACTAGGCTGCCGGCTTTTGAAACATATTGATCAGGGCACACATCCGATGTAGCACAGAGACCTTCCCCTTTATATGATGTCATCCTGCATTGGGGCCTTAATGTGCCCTGTGATCACCTCTGCATGGACTTCCTTTCTCAGAGAAAAGATTAGAGAAGAAAAAGAATCCCTGTAGGCAGTGCTAAAAAATAATTTAAGCATTTCTAAATGTGTTTCTTTGAAGTCATTGATCCCTTTGGTTTTCTAGGCCATGCAGTGGCATGAAGGAATGGTGTGAGGCGGTCAGCCATGAACGACAAACTTCTGAGCAATGTCGGTCTCACTTCCTACCTCCCATCCACCTCCCTGGCTTGGGCCTCCACTGCTGTCTGTCTGTCTGTCTGTCTGTCTGTCTGTCTGTCTGTCTCACCCTCACCCCCATACACGTTCTTTCTCCACATAGTGCACATCTGTGGTGTGGATATGCTGTGGACAGTTGTGTCTGTACTTGAACCAGCTCTAAGCCAGGGTCTCCCAGATAGGACATGCTGGGTGAGTGAGATGTTGTAACCCTGAGTGTCCTCTGGTTGAGTGAAGTGTGGCCCTGGCTCTTATCTTGATTTGTCTGGCTTGGTTCTGCGTAAGTAGCTGGGGATCCTGTTAATGGATCCCCTGGGACAGAGGGAAGAGGACAGAAGTAGATTTGTTGAATCCTGTGGGGGTGTTTGAAATGGTACCAAGAGCAGGCTGAAATCTAATCAGCCTTCACTTATCAGGCTTGAGTTCCCGTATGTTGAAAGGGTGACGATTAGTAAGAAAAAGGCCAGGATACTTTATCTTTCCTTTGCACATTTAGAAAAATCCCCTCTGCCTTGCTAGCATTAGAAGCAGACCATTCTTTTTTCTCTACCACATCACATCAGCTTCCATTAAAAATCAACAGCAGCAAATACAAAGCCCCATCTATGGAAAACCGTTTAAGGCAACACTGTGCTCCAGTGCTTCAGGGGTGGGGTATTTGCCTTCTGCACCAATGGATCGGTTTCTCATATCCATGCCTTTCTGACCCAGCAGCTTTTAAAAGACCAAGAAGCATTGCTCTGCTTTCTACTGCCTCTCTCTAAGAGACCAGGGCTGCCGTGCCTCAAGCCATGTCCCAGAGAGCATATTTGAGACAAGTCAGCTTAATTTGCCTGCATGCCTAGGAAGCCTCTCTTTAAAATCTGATTTGGGGAGAAGAGCTGTCTCTAAATATTTTGCTTTTCCCATCCAGGCGAGCGACGGAGGCGCCGGTGCCAGGTGGCATTCAGCTACCTGCCCCAGAATGACGATGAACTTGAGCTGAAAGTTGGCGACATCATAGAGGTGGTAGGAGAGGTAAGCGACCTGGCCGGGCAGTGCAATGGCCTCGAATGGGCTGTCATAGTCACTGCTTACCCACCCATGAAGACGCCTTGCTACAGACTCACAGGCTGTTTGGCCTTGAAGTTAGGGATCCTCTAGTTGAGTCTCCTGTCTGAGAAAATGGCTTTCCCCAGAGGAATGCCCCCAAGCCAGCTGAGTTCATACCTGGGGCCATTGGAAAGCATTGTCTCTAACACAGCTTACTAAATACCTCCGAATTTCCAACGCAGTGCCACCAAGTTTCTCTTCTACTTGAATTGAGCATAGACTCTGGGCATCCAGAGTGACCCAGATCCATCTTTAGAGCATGGATTTAGTATTCATTGTGGGGGACGCTGTGGATTTAGAGGGCAAAAAAAGGAGTGACATTTCTTAGAAGACCTAGTATGTGGCAGATGTGACAAGATTCTTTAAGCATTAGCCCATTTCCTCAGCCCACACGGTTTATTGTGCGGGATGAGGAAGGAGGATCAAGAGACCCTAGAAGACGCAGGGCTGATGGCCAAGCCTGGTCCCTGTGACTGGAGACCCTCACTCTTCCTGCTGTACCACATTCTCTTATTCCTGCTAGTGAAATGTCCCTCCAGATTCCCTCAGGCCTAGGGGATCCTGGGTTTCAGGCTTAGAACCTTATCATTCATTCTGATTCAACAGTTGTATCTATATCTAGAAACACAGTTTTCCATTTGCTTATTGCTTGCTGATACCCTCTGACCTTACAGAAACCCACAATTCATAGAAAAGGAAGCTAGAAGTTGAGGATGACTTTAAGGGAGCTGTCATGTGAGTGGAAGTGGCAGGGGTGATGCTAGAAGCCAGATTTCCTAGCTCTCATACATAACCTAATGTGAACATGTGTCAGAGTTTTATTTAACTCATTAATGAAGGGATCTGTAAGATGGTAAGGCTGGCCTGAAGAGAATTGTGAAAGAGCAAAGATAATGACTGAAAAAATTTAAGATTGCTAAGTTACATGCAAAACTACATAGTGCCCTACAGTGCAATAAAACTGTAACCTTTGAGGTTATCTTTTCTAGGGGACAAATCCTTTGCATTTCTGCTCGTCAAAATTTATTTTTGTTACTACCTGGCAAGAATCATTTGCAGTGCTCTCAGTTTTCACCAGTTGACATCCACAGTAACAGAGTTGTAAACTAGCCTCATAAATAGTACATAGTGTGCCAAGCAGAGATACATGTCCCTCCAGAAGCAATTAATGGGGTCCCCAGTGTGGCACTGGGAGGGCATGCAGGAACCCCTTTTACCTACTTCCGAATTTTGGATAATTAACATGTCATTCATCCTTTTTTACCCCTGGTGGCAAGCAGGGCACATAGGAGACATTTATTGAAAGTTGAATGAGTGAAAAAATGAATGGACAACAGAGAACATTTATTTCGGTGGTAGAATGACAAATTTCTTAAGGCTGTAACCATGGAAAGAAATTCCAGAAGAAAAAATAAACAGATGTGACTAATAAGAAAAATGGTTAAGATTTTGGTACGATTTGAAGCTAGTCCAGCTAAGGAAAGAGAACAATAAATAGGAAAACATTTGCAATAAATTATGACAGAAGTTATTATATATGTAGTATGTGAAAATATTAGGAAGCTATTATAACAATGATAAATAGTAGATAAATTTGCCATAAACACAGATCCCAGACGGAGAAAAAAGTCTTAACCACAAGAAAATGTTCCACTCGACTGTTAATTAAATAAATACAAATTAAGACAATAATGGGTTTTTACTTATGAAAATCCTAAGAAAATATTTAGTGGTTAAGCTGTTGGCAAGGCATAGAAGAACTGGTGAATTTGTATGTCTGTATTATGAAGCTATTTGGCAAGGTATGTCAAAAGCTATCAATATCTGAATAACACTTTTTGACTCAGTGATCTCATTCCTGAGAATTTATCCACAGAAACTGATTAATGAAAGAAGAAACATGTGAAACGTGTTAATTACAGCAGTATTTGTGATAATGAAAAATAAGAAGGAGAATTAAGTTGTATTTTCCAAGTAGAACGTTGTGAAGCCATTAAGATGGTAAACACAGAGGTTTTTAGATATGTATTTGTTATGATACTTTGCATTGTAATGATCTGTTATATTCTAAGCTGAGAGCTTTTCAATGGCAGGGACCTGATTTTTATCTATTTTTATATTTGTGGTACCTAGAATAGTGCCTGAAACCTAATCTGCACTTTAATAAATGCTTGCTGAATAAGTAAATGAATCAATGGAAATACAAAAAGAGTTTTTTGCAAATTGAACAAATCAGAACACAAAATTGCATACACTAGGATAAAACCATGTAAAATATATCTATATGCTTGTGATCAAAGACTGAAAGGGAACAAGAATTGAAAATGCTTCTGTCATAGAAGATAACTTTTCTTTTAATATTGTAATAATGCATTAAGAAAAACCACAAGTCAAGACAAGGAAAATGATTAATACATTTCTCAGAAATATTGCCCACTTTTGCCTGCCTATTGGCTGCAGAGAAACTGAACGTTGATTGCTTAAAGGAGAAAGAGGAGCACTCGCAGAGCTGTTACTGGATTTGCCTAGAGGCTGATAGGCCTTTGCCATCATCTACAATACCAGCCTCCTTTCTATTATTCGCTGCCAGCTAAATCCTGTTCGTCATTCTGGACTTGCTTCAAATAGGAAAAAGGAAAAAATAACCATATAGTCTATGATATTTACATAAAACAAAACGTAAAGGCTGGCCTTTTAATCCAAAGTTTTAAAATACGATCAAAAACTCCCCATTGTTCCAGTTTACTTGTTATATTGCAGAGACTGGGCCCTTGTCACTGTATAATATAAAATCTGTCCTTTTCTCTTATAGTGAATGTTATATAAATGCTAAATGTAGCTCCTCTCTAATTCCACTGATGATTAAAAATAAACAGAAAAAAGCAATAAACAAAAACCCCTAAATCACAGAGAGATCAAAGCAAGAACATAATAGTTTTGCAATACTGTAGGATTAATCTATTAATAAAATATAACATGTATTGTGTATGTATATATTATATTTTTATTGATTAATAGATGGATTTCTCTAATTTTGCAAAGCTGTACACACACACACACACACACACACACACACACACACACACACACACACACACACACACACACAGTTTCTCTTTTTGCCCTGACAGATAAGCCTTAGGAGGATTTTGAATGTATGGACTAGTTTTTTTGAAAGAGTTGAATCAAGTAGAGAATCCTAAAGTCCTAAAACATCTGCCTTAATATCTAATTTTAGCTTAAAATATCAAAATGAATATTCATTCATCATTTATCAATACAATCTTATGACATGGGGCCAAGGCCACTTCCCTAAATATGGGTTTGCTGGTTTGAGTTCCATCTATCTCTGCATCCATAGTGCATCCTCTATGATTCCCATTGGTTTCCTTCTCAAGTTCTACAGCCCCCCACCCGCCTCCAACCCCTTATCTTCTTTAGTTGTTGCCTTCACACCAAATTTGGCAACAGTTTTTTTTTTTTAAACATTCAGATCATTACCTTTATCCCTCCTCACCACCAACTCTTTCTCTTCACACCTGTATATTTTTGTGCAATTTAACCAAATGTGTGCTACCATTAATGAGCAAAAGGCTTAAGCAGGTTTAGGTAGAAACAACCTTGACCCTTAGTCGGGTGAACAGCTTGCTCACCTGGCAGGAGCGAGTCTACCAGCCCTGAATGCTCAGCCTGAGCCAGCCTCCAAAGCGTGGTTTAGGGAAGGAAGGGAGTGCTCAGGGCAGTGTGGGCATAGTGGAGTTGGCAAAGCAAAGCACCTGCCAAGAAAGCACCTGCCATGCTTCTGGCTCCTGGCTGGAGAGTGGTGGTTGTGCTGTGAAAAGAAATCATCATTGTGAACCTAAAGGAACCAGACTGCCAATTCAAAAGGAAAGTAGCAGGCTGTGAATTCCTGGATTGATATTTTTAAAGAAATCATTGTGAATACACACTGGGTCATTTTTATCCTGAGTGGAGAAGACAAATAAATACAGGCAAAGTTCTAATTATAGGAAGAACAGAGATGGCGTGTGAATGAGATTTACAGGAGAAATGGCATTTGAAGGCCCCTGGAATTTTTATGCAGGCTTTTTGGCTTATGATGTGTTTTTGTCATTGTTGTTGTTTCGTTTTGTTTTTTGTTTTTTTTTTAAAGTGCATTGAAGCCACTTTGTTTTTCTATGTTATCTAGAGCCTGGGAAAGGAGCCACTTTTCCTCTTGTGTTGGATTAGCTTGGTCTTAGCCAGTCTCTCAGTCGTGGCCCAAGGGATGTTCAAAGATTCTTGCTTTTATGTGTTCTTTATGGTTACTTTTTGGGGTGTTTCTCAGTGGCCCCCAGTCAGGCTGGCTTAAAGCCTAACCTGGTTTTGTGGCTTGCAAAGATGATAACTTCCACTTTCAAAGTACTTTTGCATCTTCCTTCTTGTGCCCATGGAATATTTGGTCCACTCAGCTAGAGTTAAATAGGCCCTTGAACGTCATCAAAACTTTAAATCAGTCAGACAACTTTTGTGGGTGTGGATAGGCCCACATCCTCATGTCATTTTTTGCCCATGAGAAGTCAAGTTTATTCAAAGGCTGATCAGTTAATAGGTGATCGAAGCATACTGAAGTTCTGACCTGTTAAGATAATCGCCTTGCTTTAGAAGGGTGTGTATCTCTTTGCAAAAAGAAGATAACATTAATATAAAATATCTGCTTATTGGAATTTGATAATCCAAAGAGCTTGGGCTGTTCTACAATTATTTCTCCAAATAACTTTGAGGTGAAAACCTCTGATTTCCTAATGTGCAGAGATGGTAAAACATTCATATTAAGGAGAAGGAAGCCGTGTTTAGAAGAGAAAGTTGATTAGATTTGAATCATCAGCATGCAAAACAGGCTGCAATCATATAAAAGTAGCATATTTGCAAGTTTAAAGGTATTTATAATAGATTTGCATAGCTGTGGGATTTATCAAATATTTCAGTGCTTACACTCTGAGAGAAACTGTGTTTATTGAGATTTGGGGATTGATTGAACAGAACCTGTCCCTTGAAACATGCTCAGTCTAGTGAGGGAGGGCAAGATATACACAGCTAAGGTAACTATCAACCCAAGATGTTACCAGAGTGGCAAATGATGGCATTGACGAACGAGAGAGGAATTTAAAAATAGGAGTAGTCACAGAGGGTGAAGAAGATGCTTTGTAGAATAGGTGAGGTTTCAACTGAAGATGCAGATGGTGAGTGGTATTTGTGTTAGGTGCTGGAGGAAGGAGGACATGGTGTTAGTAGAGCCTTGCTCTGCATTAGGGGAGGACCTGTGAAACTTTGGGACCTCCCCTAATGCAGACCTCCCCTAATACTTTAGGTGTAGAGTATAGAAAGCAGGTGCTGGTGGATGCAATGAAATGGGGTTGAGATCAAAGTTATAGTGCTGGCCACACTGAACTTTCAAAGGAGCGCCTGTTTAAAGATTCCTAATCTGGAGGTTTCCCAGGTGAACATATCCCCATAACCATTTTCTCACCTGGAAATAGCAATGGGAGAAAACTTGAGGATCTTGATTCATCAGAAAGGTTATCTTGCTGGCTTGTGTTACCATTTGTTCATATTTTTTAATTGGAATGATAGAAAGACCTTAGTATTGGACTCACTTAGGAATTTGGGGACCTGTGGCTGTTTTTGAAGGACAGGATTATCAAGCACTGCTGAAGGAAGTTTCCGAAAGCTCTACCAGAAACCCTTTCCACTCTGATGAAAAATCATGGATGTTGCTCTGTCTTGTTGGGCAGTTGGCCTAAGTCTTAAATAGAAATTGTATATGTTTTCTTAAATGACTTCCCTTCCAATTACTCTACAGATTTCTCTTCGAGGGCCGCCTCTCATGTAGAATAGCCTTGTTCTCAGAAGAGTGAGGGGAGGGAATGAAAATCAGCTTCCCTATGTGAATGGAATGTTCTGGCCCAGCCAGAAAGAGGTAATCATACAATGAACTACACAAGAATTAGGGGAAAATATTGGTCCAGCCATTTAGGACCTAGATAATGCTTGTTTATATTTGGCATAGCCAGCTTTCCCACATCCTCTGAGATTGAAAATAGTGTAGGTGTTTATGCCTTCAGGAAATGCCCCCCTTAAAGATATATTTTTTTTTCACCAGTTCTACTGATAGAAAAACATGTTTACCAGAAATAATTTGTATTATTTTCAGCGATATTTAAAAAGTTAAATTATGTCTCAGCACATTTATATGAAGTTCTAGAAGAAGTAAAATGAATCAAAGGTGATAGAAATCAGATTAATGATTGCTTGGAGGTGGATTGACTAGGAAGGGGCACAGGGAACTTTCTGGAGTGATGGAAATGCTTTTTATGTTAATAGAGGTGTTGGCTACAATGGGCGTTTGTCAAAACTAATCAGCTTGTATTGTTAAGTTCTGCATTTATGTAAATTATACTTCAATTTTAAAAAAGCTTTAAAAGCTGTCTTAACATTTTTTTAGCGTTTTAAAAATTCTCAAAACACCTTTCCCAAGTAAGAGAAAGGAACAGTATTACAATTTTCATTTAGTTACTCCTGAAAAAAAAATTTGAGGAAAATTTTAGCAGCTTTAAGGTGTGGGCCTTTCCTTAGACTTTGATGTGTCACTTTTCTTTTATGGGAAGAATGGTAAAACAACTCTTGAAACAATGAAGCTGACTTCGTTTGTCTGGGTGCATCCCCCTAACCCCAGGCTTCCCTCAAACCCACCCCTCCAGTGTGCTTCTGACTGGGGTTTGGGTATCAAAGTATTCACTGGATGAAAAAAAGCTATAGTCATCCTTAGATGAACTTTTTCTGTCTTGCTACTTGTGCCCTTGGGTAGACTGTAGACCTGATAAAGCCTCCATACCCCTTCTCAGTCCAGTTGACAGGTAAAACTTCAGGGGTGATAAATAGGAACTGGCCTGAATAGCCAAGCACTCACAGGGAGCACGCCATCTTTTCAGTCACAGACTTCCTCTTTAGTGCCTTACAAATGGGGTGCAAGAAGGGGTGGGGATGGGAGTATTGAAGTTCACCCAGGTGTTTGCCCAATCTCCAACAGGGTTAAGATTTAAAAACTACTTCCTTGGACCCTGAACCCACTTAGATGCTGTTGATTGTAAAGACATGAAAATTGCAAGGCCCTCAGATAGAAACTGTTGAAGTGGTTTTATTCCATCGTTCTCAAACGCTACCAGGTGTAAGCTGCTCTGCTCCCAGCTCTGGGCCAAAGGTGAGATTCACTCTTGGGGCACGGTGAAATTGTATCTTAGCACATTTATGTGAAGTTCTAGAAGAGGCAAAACTAATCAAAGGGCTCCAGAGCTGACTGGGTTGGTCGTAGAGGGACACAGGTGGGATTTGTTCTCAGCCTAGAGCCAAGGCCTGCAGAAGACTGTTTATGAGTGGGGAACGGCATCTGCCCCCTTTTATTATTGTCCTTTCCTTGGGGTGGAAGTTATAAGCCCTTGGTGTGGTATTCGTAATCCCTACTTTGTTACAAAGAGACGCATTTCTTTCTTTTCTTAACTATAGAAATGCAAACATAAGCAAGCTTGATTTCCAAGCAGGGGCTGTTCAGGCTCTGTAACTGCCTCTCTCTTGTTGGAAACTTCTCAAGGATGGAGTCTTTATCTGTTTTGTTCAGCAGTGAATCTGTCCCCAGGTACTGGGGCAGTGCAAGATAGGTGCTTACTAAATATTGGTGGAATTGGGAGGACCACACAGTCCTGGGTGTGGCAGTACCTAGTTAAGAACAGTGGCAAATATAGTTAGGATCTCTCAGTTCCTTTTGCTCCTCACAGGAAGGAAACCTTTTTCTGTGGGGGAAATCAGGGCTCTTTAGGCCCCCATGGAGGATTTTTCCCAATAATGTCTCTGCCATTCATTCATTCATTCATTCATTCATTCATTCAATGTGTGAGGCACTGTGCTTTACTCTTAGAATGAGTGAATGAATGAATGAATGAAATCACATGGCAGTGTCCGTGTCCTCGTCTTTACACAGGAAGTTGAACTAGAATATCTCTGAAGAGGGATAGTGTGAGGTATCATTTTTCTCTTATCTCCAGCCTCAGTCTCGAGACCAAAACAGCTGGCCTGGCTATAGAAGGAAATAGTACTGAACGACTCTCACTGGTACTGGGGCCACCCCCACCACCCCCATGAAGGGCTCCAGCTCACAGAAAAATGAGCATCGTGCCCATGGTGCACCTGTGATGGGAAGTGTGTCCCCAGGCGATGAGCAGTGGTTTTATTGTCTGCCCCTCCACTTACTGCGTGGTTAATGATAGGCCTCTGCCATTTTCCCATAGGCCACTCTTCTCAGACTGTGCTGTGACAGTGATACTGGCATCTGAGGGTGTGGTGAGGTGAAGATACGTCTGTTTTCCCAGCAGACAGCCTGCTTTTCCTACACATCAGGAAGGCTTCCCTCAGGGATCTTGGGCAGGAGCCACTTATTACTAGGAATAGGAATGTTCCAGACATCTTCAAACTAAGTGGGTTGGAATTGGCCCAGCTGCCCCGTGCTGTTGGGGATTATGCCAGGGACTGCTCATTTGTGGTTCATGCCCTTGATTTTCTCCTCCTGCTATGTGACTCCTGGGAGAGAGAAGGACATTTTCTGGTTTCTTATTCAGTACCAGCACAAAGGACTCCACTCCACAAATCCTGTGACTATTGATACTGAGACTCATGGTGAATCTTCCTAACCATCTAAGCCTATAAAAAGCTCCTTGAAAAAATAATATGTGTCAGTTGAGTTGGCATAGAAACATGGAATGATTTCAGTGGAAATGCTGCGAAATGCCACGATTTGGTATCAAATAGTCGTTGGGACAGTTGTGCATGAATGCCGTCATCTGGATTCTCTCCCGAAGATTTTGTGATTGTGCAAATGTAATTGCCACTCTGTAAGTCTGTATCCTACAAGTTTCCTTATAAATGCTCTAAACTTATCGTTCTGGTTATCTCCATTCCACAGGCTCCATCAGCAACCCCCTTTCTCATACACACCTGTCCCCTAAGTATGGCTGCCATTTCTTCTTCTAAAAGCCTACCTTAATTTTGATTTCTTTTTTCTCAAAGCCTTCCTTTAGCACCCCAGATCTCAGTGAGCTCAACTTTGTGTAACAAGTTTGATGTGTGCTAAGTCATGGTCTTTTCTCATCTGTTTACATTGCATTGCTAATGTTTAGTCATACCTTTCTATCTTGGTAGAGTATTCACTTCTTGAGGAGAACTAAGGACTTGTCCTATACAGTTCTATGTCCCGCAGCCCCTAGTGAAGATTTGTAATGCATATATACTTCTAACACAGATTGAGATGCTGCCCTAAAGACGACAACTGTGAAGTGTGTTAATTATTCCCATCATGCAGATAGGAATAAAACGGGGTTCATTTTGGTAGGACAAATTTGCATAACGTCACACAACTACTAAGTTTCAGGATAGAAAAAATTCGAACTGGACTTTTGACTCAAATTTTCTTTTTCTTTTTTGTTTAAATTATTTTAGCTTTTACATTGTATTTATTAATTTGGATTGGTAATACAGACTTTCCTCAACTTAAAATGGGATTATGTCCCAATAAACCCATCATAAGTTGAAAATATCATAAGTTGAAAATGTATTTAATACACCTAACCTACCAAACAGCATAGCTCAGCCTAGCCTACCTTAAATGTGTTGACAACACTTCCATTAGCCTATAGTTGGGCAAAGTCATTTGGCAAAACAGTATACTGAAGAGTGTCGGTTGTTTACCCTCATGATCACATGGCTGACTGGGAGCTGAGGTTTACTTCTGCTGCCCAGCATTATAGAAGTATCATACTACCTATTGCTAGTCCAGAAAAAGATCAAAATTCAAAATTTGACGTATGGTTCCTACTGAATGCATATCACTTTTGCATCATCATAAAGTCAAAAATCCTAAGTCGACCTATTGTAAATTGGAGACTGTCTGTACGTGCACATGGTAAAACAATTCCAAAGGTTGTATTATACCACACCATACAGCTTGTAACTTAATACTTGCTTGTTTTCAAACTGCCCTTATTTTCCTCCAAGAAGCCAGTTTGCTATTCTGACTTCTGCTGTACTACTAGTGGCTCTATTACAAAATCCAGGGCCAATTTTTTTACGCTTCTGTCACCCATCCCTGCTAGTTGATCACTCAAGGCCAGCTCAGACCTCAAAGGGCCTCGAATCCAAATCTGCCTCATCCATTCTCACTGCTCCCCCGACTCAGCCTTCCCTCCTTATCCAGATATCATAGTCTCGCTGCCCTTCCTACCTACCTACCCCCTTTCGGTTCATCTTAGGGTAACTTAGAACCCTTCAGAAATGTACAGGAAGCTCTTACACTTTCTGATTGAGTTCTTAGCCTACAGATAAATTCTTAACTATATTTTTTTAGGCTGTTTAGTTAGTTTGGTAGTCTGGGGAAACCATTCTCAGTTTTTAGATAATGCTTTTAAATGCATAAAATAAAACGCATAAGATTATAAAGGGAATGATTTATATTGAACTAGTTATCAAATTATTTTAAGACCAAATTTTGATATAGTAATCTATGGGTATCCTTATTAATAGACTAAATAGCAAAGGTCTCCCAGTAGGTGTAATAACTATCACCATTTCAAAGCAGCAATGAGCACATACGATATTTTGAGATACCCATAGCATCTATGATGTGATATGAAAATATCTGTGGTTTGTTTGGTGATGAGTCACAGGTCCTTCTAATATTGGTGTGTTACCTACCCTACGTTCATAACCAAAGCAGATGCCAAATTTCAGTTAGAGGCTAATGAAAATGAAGTATTAATTTTGTCTGTTTGCATTTGTGGATCCCAGGTAAACACCCCCTTCTTTAGCCTGAATCTCAAGGCTCTATGTGGTCTTTTTTTCTTGTTCCCTGTTAACTTTAAAGCCATTCAGTCTCCCTGTGTGGGCTCTGCATGCTACACTATACATATGGGAGGCAAAATTGGAAACCACCATGTCTAACCTGACCCATGTATCTCTGCTCTTTTGTTTGTATCTCTGCAGGTAGAGGAAGGATGGTGGGAAGGTGTTCTCAACGGGAAGACTGGAATGTTTCCTTCCAACTTCATCAAGGAGCTGTCAGGGGAGTCGGATGAGCTTGGCATTTCCCAGGATGAGCAGCTATCCAAGTCAAGTAAGGAAGTCTACCCTACCAAGCAGGAGAGGGGCGGGGGACCGGCAGGCTGTGCTCCAGCCTCCCTTCTGTTCTGTATCCTATGCCGAGAGGCTATAGTAAACGCTTACGAGTATTTTTTTGGTTATACTGCCTTAACCCACTGTGGTTTAGGAAGTTGATCCCTATAAAGGTGTGACCCGTAGCCACACATTCTGTATGTCTCTGGATAGGTAACTGCCAGCCTTCATGCCCTGGTAATACTGTCTCATGGGTGGCCCATGTTGCTGTGCCTCCATATACTTCTAGAGTGTTGCTTACTGTAAGTTCATAATTATTTAAAAAATGAACCAAATGGGATTGTCAGTATTTCTCAGCATCCCTTGAGGGACTTGGAGAAAAATTACCAAAGAAAAAAAAATTACTGGTGGTGAGAAGTGAAGTGCTATGACAAGATGAGTGCATGCCAATCCCCTTAAAAGTAGGTCAAGACAACTGAGAGTCCAGGTCCCACCTTGGGTGGTGAGCATGTGTGTCCTTCTACGATGGTGACAACGAACTTCAGGTCTTTCTTTCTCCAGGGCCTGAAGGTCTCCCTCCAGCTTCTCTGCTGCCCTTTCCAGCTCACGGAGCAAAAGGTCAGGACCGGGAAACTTCGTTCTCCCAGTCACTAACCCAACTGTGGGCGTCTGTGTATCTCTTGTGCTGTCTTGAGCCAAGGTCATGGGCATGAATGTTGTAGGAGGCTCGACTGTGCAGCACTACCTGGGGTTGCAGAATTTCCTTTCTGACAAGAGGAGGGCAGCTTAGTCCTGCCCAAATCATTCTTAAATGTCTTCCTTTTTCATTTGGAAAAACCTGACTTGAGTGGTGTTCTCGTGTTAGTTTGTGTCTCATTTATTTAACCAGTAGTATGATTAGACAAGTGTCTGATTTGGAGGTAACGCCATTTGCAGAGAAGTGCTCAAGCGACTTCCTTCACTTGGTGTCTCAGCAGCTCTGGATGATGTAGCCTGACATACCGAGAAACAGCAGCACTTGCTGGTTATCCAGTGGCTTCAGCAGTGCTCCTTCCCTCCAGTGCCAAAGCCTGGGACCCTACTACCCCTGAACCCCATTCCATCCTAGAGTCTATGGTAGGAAGCACTGGAAGGGGTTGGGGGGGGAAACGAGGTGTCTTGGAGCTCCTGTTGCCTTCTCTGGCTCAGGGCAGGGGGATTCTCTATTAACATGGCCCAGCTGATGAGTACTACTGGGAGGGGAGAAGGTGTCCTTGATCTCCCATTAGTGGAAATTACTATTGCTTTCAAAATCCGTGTTAGAATTCTAGCTGCCCTGGTGTCTTCTCCTGTACTCTGGAATAACTATTGTACCTGGTAATTAGATCCCATAATAACAATACTCTATGTCAGGGACATTGTGGATTAAATGGGATTTTTTGGAGAGAGGACCAAATTGGGTCATTATAACATTATTTCCATGAATAAATTCATTACAAGTTCCAGTAGCAATAATGTGCATAAACCACCTTGCTCCATAGCAGACCCATAATAAATGGTAGCTCTCACTGTTAGTCAAGATAACTGTTGAGACATAACCAGTTAGTATCAGTTGCTTGGAGGTTGCTTGCATACTGAGCGATAGCATGTTGGCTGAGGCATTGTGACTGCATTTGGAAATTACTTTGGAGTTCCTCTACTGATGCAGAGGAGGAGATCTGGGGAAGTATTAGACAACCTCTTTGGAAAAGTCTTGACATATTGGTGTCCTGCCATTTTAGCTATGCTCTCAGAGCTGGAAGATCAGAGGAGTAATGCCTCTTGTATCTTTAGAACTATTGAAACAAATTGACTTCTCTCATTCCAAGTCAGTAATATGGACAGTTCACCCTGTCTGACCCCTCAGCTAAAGGCATATGGTGCTGCAATTCCTGGTACAGAGGATTAGGAGGTTGGGCGGAATGGTCTTCCCATTTAGCATTATGTCATCACCTGCTCAGAAGGGGCATTTTCTCTTCTGGAGACTGTTCCCCCCAACACACTTACTGAATTAAAAGCCTTCCATTTCAAGACCAGGAGAGCCCAGTGGTTTCAGCAGCCATGTTTAGTTGCCATTTTTGAGGGGATTTTGAATCCCCTGGAGAGGCATGGTCCCCTAACAAGGATGGCTGCTTCTGATAAAGGATACATGGCTTTTGTAATCTTCCTGCATGTACAGTTAAGGAAAAGAGGGCCCATCTCTCCATCGGTTGGTTCATATCCATCTATCTATCCATCCTTCTTTCTCTCCTTCCTTCTTTCTTCCTTCTATTCTTCATTCATTCTGTCTTTATTGGCACCCCATTGTTACTAAAACACTGTCCAAGGCACTGACGATATACAGAGACAAATCAGACAGGGTCCCTGCTTTCAGTAAGCTCACACTGCAGAAAGGGGACATGCAAACCCGAGTTCAGCAAAGTGTCCAGGTGCTCTGCAAAGTAAGCATCTGAAGAAGAGTGGGGCACAAAGAGGCCAGTCCCATGGGGATGTGGGGCTTCATAGAAGAGCAGATGTGAGAATAATGAATAGCTTGCTAAATTGAAGTAATTCCCTGAAAGAGAGAAATAGTATCTCTCAGTGTTCTGACAGAATTTCCAGTAGCAGGCCAGGCATGGTGGCTTATGCCTATAATCCCAGCACTTTGGGAGGCCAAGACAGGTGGATAGCTTGAGCCCAGGAGTTCGAGACCAGCCTGGCCATCATGGTGAAACCCTGTCTCTACTAAAAACAAAAAAACAAAAATTAGCTGGGCGTGCTGGCACATACCTGTAATCCCAGCTACACAGGAGGCTGAGGCATGAGAAGTGCTTGAACCCGGGAGGCAGATGTTGCAGTGAGCCATGATCACATGACTGCATTCCAGCCTGGGCTACAGAAAGAGACTATTAAAAAAAAAAAAAAATATATATATATATATACATACACACACACACACACACACACACACACACACACACACACACACACGTATGTATATATGTGTATATGTATATGTGTGTGTATATATATGTGTGTGTATATATATGTGTATATATATGTTTATTTGGTATTTGCATTCTTCACATTTCTGCTTCCAGAAAGTATTTGAAGTAGTTACTGAGTTGAATTTTGTGTACCAATGGATGAATATGATAGAAGAAACATTGGCATTATATTTATAAGGGAGTATGCCAAGACTGCTTGACACATGGTAGGTGTTTAATAAATGCTTGTTGAATCCCCTTTTACTATAAGGAGGCATTTTTATTTTTGAATGACAGGTGAAAATCTTTTGAACTTGCTTTTCTCTTATTCTGATGTATTTTTCCATATCGTGGTTGGTTATGAAAGTCTCTAAACTTTCTTAGATCTTTGTTTAGGGTAATCTAGTCTATCAAGGAAAGAATTGCAACGATTGTATTGGTGGATATTTTATCCATTTTATCTCAGAGAGGAAAATTTATAGTTATGTAGTAGCAGAAACTTTTCACTGCATATTTAAATTTGAAAACATCTTTACCATTTTCAGAACTTATGAAACCTTAAAGGTAGTTTTTCAAAAAAGATTCTTATAAACTTTTTTATTATTGAAAATTTCTAACATCAACAAAAATAATAATAGTATAATGAACCTCTGTGTACCTATCACTCAGCTTCAGCAATTATCAACCTTTGGCCAATTTGTTAAAATTATAGCCCTCTGCACGCTTTGTCCATATTATCTTGAAGGCAAACCCCAGATATTATATAATTTCATTCATAAATATTTTAACATGCATCAGTAAAAGAGTGTCTTTAAATACCATTTATCTCACACACATAAAATTATGGCAAGTCCTTAGAATAATTAAACACATGGTCACTGTTCACTTTCCCCTAAAGTCTTCTTTATTGCAATTCATTTGAGTCTGTATCCAAATAAAGTACATACGTTGCAGTTAGTCAGTATGTCTCAAATCTGTTTGAATCTATAGATTTCTCCTTCATATCTCCTTTTTTTCTTGTAATTTTTTTGCTAAAGCAACTGAGCCCCTTTGTCTATTAATTTCTCACAGCGTGGCTTTTGCCGATTTCATCTCTGCTGTGTCATTAAATCTGTATTCCTATAAATTGATCATTAGATCTGGGGTCTTGATTAGATTAGATATAAATATAAAGCCTGAAAATATATATATATATATATAAACCTGAATATATATATAAAACCTGAAAATATATATATATATATATAATCTCAAAAGATATATATATATATAGAGAGAGAGAGAGAGAGAGAGAGAGAGAGAGCGACAGAGATTGAGTGCGCATGCGTGCGTGCGTGCGAGAGTAAACCTGCCACCTAGGTGGTGATGGATAATCCACTTGGAGGCTCATAATGTCTGGCCGTCCTACTTTTTGAATGTTAGCAGCCATTGATAATTGTCTCCCAAACCTAGTTACTCATTAGGACTTGCAAAGAGGTTTCAACCAGAAATTTAAAAATAATAATAAAATGGGCTCCCATGTAACAGATCAATAGTCCAAAAAAGTGTTTAGTAAATTAGGTTTTTAAAAATCAAAACAGCCAAGTGGTTGTGCTAATAGTGTAGGCAGAATCTTATGATGTTAAGGTGGAAAGGAATTTAGATATTGTTTAACTCAGTGTCAGATGAGAACACTGAAGCCCAGTGAAATTAACTCCCAGGCTTCTGAGTGATGGGGAGAAAATGACATGCAAGCCTTCCATACACATTCTGGTGCTGCCTCCATTACACAAATAGTTTACCTTTCCACAGGTCATCTGACAAATTTCAAGCCTGAGTACAGTTTAGCTTATTTCTTCTTATTGTCACGGATCATGATTAGTTAATTGCCTTTTCAGTTACAGTTTTGCACATGCTACTGTTGACTAAATAATGTGCAGTGGCAAAGAAATCCAGATACGACTGTTGTCCAATTTCAATTTCATACATATTTTGCCTTACATTTAAGACATAAATATGTCTTTTCTTTCACATCCTTTGATATTATTTGCTTTCAAATAATAGTTGTAAAACTAAAAGTGTCCCTGTTTTTTAATTCTATAGCTACAGAAACATTTTCAGTTATTTCTCACAATCTTCAGAGGGAGAAAGTTTGCATTTTCTTTCTGTAACCATTAATAACCATGAGTTTTCTGTTGTTATTGAATTTCTCATTTTCCTAATTCCTTATTTAAAAAGTTGAGGTTCTGATAATTTAGTGACTTGTCAGGCTAAGACAAAGATGAAGATGGAGGCCAGGTGTGGTGGCTCACACCTGTAACCCCAGCACTTTGGGAGGCTGAGGTGGGAGGATCACTTGAACCCAGGAGTTTGAGACCGGCCTAGGCAACATGGTGAAACCCCATCTCTACAAAAAATAGAAATTAGCTAGCTATGGTGGCATCTGCCTGTGGTCCCAGATACTCAGGAGGCTGAGGAAGGAGGATTGCTTGAACCCAGGAGGTCGAGGCTGCAGTGAACTATGATTGTGCCATTGCACTCGAGCCTGGGCGACAGAGCAAGACCCTGTCTCAAAAAAAAAAAAAAAAAGAGAGAGAGAGAGAGAGAGAGAAAGATGGTTTTTAAAAATGTATAGCAAACCACTGCCATGATGCAGAAATAATTGTGTTTCATTAGCTGTAAGAAATGGATTGCTCAGCGTCCCTTGCATATAAAAATGAGAGCCAGTCTGACAAATCCCACTCTGTGGCATCATTAGACTTTTTTTCTTTTTAATATTAGATGATATTTGTTTGGAGTATGATGGTCTATTAGCAATGAAGAACGATGAGCAAATTGATGTGATAGTTTCAGGCAAAATTAGATGCTAGCATAAGTGTATAGTTTTGTGTGTAAATTTTAAAACTCTTCCCTTTTATAGTGTTTGCTGCCTTCAAGTACTAATATTTAACAGTGACAGTATACTATTTCCCCCAGTAAGATCAACGTCACTCATATTCATAACCTTTCCAGTTGGCTGCCTCTTTTGCTCTTCACACAGGACACCTATGTGTCCTCACCCAGCCCCAGCCCAGACTACATCTCAAATTGCCTTGCTGCCAATGCACAGAGAGACTTTGCAGGAAGGCTTAACCATTCAGAGACATCAGAGCCATGGTCTACCTCAGTGACTCTCAGGCTTGGTGTTAGGGAAGAACACATGGAAGTTTTAGTGTACTTAAAGGAACATTATCGAAATACTGCCTTTAAAAAAAATCTTACACTTCCTTTTTTTCTGACACTTGAGAGGACTGCTGTTGTTAACTTTTGGAGGGCCTAGCTCACAAAACAGCTGTGTTCTGAGGAGTAATGGTGACTTAATGACTGAAGTTAAGCAGAATTGCCCGAATAAAAACTAGCCACTATTACTTGCTGCACTTTTGTCATCAAAGTCCTCAAGAGCTTCAAATCTAGCAAGAACATTTGAAACTTTGTTAGTCTTCAGATTATTCTTACACAGCCAGTGATTTGAATGCCTAAGTTTTTGCTTTAATTGGATAGAATGCATCGGTCAAAAAGGGCACATTTCAAAAGGAGGGTATACCACCATGGCTGTAGGACACGGAAATTGGAAATACCTGATCCCATTTAAGTTGTTGGTCTTCTGATGATTCACAATTCCTTTCCTATATGGGGAGTGCCAAGGCCCAGAAGCTGACAGTGTGGTTTCTCTTGGGTTTCCCATTTTAACATGGAGTGTTTCTAAGAAGTGAGACAAGTTGCTCTCTCCCTTCACTTAGTTCTACTCCCTGCTTCTCTGTAAATGTAGCCTAGCTTTTTCATCCTCCAGACTTATTAGGAAGCTGTATGACTGGCCTCCAGTTTGAATATTTAATTAACAAGCCATAATAAAATTTATTTCTCAGATAATTTAAAGTAATATGTTTATTAATTGAGTTTGCCTTTAGCAAATCATTTTGCCTGTCGGTGGTACTCTCTGTAGGGCATTTGTGTGTGTGCGTGTATGTGGGTGTGTGTGTGGGTGGGTGTGGGAGGGTGGGAGGATGGGTTGGAGTACACTCAAACCAGGGCAGTATGTGTGTATTCTGTATAGTTGCTCATGGTTCCAGAGATATTTGGGCTTTAGCCAAGTGTTCAGCCTTATGCTATTGACAATCTCTACCTGTAACAGCAAAAAAAGATAATTTGACATTTGACACTGGGTGAGTCCTGTGTCCTCATGCTTAAGTACAGTTTCATGACTGACACAGCAGAATCCCAATTAAGATGTTTTGAGAAATAGGGTTTTCTGGTGTCCTTGGTTCTAAGCAGAAAACCCCGTATGTTTATGTGGATGCCACTGTTGGTTTCAAACCTCAGTGGTGAAACCCCCCTCACCAGTATATTAATACATTTTCTTGCTTAAAGGTACTGAGGGTGACAGATCTTTTAAAGAGAATTCTGTGTCTTGTTTAGAATCTTGGGGACATGAATATTCGTTTTTATCATGTAGGTCTCTAGGGGTAGAAGATAAAGGATAATGTGTCTAAATCTGTATTATGCATAGGTCGTATTCTCCAAAGAGAAGCTTGTGCTGTACAATTGAGTTAATTAAGGAGTCCAATTGATTGGATTCCCTCTGGTTAATTGAAGTTTTCCTATTCTTTAAGTTACAATGTTGAAAGGGCTTCCAGGTTTAAACTGGGCATAATGTACATGCCAGTCATTTGCAGAGGCAAGCCCCAATTTCTGGGTGCTTATGCCATACTGGTTGCATGGGGACTTTGGGCTCATTCTGTAACATTCTTAAATCCTGCCTAATGGTCTCTACTTAATTTTGTGGATGAAGCTCTTGCAGCAGATTCATTGAAGGCAAGTTCAGTTAAAGACTCTTCCTCTTCCTTCTTTTGCCATCATTTGCTCCCTCCTCCCCCCTCTCTTGTTTTTCTCTCCCCTTCTCTTCTCTCATTCACTGTCAGGAAAGACTACCTTTGAAGGGACAATTCTGTACCGAGCTGCACCGGGAAAGACGGAGGGCCACAGACGCTATTACAGTGAGTGACCTTAACAGCAGAAGGCAATTGTAAAGATAAGATCTGGGTACTTGTGTTTTTTGATGCAGCTGCCCTTTCCTGAGCTGCTCATGCTTATGCCAAGTGTCTGTGTGAATTTCTGATCCAAGGACATGGACTTATTTGTCTAAGTAAGTGCCATCTCCTTGGTGTGTGCTAAGAAGCATTCCCAGCACCAGCCCCTGGCGCTTTTGTTTGCTTTCTGCCTCTATCATGTATGTGATATGCGTGCATGAGCCATACGTGCAAACAAAGGAGCAGTAGCATTTGTCGTGGCATATGTATTTGTACCAGTTTCTCTGGGCTTCTGGGGTGGTGTAAGATGGCTTCCTGCAGAGATGTCAACCTCTCATGGTTATTGCTTTCTCTGAGTGGGTCACTGGAAACCAATAAACCATTTTGTCATTGTGTGGTTCAAAGAAGTAAGAATTTGGCATGAAAGTCCATGCCAGAAATGGCATTTTGCTTTGCTCACTCAGCCAATCACCACATGGCAGACTTTTTTTGGCAGGACCAATGTGTAGCCTTTTGTGTTGTGAAATAAGGCTGCCAAAAGTTGAGGGGAAGGAGATGAATGAGATGCCCTTAGAACAGTTCTTGCCACACAGTGAGCTCCATCCATGTGAGTGTTAAATTAAAAATAGATAAAAATATCTCATGGATCTCAACTGATCAATGCTGGAAGACTGGGTACATTCCACAAAATTGGACAGTTAAAGGACTCTCAGAAACAAAACTGAGGAGGCTTTGTTCTTTTTTTTCACCTTGAAGGAAAAGCATCCACCTTTGTGTGCATATACACATATGCATACATACCTACGTGTATGGATATGATGAGAGAGAACGTTGAAACATGAACACCAGAGCCATGCTTCACAAACTGGGGTCAAGTTTTTTTTCCTTGCCACTCCACCATGGGAAGATGCATGGCCCTACTGCACATGACCTCACTACACATGCAGGGTGCCGCCTGTGCCTCACCGTGGGAGTTTTGACAGCACCTAGATTGCTCTGTGCCCTGGTCATTTAGATGACTCCACCACCAGCCACATGTCTGGAAGTTACACCAGTGCACACTGTTAAAACACTAAAGCATCGCCCCAGACACCACACTTTCTGTAGTTCTCTCACCACTGCCTACCTGTAATGAGCCCTTCATGAACCAGCCCCCGTCCACAGTCCACACTCTGGGTTGCACCACCCAAGAGTGTAACCTGGCATTCTGGGCCTGACATGGGGACATTTTATGGGATAATGTGCATGATGGGCACGAGTCACTAAAAGATATATCACTAAATGAACATGAAAATGAAAAGTCACCTTTCTTTCCCTCTAAAGGGAAGGAACTAGATTTTGAATTATTTTACCAACACAGATAGTTAGATATTTAATTTATACACTTAAAAGTGATAGAACCAGCCTGCCAGAAGTTCTGGAAGAAAAATCTGCTGTGTGTTTCCTTCCCGGGCCATGCTTGTGTGGTTGAATGACTGTGCAACCTCTCTCTGTGTAACGTAGAGTATTTCTCACGGTGATTAGTATAAACATATTAAGATGAGCCCAGAAGACAGTAAATCCCAAAAACCAGAAGCTCAGTGAAATGAGGATGGCAGTGGCTGAAAATATTATGGTTCTAGCTAATGGTGAATGATAGAAGAACCCTTGAAATTCTTCTCTTTGAAAAACTAAAATAGACTTGCCCTAATCTGTTTGCCCTGCTGCCTTCTGGTGGTGATGAGGGGAGCGTGCTGAGGGAGGGGAGTGGTGATGGTTTCTTTCCACTAATGGTTTCTTTATTTCACCCTTGAATGGCTCTTTCCAAGCCAGAAAGGAATATACAAGTCATTTATCACATAGAAAGAATCCATACGGCAAAATGAGAACATGTTAAGGGGGAAATGACACAATATTTAGACTCCAAAATTATATCTCCAGCAGGGATATTTGCAAAAACAATGAACAGATAAACACACAAATGGATAGATGGATAGCTAATGGGGGAGGGTTCTTGATGTTTACACACTCTAATCCTTCCTGTGAATTGCAGCCGACCCCCTTGTTGTGGGCTGTTCCCCATTCGGTCCTGTGTTTTTGCTCACAAATGCTGGTTTTCAGTTAATTAAAATGTACACTGGGGACCTTCCTCCTCCCCCACCCTTTTGGCTTAAAAATACCATTTTATGGAAAATGACAACAACAACAAACAAAACCATTGTTTTAAGGATTTGATTCTGAAACGTGTTAGCAGTTTATAATGACCTTTCTATATTTTGTCTGTTTTCATTTAACAGTTTCTTCCTGCACTGAGACTTCCTTATTTGAATGACTTCCACATTTTATGAGATTTTATGTGAGCAAGTATTTGGTGTATCATTCTTATGGACTAGGAGGCCACCTTACCTGTAGGAAGATAATGCACAATTGGCTAATAGAGAACAACATTTGATGGCGTACTTTCATTTCAAGGGCATGGTTATGATCAGGAGTTATGTAGTAAATGTTCAGGAGCTATTCTACACATCTAGAGGCTTTCAGAGACAGGTTAATGACAGAGTTTAGTATTCCATAAAATATTCTTTGAATCCTGCCCTTTGATGGCATAATTGATATACTGACCATCAAAGGAAGAATACACCCAGAAATTAACTAGACACAAATAGGCTCTTCCTTTTAGGAACATGATTGTGGGCAGAGCCTTGGGAAAAAAGAATCTGGGGAGGTAAGTGTCCATGTTGTCTTGCTAATAACTATTTTATGACTTCCAAACACATGCCACAGAAGATCAAAGGAAGAGTGTCATGTCCCCAGTGTTCTTCTTTGGAAAGGGATTCAGCTTTGGGAAAACACTGGTGTTTAAAGGAGAGAAGAAGGGCTGTAGGTTTGGGGGATTCTGGCCTCTGGGAGGACGGCTTCCTTTCCCTCTTTAACAAACATGATCGTCTTGCTAGTGAAACCGTCTTAATGTCAAGTTTGGTTTAATGCTTTCCTAGAGAAACATGTCTGCATGCATTTATTCCTTGTGAAGCCATCCAAAAAGATTGAATTCTTTGGCAGTTATAATTTTGTGTGGTTTCTTTAATTGCTCATTTGTTTAAATGGCTTTTAGCTTTACAGTTTCCCTTTAGGAAATGTTACTTTCATTGCTAATTGCTAATTGACATGAGTCATAGAGATTGGAGGTACAGTATGTGGTACTGACTGGGTGGGGAGGCAACAAGGTGGGTGGGAAGGGTTGCTATTGCACAGGCTATGGGAAAACAAATTTGGATCAAAACCAGGCTCCCGGCTAAAGAGGGGTGAATTTCACATGTACAAAGATATCTGCTTTGGAATTAGATTTTCTGAAAAGTTGTTTTGATTCACATCTTAAAATTAAAAGTAAGGGGTGGGGAGATCAAACAAAACTCAGAGCCAGTCAAACTACTCAACATACTGAATACAAAAGCCTAGTGCAAGTTATCCTGTGCCCAGTCACACTTTTAGAGGTGGTTCCTGGCTGGTTGTGAAGTTCTTCTTCAGGGCTCTGGCTGATTTCTGAGCTCTTTCTCTCCCCATCCCCACTCTTGACAGGTTTAAGGGAAACCACAGGCTCCGAGAGTGATGGGGGTGACTCAAGCAGCACCAAGTCTGAAGGTGCCAACGGGACAGTGGCAACTGCAGCAATCCAGCCCAAGAAAGTTAAGGGAGTGGGCTTTGGAGACATTTTCAAAGACAAGCCAATCAAACTAAGACCAAGGTCAATTGAAGTAGAAAATGACTTTCTGCCGGTAGAAAAGGTATGTTCGACAGTTTCTATTTGATTTCAACTTAATGTGGAATATCCAAAAGTACGTTGTGGGGTTTGGTGCTGGAGGCTTCCAATTCCTCTTTTAGGGTTTCCATGTCCTCATGTACTAGTTGTTTGTCCTGTCTTCTTTTTTAGCTCTCCCTCTGTGTGGGAACGACTTCCCTCAAAAGGCTCATGCTCTAGTTTGCTGCTTTCTTTCTTGCTGATCTCTCTAGGGAATGCTTCTCAGGATGACTTTGGAAATGGACCAGTACTTCTCTATCTGCTTCCCAGAAAAACCCCTCATTCCTGGACCCGCCTAAGTGCATGACCCTGACACTTTTCAGACACTGGCCAATCTCTCTCCGCTCCTTGTACATTTCTCTAGTGCTTTGTGCTTGGGTGTGCTGACTGTGGTTCTGCACTAGAGTGAAGGAATTGTGCACCTTTTCTCTAAGAGTTAGTTGGAGATAATTTCAGACTGTTGAAAGGAAGTCTCCCGCAGGTGTGAATGATGGAGATGGCCTGTGCTGTGACTCCCTGGGTTGTTCCCTTCAGGAAGCTGGCTGTTTCCTTCTGCCTCTGGTTCTGGGCTAGTGAGAGGCAGGCAGCATGTTGCTGCTGAGTACGCGGTTACCACAGCAACACACCCAGAGCCCTCGCGCTTGTGGCTGCCGATGACGTCTACTGTGGTATACTTCTGAGCATTGTAGCCTTGCTTAGGAGTTGATAAATACTGTGGAATTTTCCAAATTATAATAAGCTACTCTCGTGCTGTGCTTAAGGCATGTTTGTTAATTCGATTTAGTGCTGAAATTTTTGCTTTGACATTTGTGCCAGCAGATTTGGGGGACGGGGTATTGGCAACCTCTCTAATTCAGGTTTATGGGTGGCTTTTAAGTGTTGTTGTTTTTTTTTCTTTCTTTTTTTTTTTTTTTGGTGGGATAACATTTTAAAGGTTGCATCATCTTCTGCAGCTGTAGGACATCCACCCCTCCACCCGCCCTCAGCAACCTTGCCCAGTGTCATCATGCATTAGAAGCAGAATCTGAAAAGGAAACTTTTCGAACACTGAATCCCTCTAGAGATGAGTCAGGCAGAAAGGGCAGATACCTAGAAATTAAAAACCGTTTCATTTAAACTTTTTTTTTCAATGTTGAAGTTTCTTTGAGTCAGCATTGTTCCTTTCAGCAATCAATATATGATATTTTTCAAGATCTGAAAACTAGTGTCCCAGCTCTTGAGCTCACTTCTGTTGCATATGGTCACATTCAGATTCCTGTGAACATTTACAAAAGAGCAAGTCCCCATCTTGGAAAGGAACACTGGATGCAGTTTTTCTTCTTTTATTCAAGTGGTTGAAGTGAAAACGACCATTGACTCAGTCAGCAAACAGTTCATTCCTTTTGTTTGTTTTATGATTCCTGGCCTTTATCTTCTTTGTGTAGGAGGACTGTGTGTGTGTGTGTGTGTGTGTGTGTGTGTGTGTGTGTGTGTGTATGACTCTTATTATTGCTATTAATATTAGTTTTAGCTGCCAATAATAAATTGAGTTACTGTTGATAGCAATGTCAATGTCAAATATAATACTTGAAAGTTTTTATCTCAGCACATTTCTTTCCTGAACCTCAGAGCTGTATGTCCAACTGCCTGCTTACTTCAGTATCTCCACTTGAAGATCTTAAATTCATATCCGTTTGCCTAAACCTGAACTCATCGTCCTCCTCCAACTGCTCTACCCACAGCTTTCCCCATCTCAGTTGAAGGCAGCGCCATCTCCCACTCCTATCGCTCAGGACAGAAACCCTCAGGTTGTCCCTGGCTCTTTCTCTCAGCTCTGCCTCCTAAATATGTCCATCATCCACCTAGGTCTCATCACTTCCACTGCTCCTTAATAGGGATTTCTGCCTCTCCCCATCCCCCTGGAGTTTAGTCTTAAGAGCGAAGCCAGGGAGAACCTTTGAAAACCCAAGTCACATCATGCTACTCATCTGCTCACACCCCTACCAAGGCTTTCCTGAGAAAAAAAGTGAGACCCGACCCTCGTTACTGCTGGGACTTCCTCCCCCACTGCTCTCCCTTCACTTTCTTCGTTCTGGGTCCTTGCTCTTCCTCAGACATGCCATGCACACTCCTACAGGGGGCATTTGCTGCAATGGTCTCCTCAGCCTGGGCCACTCTGCATCTACCTGCCCACTTGGCTGCCTCCCTTTCCTCCCTGCTATCTTAGCAGAAACCTCACCCCATCCCCCTTCCTGGTACTAAATATTTTGTTCTCTGTGGCACATACCATCTTCTAACAGATTTATTTTTGTTATATATGTCACTTATTTTGTTTGCTAATCTATTCTATGTGCTTAGAACAGTGCATGGCACATTGTAGGTGCTCAATAAATATTGTTGAATGAATAATATTAAAATATAAATGCTGCACTTTAGAGATTACAGACATCTCTAGAATGAGAGTATTGGGTGAGATAATATAGCACTTGTGTAGTTGAAAATATATCAATTGTATAGTTCACTGCACCTCTGTGAAGCAGATAGTTCATTTATTGCATTGATATTGGTGCCATGAAGTGTTAACTTCATCAGACACATATATGTGTGTGCGCAAGTGCGTTGAACATCCCTAATCCAAAATCCAAAATGCTACAAAATCGAAACTTATTGGGCACCAATATGATTCTCAAAGTAAATGTTCATCGGAGCATTTTGGATTTCGGATTTTTGGATTAGGGATGCTCAACCTGGATGCATTCTGCTGATACTCCACAATGCAAAAAGAAAAAAAAAAATCTGAAATCCAAAACACTTCTGGTCCCAAGCATTTCAGATAGGGATATTTGACATTTGTGTGTGTGTACGCATTCGTGTATGCATCTTGATTCCTGATTTGTCTGCAGAATGAAACCATGTGCTGGAAGCTCCCTAAACCCATTTCTCATGTGGAGCCTCTGGGGAAAACATAAACTTCCTAGCCTGCTTTCTGGGTGTGGACAATTTTTACAACATCTAAGAGGATTTGAAACTATCTCCACCCCATGTTGTTGGCGCCATGGATAGTTGCATAGATTTATGGATCTATCATGTTATTGTACAACCTGGCACAAAAGCCGATAAGTGTGATTCTGTTTTATTAGCATACAACCTGGTTTTCATCACTTTTGAGATGGTTATGTGTCTAAGATTTATGTCTAAGGAAGAAAGCTTCCTTTGAGAATTGAGCTCACTGTTTTCATTTTTAGAAGTGTAAATTGGATCTTGCGTGATAGCATTCAGTAGGTGAGGCTCAAGTAGGTCTGCTCAGGCTGCGACAGTTGGCCTTCTGAAATGTCTGGCTTGATAACTTGGATGAGGGAAAAAGGGAATCTGACCATTATTAACAGCTGTGAGCATCATATTATACTTTTCGTTCAGGTTTGTGAAGTTTTTTTTTTTTTTTTTTTTTTGAAACAAGAGTCTTGCTCTGTTGCCTAGGCTGGAGTGCAGTGGCACAATCTTGGCTCACAGCAACCTCTGCCTCCCAGGTTCAAGTGATTCTCATGCCTCAGTCTCCTAAGTAGCTGGGATTACAGGTGCACACCACCACACCCAGCTTAATTTTTTTTTGTATTTTTAGTAGAGACGGGGTTTCACCACGTTGACCAGGCTGGTCTTGAACTCCTGACCTCAAGTGATCCGCCCACCTTGGCCTCCCAAAGTGCTGGGATTACAGGTTTGAGCCACCATACCTGGCCAAGTTTGTGAAATATTAAGATCCACTTGTCTGAGTCAGTAGATAATCTTGTGCTTATCTTATATTTTAATCTATATTACCCTACCCAGAGTTAATGATTAGATTATACACCAGGAGAGATATTGTATAACATCCCTCCACCAACTGTGAATAGATAAATAGTTCATGTAGGTATTCTTGTTTCTCTTATCAGGCTATAAGGAAGGATTCCGTTTATGAATCTTTTAAATACCACCAAGTGGATATGTCTCCGAATGATTTGCTGAATGTACCATTTAACTGAAATATTTACAGCTGAGTTGATTTAATGTCTGGGACTTGCTTCCTATAGTCCAGAAGATGAAAGAGTGGGGCATAGAGGAGACATTGATCATGAGTTGGTATTTGTTGAAACTGGATGGTGTATACATGGGGGTTCATCACACTCTATTTTTGTGTATGTTGGAAATTTCCCTTGATAAAAGGTTAAAGGGGGGTGGGGAAGAACCTTGGAGAAACATGTACCATTTAAACCAAGCTCAGATGTAAGTATGTGCTGTATCAAAATAATGGAAAATGCTATATGGCTATAGATGAACCAGGTTACACCTTAGAAAATCATAGGGCCATAGTACCTTCATCCTAGCTGATTGACCTCGATGAAGTTGGCCTCAGCTGGGCCATCTGTAAAATGGGAATACTTTTTTTTACCTATCTTACCTCACAGGACTTAAAAAATATATACCTGAAAATACTTTCTAAATATGACTCATTTCAACTAGCATGTATTGAGTGCTCACTAAATATGCTCAGTACTGAGGATACAGTCGTGAGGGAGACCAGGTCACTGCCCTCAGGGAGCTACAGAAAAGTAAATAAACAATAATAATAGAGTATAGGAAATGCCATAATCAGGCTGAGAACACAGTGTTGTGCTGTAGGAGCCCTCAGGCATGGCAGGAAGTGGTAAGTTGTTAGGGAGGCTGGAAGGTGTGTGTCCGTTCATGTGTGTGTGTACCAGCTTCCTACAGGAAGTGATGTTTAGGCTGAAAACCATGGGTCCAGTAGGCGTAGAGTTATTAAGGTAGGGAGAGCAATATCTATAAATGCCCTGAAGAGGGAAAGAGATAGCACAGATGATGTGTAGAGGCTCCAGCAGGAAGCGGGGAAAGAAGCAGGGCCCAGATCATGAAGAGTCTTGTGAGACTCGTTAGGGAGTTGGACTTGATCTTGAGAGCAATGGGAAACTATCAAAGTGTTTTAAGCAAGAGAGTGACACGATCAGATAGGTGGTTTAGCGAAAGTATTCCAACTGCAGTGTGGGGAGTGGATTACAGAAGACAGGGTGAGTAAAATTCAGAAGAGAGGTAACAGAAACATACTGGCTTTCCTGATAAATAGCCCCCCACTCCAAATCTAGGTTCTAAACCAGTTAATTAATTAGATGAGTGAGTGAATGGATAATCAAAATATTTTGCTGATTTTTTTTTCATTATAGATATCCAGTTGACCCAGCACTGTTTATTGAAAAGATTATCCTTTCTACACTGCACAGCCCTATCACCTTAGTCATAACCTAAGTGGCTATATATAAGTGGGCCTATTTCTGGACTCTGTTCTGTTGGTCTTTTTTTCCTTGTGCCCATTCTATGCTGCCTATGTATTCCTCTTCAAGATTACCTAAGCTGTTCTTGGCCCTTTGCATTTTAATTTAAATTTTAGAATCAGTTTGTCAATCCCCCATCATCATAAAAAAAAAAAAAAACCTCCTGGAATTTTGATTGAGATTGCATTGAATCTATAGACACTTTTGATGACAATTGGTACCTTTCTAATTCATGAACATGGTATATCCCTCTATTTGTATAGATTATGTTTTATTTTGTGAAATGTTCTCAAGCTGAACACTTATGATTTGTGATCTCTCTGTGCATACGTTTTATTTCAGTGTCATTACTGATGAAGGCAAAGTTGGAAGGTATAGATTAGTGTGAGAGGCAAATGGGCCTGCCAGCTGATTCCCAGAATTAGACAGATTTGCCCACACAATCTCAGCAACATTGGACTAACTCAGGCCAATGTGAGATAGAAAGACCTGCCCCTTGAGGAACAGCAGAGAAGGCTGACTTCCAAGAGGAGGAAAGAGAAGAGCTAAGCTGAGCACGCCCAGTATATTTTTCTTAAATTCACCTATCAGATAAGTAATTTCACTCTCCCAGGGAAGGAAACATAAAGGGGAAGAGAACGGCAGGAGTGTCTAATTGTGTCCAGAGAGTGTCCATTTGAATTTCTTTACATAGAAGGGGACATCAAGGTAAGGGATGTATTAACAGCTTGAACTATTGTCATGGAGAGAAATGGATGGTTTGGGGAAATATTTTGAAGATAGAATCAAGTTTGATAGTATGTGGGGGATAAAGAAGAGGGAGGACTTGAAGATTGTGCCTTCGGCAACTGGCTTAAGCAGCTGAGTACTATTTTCTGATTAGAAAACAGTGGAGAGAGAAGATATTTGGGGAGGAAGGACATGGGTTAGACTAGCTGGATTTGGAAGTTCTTGTGGGACTGTATCAAGTAGAGACATCCAGCAGGCAGATGGATACATAAGTCTGGTGATTGGGAGAGAACTGTAAATGTAGGTTTCAGAGTCATCAGCCTAGAGATTGGGCTGGAAGACTCTGAGCAAGAAGGCAAGCCCAGACGAGACTGTATTCTCATGAATACAGGTGGTACCTCTGTCTCCCACCTGTGGACCTGAGAGGGAATTTCTTCATCAGGCTATTTTCCTGTGACCCCAGTCTGGCCCTACTCTCTGTTTCTAAACTCCTTCCCTTTTTATGAGTCACTTAGATGATCACTTCTGACCAACCACTTAGGGAAAGGAGTGTCAGGTATTACACATGGATAGGTAAGTTACAGATACTCGAGTGAGTCTCAGGACCTAACCTGACATGGCTTTATATAGAATAATGCTGGGTTTTTGGTGCCAGCTCATTCCGTGTCCTAGCTCTTTAGGCACTACCAGTCTTGGCCCACTTAATTATTGGAAAAAGTAGTCTTTTTTGCCTTACTGGAAAGATTTCTAAACTGAATGGTTTGCCAGGTTGGTTGTTTACTGGATTCCCTGCGGAGAAATCTTTCAAGAAGCTTCTTTCCCATGGTCTTCCTGTCTTAGCTGATTTCCGTTAGTGACTTCTGACATCTCTCTCTTGAATTCTGTCTACACTTTCTACAAGGCGTTGTGTTTGTAACAGCCTCTTTTTCAACTCTTGTCATCTTGAATCTCATTTATAGAATTATAGTCACCCAAATTAATGCCTTTATGGTATCCACATTGTAGCTTTTACTTGGGACAGATAATTAGAATTAAAATTGTGTATAAATGAGAGTGACTAATCAAGTTTTTAATTAGCCAAATTACAGTAAGAGAATTTAAGTATTTTCATACGTATCTCAGGTAGTCTTTTTTTTTGTATTTAATTTTTGTGGGTACATAATAGGTGTATTTATGTGGCACATGAGATGTTTTGATACAGGCATGCACTGTGAAATAAGCACATCATGGAGAATGGGGTATCCATCCCCTCAAGCATTTATCCGTTGAGTTATAAACAATAAAATTATACTCTTTAAGTTATTTTAAAATGTGCAATTATTATTGACTATAGTAATCCTGTTGTGCTACCAAACAGTAGGTCTTATTCATTCTTTCTATTTTTTATGTACGCATTAACCATCCCCGCCTCCCACCCAGCCCCCACCCAGGTAGTCTTTTTATCCATTCTAGTAAAAATTTATTAAGCTGCATAATCATATAAAATTAAAACATGTCAATAAGGTGATGATCTTAGTTCCTTAAAAATGAGAGATCTATGTCCTAATCCTTTGAAGACTAGAAATAAGCTCTAGAGAACTCCAGAAGCTAATGAGATATATACTCTTTGACTAATTAAACACAAGGGTCAAAACCTTGTTGTGATTATCTGAGACCTAGAGTATTGGCTGTCCCTCGTTTTGGTTGAAAAATAAGATTGTGTCTCTTGAGTTGTTGGAAAACCTGTGGTTTTTAATGAGCAGATGGTATTAAGATGCCCACTGGTTGCCTGGGTTGAATGAAGTGTTTGGGATTTTCAGACTTTGGCTTCTCTCTCCTCAGAGTGTCTCAGTTTTGTTTCCTGATCTGGAAAAAGTAAGGAAGGAGGAGGGGAGTTGGTAGGGAAAGGGAAACAGAAACAGTGAACCAGTATTACAGGATTATTCTTTGTCATGTTGGGTGCTGCTTTCTGTTTTATATATGTTTGATGTGAACTTTCTAAAACACTCAGCCTAGCGTATTTTCTAAGAAATATTTAGTTGCAGCCAGATTGTCACCAAGAATCATATTCCCAGAAGGTTTTCAAATTGTGTTAAGAGTATAGTGGTTGGCCGGGTGTGGTGGCTCACGCCTATAATCCCAGCCAAGGCAGGTGGATCATGAGTTCAGGAAATGGAGACCATCCTGGCTAACACTGTGAAACCCAGTCTCTACTAAAAATTCAAAAAATTAGCTGGGCATGGTAGCATGCGCCTGTAGTCCCAGCTACTTGGAAGCCTGAGGCAGGAGAATCGCTTGAACCCGGGAGGTGGAGGTTGCAATGAGCTGAGATTGCGCCACTGTACTCCAGCCTGGGCGACAGAGCGAGACTCTGGAAAAAAAAAAAAAAAAGTATAGTGGTTATTAAACATGGAGGACAGATAGCCCAGGTTCAGACTTCAACTCTGCCTCTTCCTGGGACAAGTTACTTAACCACTCAGTGCTTTTGATTCCTCATCTGTAAAATTAGAGTAACAAGAGAATCTACCCCAGAGGGTTGTTGTGAGGATTAAGTAACATGTAATGGTTAGAGAAGTGCCTGGCACATAGTAATCACTTGATTAACGTTAGTTATTATTATTGTTGTCCTTATTGTTATTAGAGTAGAAAGAGTACCTATAAATGACAGTACATTTTCCAGGGTTATTTCTATTTATTTATTTATTTATTTATTTATTTATTTGAGGCAGGGTCTTGCTCTGTCACCCAGGCTGGAGTGCAGTGGCATGATCTTGGCTCACTGCAACCTCTGCCTCCCGGGTTCAAGCAATTCTTCTGCCTCAGCCTCCCGAGTAGCTGGGATTATAGGTGTGGGCCACCACGCCCGGCTGATTTTTGTATTTTTAGTAGAGACGGGGTTTCACCATGTTGGCCAGGCTGGTCTTGAACTCCTGACCTCCGGTGATCCACCTCCCTCAGCCTTCCAAAGTGCTGGGATTACAGGCATGAGCCACCATGCCTGGCCTCTTTAATTTTTTATTATGGCAAATTTCAAACTGCAAGAAGTACAATTGAATTTTGCTATATCTGTGTTAGCTGTTTGTTTCATATCACCAAGTCTTAAATGTCAGCCACTAGAAAGTAAGTGCCATAATTTGGGACCTTGTCTGTGTTAGTCACCATTTACAGTTTATGAAAATAGTTGTCAAATGATAGTTGGCCCTCAGTAAATATTTGTGGACTGGATGAATGAAGATACTGTTTTGTGCTAATCCAATTCTGGTTGGGATCTGCTTGTGGTCTAGCTAAGATTCACTCTTCCATTTGTTCATTAATTCACTCATTCATTCATTCACTGAAGCTTTATTGAATGCCTTTTATGGATCAGCAGTGTGAAGCTTTATTGAATGCCTTTTATGGATTAGCAGTGGTATCTCTGGGATTTGTATGTAAATGAACAAAGGGGTGGCAATCCATTTGGAAAGGGATTGGCTAAATGGCATGTCTAGATGTTGTATTTGCATAGTAAGTGCGGTTTTTTTTTAACCTGACAGGTTATTTATTTGGGGTGGAGCAGATCTGGTGTGGTTCATCGGAATGGAGTTAACACCTCCTACCCTAAGTCACACCTTGGATCAGCTGTCATATACAGGTTTCTCATTTAATGCTTTGGATTGTCCCTACATTGGAGAGAAAGGGGGTATGTATAAAAGTCATTATAATGTAAGGGGAAAGACTAGCAGACGCATGTCCAAAGCATCAATGAGAATAGAAAGGAAGAAACTACTAACTTTCCTCCAGGTCAAGAAGGAAGGGATGGGATATCCTTGGTCTCTTTTTAAGGAATGTGGTATTTGAGCAAGGTGTTAAAAGACGTTGGGAATTCATGGTACTAGCAGTGTGCATGTGGACAAGGAGTGAGCATGAGTATGTTGAAGGAAGAGGTGGGTTGGGCTGGGGTGCAGGGGCTGTGGTGGTGGTAGTGGAGGAAGTGGGCAGCTGAAGGGGAGGTGGTGCCTCTTCCTGCAGGGCTCTGCCAGCCCACTCACAAGCTGCCCTTCTTCTGGGTGGGTGGGCAAGTTGGTGAAGGAGTTCAGTTGGGCAGCAGCATGATCAGATTTATACTTTAGAGAGATAACTGGGGAGGTGCTGAGGAATGTGGACTGGAGATGGGAGAGGAAGTAGCTGGGAGACTTGCCAGCCCCGGGGCTCCATGGTCGATGACTAATTGGCCAGGCACCAGGAACTTCTAGTAGCTCTTGGAAAGGGGCAGATGGGCCCACCTCATGCACACTCTTTAAGCTGGATCGCCGTTGCCTGGGTTGGCAGCAACACTGACAAAAGAGCCAAGTTTCCTTTCAAAGAAAATTCTTTTGTGTATTTTGGGAATGAAAAAGCCAGGAGTCAGCATTCTACTATCTTCATTAATAGATAGGCTAAGAAGATAGAGACAATTTTTAAATTTGAAGTTGAGAGGGCCTTGTTAAATAGATTTACATAGATATACACATGGGCATAAACATGTATAGCTATAAATCACAGATATGTGTTTATTTATATATACCTTTGCATTCAGCAGGTTTATCTTTCTAATTAGTTTTTTAATCAACTTTTAATTTTAGAGTAGTTTTAGATTTATGGAAAAGTTGTGAAGATAATAGAGTTCCCACATACCTCACACCCGGCTTCCTCTCTTGTTAACGTCTTGCATTAACGTGGTACGTTTCATATTATCTTTTTTTTTTTTTTTTTTTTTGAGACAGAATCTTGCTCTGTTGCCCAGGCTGGAGTGCAGTGGCGCCATCTCGGCTCACTGCAACCTCCGCCCCCCACCCCCACCCGATTCAAGCAATTCTTCTGCCTCAGCCTCCTGAGTAGCTGGGATTACAGGCACCTGCCACCAGGCCTGGCTAATTTTTGTATTTTTAGTAGAGACGAGGTTTCACCATGTTGGCCAGGCTGGTCTTGAACTCCTGACCTCAAGTAATCCGCACACCTTGGCCTCCCAAAGTGCTAGGATTACAGGCGTGAGCCACCATGCCTGGCCCATATTATCATTATTGACTAACATCCATGCTTTATTCAGATGTCCTCAGTTTTTATCCAGTGTCCTTTTTCTGTTGCAGGATCCCATCCAGAATACCACATTTAGTTTTCTCATCTTGTTAGGCTTTAACAGTTTCCCAGACTTTCTTTATTTTTGATGACCATGGCAATTTTCAGTTTTGTAGAATGTCCTTAAATAAGCATTTGTCTGAAGTTATTCTCATGAGTAGATTGGAGTCGTGGGTTTTTGGGAGGAAGGCCACAGAGGTGAAGTGCTCTCATTACATCATATTAATTCCATACTTATCGCTATAGATGTTAACCTTAGTCACCTTGGCTGACGTAGGTGTTAGTCAGGTTTCTCCGCTCGAAAGTTCTGGTTTTTTCCCTCTTTCCATACTTGACTCTTTGGAAAAAGGGTACTCTGTGCCCCTCCCACTTAAAGAGTGGGGAGTTTCATTCTACCTCCTTGAGGGAGGAGTATCTAAAGAAATGATTTGGAATCCTTCTACACAGGAGATTTGTTTATTCTCCTCCGTCCTAGTTGGGTTTTGATAAGGGAATTTTTTTTATCTGTTCTCTGAATTCCAAATGCTAATTCTGTAGCACTTGTATTATATTTGTCATTTACTACCTAGTGACATCACCTACATTTGTGTGTGTGTGTGATAAGTAAACAGATTTATGTCTTATTTACCCAAGGAGATTGTAAATTTCTTGAGGACTGGGACAGCATCTTATTTAAAGCCCCTTACAGAGTTAGATACAGTGCAGGCAGTTAATAAATAGTAAGCAAATGGTTTTTAAATTAGTTTAATTAAAAATTTAAATATTAACCATAGTTAACTGAAACAGGTCATCAAAGTCTAAGCATATGAGAAATGTGGTAAGATAAGGATACTGTTTACTTGGCATCCTGATTTGTGAAATTGTCCTGAACTTGTAATTGTGGCTAATATGATATTTACTGTGTGCCAAGCACTTTTGTAAGTACTTTACATATATTATTTAATTTTCCAGACAGCCCTGTAGGTTGGTGCCATTATCCCCATTTTATAGATAAGGAAACTGAGATGAACAAAGGTTGAATAAGTTGTTCAGGATCACAAAGCCAGGAAGTAGCTCAACTGGGATTTTGATCTCAAACACTCCGGCTCCAGAGTTTTGAACACTTAACCACTGCGCTCTAGATTCATTGAAGTGGTGATTAAAATGGTATCTCTTTTGGGGGAAAGAACAAAATTGTGATTTAAATATTTCATTTCAACCTGTTAGGATGCTCCTGATGACATGGCAGCAATGTTGCTGTATTTTTCCTAGGGGGAGTATTTCCATAAAGCCACGGCTGTTTTTCCTTCTTCTGTGTGTGTGTGTGTGTATGTGTGTGTGTGTGTGTGTGTGTGTTTATGAGTAATTTTTGTGTAGTGCAACTAATTGCATTTAAAATACAGGCATGTTCATGATTGATATGTCATATACAGACTATATTCTAGATATCCCTCACTCTCTAGCCATGTGATCTGTTGAAAGATAGTGGGCTTTTTATTTCTTCTCTGGCATTTTTAAACAGACGTGATCACTAGGTCTTGCCAAATAAACACTCCCTCAGTGTGTTCCTTGTCCGAATGGTCACACCTGGGGGCCCCAGGAGGGAGCCCAGATTGCAGCAGCAACATAGGCGAGGGAGGAGGACTTCTCTCGAAGCCACCCAAGCCATGAATTGGCCCTGGCTTCCTGAACCATAAACAAATGCGAGCTTTGTTCTCCCCATTCCTCATTTGGTCCCAAGTATGACTCAGGGTTAGGCTGGGTCCTCAGGCTCCGTGCTGTTGGAAGGAAGTGGGAGGATTCCAGGGGAGTTCTGGGACCTTTTCAAACTGAAGAGAGGAGGCTGGCTGCATCATGGGAGAAGAGGTATTTCTTTTTTTTTTTTTTTGCTTTTAGAGTTGTAATAAATCCAGTTAACCTGTATCTTATCTGTATATAACATTTTGTAGCAAGACTGGGTAATGGGTTTGCATTAGTGGGTTGAAACAATGTGTGTGCCAGCTAGGATCCCACAGAGGGGAGCTATGGATAAGCTGAGGAGGAACCTATCAAGTATACGGATTATTTGCTAAAGCTGAATGTCACTCTGGAGCTATTTAGCCGTTTTAATCCCTCCCACTTTGGTCAATTTGGCCATTAATTTTTACAGATGTTTCCAATCTCTCTGTGTCTTGGGTTTTCATGTGCTCATATTGCAGAGAGAAATTTAGATGGGCAGTTTGCACAAGCGGTAACTGTTACACCATGTCACAGAGATGTTTAGCAATTACAGATGTTTGTGCAGTAAACAAATCCAGCTTGCTTTTCAGGTTAGCTTAGAGAGAAGGGTATGTCCATGCAGAGCAAGCCAGCTGTGGGGCGTTTCACTCTTGAGGGTCACCGACATTTGGAGTTTTCTTTGTGAGTGGAGCAGCTGTGAGTAGTGACTTCTGGGTGCTATTGAACTGCTTTTTTTATGATGGGGTAAAGATATTTGGCTAGTTTTGTAGTGCGGGGCATTTATAGGTATGTACTCATGTATGGAGAAAAATTAAGACACTAAATTATTTTGATTTTATAAAAGTTTGCTAGAAATAAGTGGTCTTGTTTTTCTCTGTGAGTTGTTCATATTTGTCTACCTAAAAGCAGAAGTCTGTCATTTTCCAAACACAAAATTCCCTAAATAAACCACAGGATAAGTAAGGCTTACAGTGTGTCATATGTCTTCCATATCCCTGTCTCTCATTGAAAAAAAAATTTTAAGGGGAGAATTGATGAGGTCTGTAAAATATGTCCCTTTATGTCTTTTTCTGTTGGCTTTAACTTATACTATTTTCAAAATTACAAAAAAAAAAAAATAGCGTGGCCAAAAGGAAACACATTGTTTTAACATATCATTTTAAGAGTAGGGGAACTTCTTGAAAGGTTTTTAAATGGCATCTGTTGCTTGCCTAGAAAGGAGGACAGAGGCAGATATATGAGGAGAGTGCCGTTAGGGGTTGGCTAGGATAAAAATATATTCATCGGCAATGGCTTGAGAGGATTTTCCTAGGGAAAGATAGCTTATGTTTGCTGATCTTATGCTGGATGTCTTTGTTCTGAGTTCTGATGAGTAGAAATCTGAATGAGGTATTTATATGCAAAATAAAGATGGTGAATCTTCTTCCTTGGGGAAATGAGTGAAAGCATGATTGATTGTAAGGTGTGAAAAACGTGGGAAAGTCTCAGCAGCTAGGGCCTGGAGATGGGAGAGGAATGGTAGCCCCTGGGGGGCCTGACAGGTTTTGCCTTGGTCCTGTGATGTCTGAGCTACTTGTTGCACTGGTAAGTGCTCCCTGAACCCTTTGCTTGTTTGTTTCTCAAAATGGAGGTAGCTCTGTTACTTCTCTCATTACAAGAGCTCTTTGTAATAATAATAATAATTATTATTATTATTATTATTCAAAGTTGAAGAATACAAAGAAATAAATAGAAATCATCCTCAGCTGAGTGCAGTGGCTAATGCTTGTAATCCCAGCACTTTGGGAGGCTGAGGCAGTTGGATCACTTGAGGTCAGGAGTTTGAGACTAGCCTCGGCAACATGGCAAAACCCCAACTCTACGAAAAATACAAAAATTAGCTGGGTGTGGTGGCATGCACACCTGTAGTCCCCAGCTACTCGGGAGGCTGAGGTGGGAGGATCGCCTGAGCCCGGGAGGTTGAGGCTGCAGTGAGCTGAGATCGTGTCACTGCACTCCAGCCTGGGTGACAGAGTGACAGCCTGTCTCAAAAAATATATATATATATATATATATATATATATATATATATATTACCCTCAATCCTATCATTCAGGAACAACCATAGTTAACATTTTATATGTATCCTTCCAGACTTTTTTTTTTTTTTTTTTTTGAGACACAGTCTCACCCTGTCGCCCAGGCTGGCTGGAGTGCAGTGACGTAATCTTGGCTCACTGCAACCTCTGCCTCCCAGGTTCAAGCGATTCTCCTGCCTCAGCCTCCTGAGTAGCTGGGACTACAGGCGCCCACCACCATGCCCGGCTAATTTTTGTATTTTTAGTAGGGATGGGGTTTCACCATGTTGGCCAGGCTGGTCTCAAACTCGTGACCTCAGATGATCCACCTACCTTGGCCTCCCAAAGTGCTGGGATTACAGGCATAAGCCACCACACCTGACCTCTTCCAGACTTTTTTTTGAGCCTGAATATGCATGCAGTACACACATCACTCTTCACTAAATAATGAAGTCATATCAAATGTTGCCTGTTTTTAAAAACTTTCTATGAGACCCCTTTTTCTATCAGGTAGCCTCATGATTTCCCTCGATTCTCCTGCCTCAGCCTCCTGAGTAGCTGGGACTATAGGCGCCCGCCACCACACCTGGCTAATTTTTGTATTTTTAGTAGGGATGGGATTTCACCATGTTGGCCAGGCTGGTCTCGAACTCCTGACCTCAGTTGATCCACCCGCCTTGGCCTCCCAAAGTGCTGGGATTACAGGCATGAGCCACCGCACCCAGCCTCTTCCAGACTTTTTTTTGAGCCTGAATATGCATGCAGTACACACATCACTCTTCATTAAATGATGAAGTTATATCAAATGTTGCCTGTTTTTAAAAACTTAATGTACTATGGGACCCCTTCTTCTGTCAGATAGCCTCATGATATCCCTAGGGTCTCTGTCCGTTGTAGAGATGCAGCACCATTTGTTGAAACAATCTCCCAAGGATAACTATTTAAGTTGCTCCCCCATTTTTAACATTACAAACAACATTCTTGTAAATCCATCGTTGTTTCTTCCCTGATTATTTCCTTAGGCTGAATTTTTAAAAGAGGAATTTCTAGGTTAAAGGTCGACTTAATTCTGGCTAGTTTTGTTTTTAATGAAAATAATTCAAGTATACGGTAAAAAAAAAAAAAAAAAAAAAAAAAAATCCCAACAGAACAAAAGTAAGACTTTCTGAATCCTATACACTTAACTTTACTTCCTGGTGGAAATCACCATAAAAGTTATATGCACTCTTGCAGATATGTGGAATTGGTTTTTTATTGTTGTAAAATATATTTAACATCATAAATTTTACTGCCTTTGCCATTTTATGCTTTGCTTTGTTTTTTGAGACAGAGTCTCACTCTGTCACCCAGGCTGGAGTGCAGTGGTGTGATCACAGCTCACTGCAGTCTTGACCTCCTGGGCTCAAGTGATCCTCCTGCCTCAGCCTCCCAAGTAGCTGGGAGTGCAGACATGAGCCACCATGCCTAGCTGACTTTTTTTATTCCTTTTGTAGAGACAGGGTCTTACTATGTTGCCCCCAGACAGGTTTTGAACTCCTAGCCTCAAAGAATTCTCTCACCTCAGCCTTCCAAAGTGCTGGGATTACAGGCATGAGCCACTGTGCCTAGCCACCTTAACCATTTTTAAGTGTGTAGTTCAGTGATATTAAGTACATTCATATATTTGTGCAACCGTCATCACTATCCATCTCCAGAACTTTTTCATCTTGCAAAAATGAAACTCCATACCCATTAAACAATAACCTCCCATGCCTCCTACCCCTGACCCCGGCAGCTACTGTTCTACTTTCTGTCTCTATGAATTTGACTAGGTACTTCACATATGTGGATTCGTGGGGATATTTATTGTCCTCTTATGACTGACTTATTTCACTTACCATGATGTCTTCAAAGTTCCTTCATGTTGTGGCACATATCAGAATTTCTTTCGTTTTTAAGGCTGAGTATTATTTCATTCTATGGATATAATGCATTTTGTTTATCTATTCATCTGTTGATGGACATTTGGGTTTTTTCTATCTTTTGGCTGTTGTGAATAATGCTACAATGTACATTGGCATACCAATACTTGTTTGAGTCCTTGCTTTCAATTTTTTAGATATATCTCCAGAAGTAGAATTGCTGGATCATAGGGCAACTCCGATTTAAATTTTTGGGGGAACTGCCCTACTGTTTTCTACAGTGGCTGCATTGTTTCACTCGGTGGAAGTCTCAGCAATGCATGAGAGTTCCAATTTCTCCATGTCCTCACTTGTTATTTTCTGTTTGCTTTTTTTTCTTCTTGTAGCCATCCTAATGGGTGTGAAGTGGTATCTCATTGCAATTAGAGTTGGTGTTCATGTTGCCTGTCACTGAGGGGGAAGGAAATTATTATTATTCTCATCTTGAAATGATGAGTTGGGAAATAGTCTTAGAATCACCATTAACTAGCTGATCAGTCATGTAATCTGAAGAGACTACAAATCGCTTAAAGGAAGAACACAGCCCCACTGTTCCCATAGCCCCAAAGAAAAAAATGAGTGGAGTGCCCAGGTAGTTACTTGGTTTCAGAGGTTTAATGGTGACCAGGACTGGCTTTTCATGTTGCCCCATCCGCTTACCTGAATCTATAGTCAAAGGTTTGTTGGAGAGTAGATTTAAAACAGTTCTCTCGAAAAAAGATGAATTTATCTTTTGTGCAACTGTTATTAATAATTCTAAGCGATGGTATCTTATTCATCTTACGTAGTGGATAAAGCTAGTTTTGTGATTGATTTTTTTTTTCCTCTTCACCTTCTACTCTGGAATTCCTTAGGGGTAGAAAATGAAAGTCCTTTTTTTTTTTTTTACAAATTATTTGCTGAATCGTTTATTTAATGATTCAGTTGGTAGCCTTTAGTGGAGTGTACTAAAGTCTAAGTATTTAATTGTGACCCTCTTTTGTTCTTTACTTGTATTAATAATTGTTTTCATAATATTTATATCCTGAAGTATGCAGATGCATTTGGTTCCTGAAATCCAGTTTTAAAAATTTGGCCATTAAAACTATCATGTCTTTGTACGTAGCTGTCTTTTTCTCTCTGATATTCTCACTAGTTGTAAAATGATATTCTAGCCAACTGGCTTTCAGTGGGATGGAATGAGTTTAATGCTATGTAAAAACTGGCAACTTTAAAAGAAGCTATCCAGCTTACTTTGACTGCATGGTGGTGTGTCTTTTCTTACACTTAAAGCATTTAGATCACAGAGATCAGTCAGTCAGCAGCCTGTTTTGTACTTCTCTGTGGCATTGGAGGCCATTTAAAAGCTACAGGATGACAGCCTTATTCCCAGCTCAGGCTCTTAATGTTGGAGGCTAGATCCCAAATAAATGTATAGCCATAAATGCTCTAGAAACAAATGGAAACATCACAATAAGCTATACTTACACCTCTAATAGATATTTTTCTCTCTCTCTAAACCCGGGCTATAAAATGAGCAATTCACAAAATAAAAGTGTGCTGGAATTGCCTCTAAAAGACACTTCTTTATCAAAAGGCCATCCTCAAGCCATTTTACGAATGCCCTGTGACTCAGAAGTGTCACCTCAATTAAAGTTATCCTTGAACTCTTAGGAATCAAATAGGCATGGTTTGGCAAAGTGAAGGCAGAAAGTTGAGGTCTGTATCACTCAGAAGTTGTATTTCTGTTTTGTCATTTAAAATGAGGAAGGTAGAAATGCTAAAGATGGATTTACTGCCTCATTTTCTTTTTCTTCTTTTACTTGCTAAGAATTTTCACCCACCAGTGACTTTAATATGTTTTGCTCCATTTGTTTTGGTAACGTCTGCTCAGTCTGTTCTTTTTATTTTGAATTCTTAGTTGGGTTCTCATTGTCTCTCTCTATTAGAAGCAGCTTTTCTGGAACTTCTTGGGTAACTTTTCTAGATTATTCACAAAGTCGATAACAAGAGGAGTAGTGATGTAAAAAGTGTCAATATTTTTAGATCCTAGAGTCGTGCAAAACTGTCCTCTTGATGCAGTGCTTAGCATTGTCTAGTTACTACATTGGAAGAACAAGATGCCTTGTATATTTTACGTGTCTAATCATATATTCATCTTGCCTCAAACCCCTTTACTCCCTTTACATTCAGGCATTGTTAGAAGCTGAGAAAGTAGACATACAATACTGTTGTTTTTTCAATTCAGAAGAGGCTAAAACATTATGAAGCTGGTAACTCTATGCCCACACATGGAAGTAATCTGCCTGAGCAATACCTGTCACAATATCAACATGCAGTAGAGGTGAGCAGAATGTAATTCATGGACAACCTTGCTGTACTTTCCAGTGAAGGGTTATAGGATCTGTGACATTTTGGTATTATTTTCGTACGCAGTGCCCAAAATTTCAAACAACTCTAGGTTTCTATGACCTTTAGTCATAGGTCATCTGGCAGGAGAAGAGAAAAGTGGTCTGGATAAGAGATGAAAAGGGGTCTTGAGAAAATTAATGAGAGGCTGAAAGAGATACAGCTGGGTCAGGGAGTGATCACTAAGTTTCCAAGTAATAAAATTCATTCTATGGGGCCATAGAGCAGCAGTGTGTTTGTGTGTAGCCCAACCCTGACTTTTCCATATCAGTTGAAGACTGGCAGTTGATCATCTTGGCATGAAATTGAGTGGCTAGAAAGAAGTAAGGGTATCCTAGGGCATGATGATATAAGGCAGTGAAGATGGTTAAGAAATTAGAAATCAGGAGTGGTAGAGAAACAGTGGTCGTTGCAGTAGAGAGAGACAAGTAAACGGAGTCCATGAGGAGATATATTATGTAGGATTTGACAGTTGACTGTTCTGTGGTCTCTCTGGTGACTGAGAAAGAGGCGTCCCATTGATTGATTGATTGAGAGAGGGTCTTGCTTTGTTGCCCAGGTTAGAGGGCACTGACATGATCATGGCTCATTGCAGCCTCCTCGACCTCCCAGGCTTAAGCCATCTTCTGCCTCAGCCTCCTGTATAGCTGGGACTACAGGTGTGTGTGCACCACCATGCCCAGCTAATTTTTAAATTTTTTGTGGAGATGAGTTTTTGCCACATTGTTCAAGCTGGTCTTGAACTCCTGGCGTCAGGTGGTCCTCTTGCCTTGGCTTCCCAAAATGCTAGGATTACAGGCGTGAGCCACTGTGCCCAGCAGGGAGCCCCATTTAACTTGAAGCATAGTGATCAGATTGCAAATAATGGAGAAGTAGCCAATAATGAGAGTCGATAAACTCTTCGTTGTCCTATGGGGGGAGTATGTGGAAATCTTTTACTGAAAGTCCCTATAAATTTGGGTAGATAACCAACCGAAACCTATATGTCTGAAATAGATAAAATGTAATATCTCAGGAGTAGGGAATGTGTTGTCAGTTCCAACAGTACCATTCCTGGTCTTTATCTTCCTTTGTCACCATGTTCCGTGAATCTCTATTGTGTTTTCTCTGTGCGGAGCCTATAGCAGGTCTTTGTGGAAGGCACAAAGAAGGACTGCTGCTCTCCGGAACTTATAAGTGGAGAACATTGAAATGAACATTCTCCATTGTAATAGAAAAGGACAAGGAATTTCTCAAGACCAGAAAAATGTATCAATTGGGATATTTTACTGTGCACATTGTCTCCCCTACTCTTCCTGAAAAAACAAAATATCCCTCTTAAAAAATAACAACCACGAAAAGCACCATTTAAGAAGCACGTGATTAAAATAGGTGATTTCATGTTTTGTTTTTTTAAATGAGGGTTTTCTTTTGCATTTTGTGTGGCTTGGTGCCTTTGTGTGTGTTACAGAGAAAGCAGAAAATAATGGGGAAATATTTTAGTACAGGAAGATGAGAACATGCAAAATGAATAATGAAAGACTTACCATTTATTCAGATAATGAGGATTTAATTTGCCTAAAACTCAGGCATCTTAAAAGATAACTTACAACCTTAAGACTCCTGTTCCTCCCAAGACTTGCTGTTAAACTGAAGTTAAAATGAATGGAAGAATGAATGAATATGAATGACAGCCAAGTATAGACTTTATTGACCTTTTGCTTCACCAGACCAGAATTTACTCTACAAAAAGGTTCATCTTAACTACATTTACTGAATCTGTCCCCACCTCAAACTTGAATCCCATTAAAAAAAAAAAAAAAAAGTCAGTCCTGGTTTTTGAAGTCAGCAAAATCAAAGTATGTTCATGTTAAGTGGAGATGCTTGTCAAATAGCTGAGAAATGAAAGTATCTGTGAAATCTGTATAATTTTAAAATTATGATATACTGAAGTAAATAGTTCTAAGAGTAATAGAGAAAAAAAGTGGAACCTCAAAAGTTGGGGAGCCTGGTTTTTATCACACTTGTTTTTTCTCCCATTTGAGAAACTGTAATTACTTTGATTTGTGTTTCAAAAGAATTTTTACTCATGAAGAACTAGAGAACTGCTAGAAAACTGAACAATTAAGCTATGGATCCTCTGCAAATAGATCACAGCCTTTAAATCAATACTTCTTCAAATACTGGGAGATAAGGAATCTATAAGCATTATCCTTGAGCATATATGAAAAACGTTACAAAGTGAAGTTAACTCTTTTTTTCAGTCCCTTACAGATGTATGAATAAGGAATCCATGGGTTTAATTAGAAGAGCAGGAAATATGTTTTTGAGGTTGAAAACCTTTGATACAATGTCTCAATACTTTATTTGGAACAGCATGAATTGGAAATTACGTCATCTACTAGTCACTGAAGATATTAACTGTGAAAAACTATAAGTAGTAAAGGGTGATGATAAATGGCAGGGAATATTCTATATGGGTGGTGTCTTTCGAATTACCGTCATGACTCATTTTACATCTGATGTTCTTAACATCCTTACTAATAACTTGGAGAAGGAAATATAATGACACACAAGCGAAAGTTGCATATGATTTCTAGTTGGGAGATGTTGCAAACCAAATCAGACCTTATGGAAAGACATCAATAACGTGGAGGGGTAGAACATCATTTTTCGCTACCTCAGTGTATGCTATTTTCTTAGAACTTTATTTTTTCTGGCCAGGCGCAGTGGCTCACACCTGTAATCCCAGCACTTTGGGAGGCCAAGGCAGGTCGATCACCTGAGGTCAGGAGCTCAAGACCAGCCTGGCCAACATGGTGAAACCCTGTCTCTACTAAAAATACAAAAATTAGCTGGGCGTGGTGGCGCATGCCTGTAATCCCAGCTACTCAGGAGGCTGAGGCAGGAGAATTGTTTGAACCCGGGAGGCGGAGGTTGCAGTGAGCCGAGATTGCGCCACTGCACTCCAGCCTGGGCAACAGAGCGAAACTCCATCTCAAAAAAAAAAAAAAAAACAACCTTTATTTTTTCTGATTTTAAAAGTAATAACTAGTTTGTAGAAACATTAAAAGTAAAAAAAAAAAAAAAAAGTAAAAAGCTAAAAAGAACTGATAATTTAATCACCCTGGGGCAATCACTGTTAACTTTTTAAAATATTTACTTTCAGTCCTTTTGCCATACATTTTTAACTGGTTGAGATCATACCACACACATAATTTTTTCCACACACATAACTTTGTATCTTTTCCACTTCGCATTATATAGAATTTCCCATGTCATTACAAACTTTTTGTAAACATCTCTTTGAAAGGCTGTGTGTAATGCTCAGTTTTAAGGCTCTAGATACATAGAGGACCAGATCTGGGAGAACTGGAATTTGGTGGTTGTGTAGATTCCCATCAATATTATGTTTAAATCTACCATGTTATAGCTGAGAACGCAACATTTTCTTTACAATATAAACATAAAAATACCGTGGGAAAGCAGTTTGGGCTTGTGGGCTGCATTCTGCAAAGGCTTGTTGAATTAATGTACTCCCTATAGGATCTGAACAGGATTCCAGTTCTCCCTTCCTTACTAATCTTGAAAGAAGCCTTTAAGAGAAGCCTTTGGCAGGAGGCCTGGCCAATTCCAGGTAAAGGACTATGAATTCAACTTTTCATGTCTAAGATTCTGGCAGCTATTTCCACTAGTGGCTTTAGAAATCTGTACTACATGAGTTGATGGTCTCATCTGGCCCCTGTTTCTTAACTGCATCGGGAGGAGTATCTGGCCTGGCAATTTAGGATTTCTTCATCCCTTATTGAATGGATGCCAAGCTTTGTAAAAGATGGCTTGGGGTAATTTTCTATGGTGGTGTGTTTGCTCCTGAGTATCAAAAGTTTCAATAAAAGGCTTTCTGTTCTCTGACAACAGCCCATTTTTCCCAGACACATGCCTTGTTGTTTTTCCATCATTGACAGTAGATAAGTTTGGATGCAGCCAAAAGCGGTTGGCATGGACCCGCACTTGAGGGGCTCCTGGGATGGTCTTCCAGCCACTCACTGTAGGCACCACCTTAACTGATGCCTTCTTGACCTGAAAGCTCTTTGTTCCATTAGCTTTTTCCTCCTCAGCAATGACTTCTGTGGTGATGGCTGTTGCTTTCCTTCTCTTTCCATTTTTCAGTTATCGCTTTCCTCCCAGCATGTCTGTGCTGTGTAATTCTCTTGTAAAAGTTGCTTCTTGCTCATAAGTCCCCAAGCGGAGGAATGGAGCAGTTAACCTGCTGTTTCAAAAAGTTGTAATCGAAACCATCATTCTCTGTAACTAGAATTCATAAAGAAGCATTATGAAGATGGAGTTTTTAATTCAGTAAAATTCAATAACAGTAATAATAGCTAAGCACGTTACCTACCTAGAAAACCTATGAGATGTATATTGTTATGTCCATTTCAGAAGTGAAAACTGAGGCACAGAGAGGTTAAGTAGCTTCCACAAGATTGCATAACTGTAAGTCTTCTTAATACTAATTCAGTCTTACCACTAGGTGCTGAAAGTGGCACGGGTTTATTCATTCCATTCTTAGGTCCCTAGTGCCTAGATAACTCATTGCACTCAGGCCTTGCTCCATAAATCTAAATATTTTGTGATAGATGTTGAGTTTCCTGTTGACTGAAGTAAATTAAGAATATTTAGCATCTCCTGTGCAAGGCACATGGGTAGATACAAAGATTACCAGAACCCAGTCCTCCTCCTCCAGCATTTATAGTCCAGTTGATTCAACAGGCACATAGAGAAGCAGCCGTAAATATAAGACAGAGGACAGTGAATGCTGTTTTAGAGATTCAAAGTGAGTTCAGTAGGAACATGGGGGAGGTGAGAGAGAATTCCAACAGTTGACATCTAGGATATTTTCGTGAAAGGCATACAATATGGGTTTACCCCTCATTGTTGAATATGTCTTACTAAGTGGTAACTGGAGTGTCCTGAGTTTAATTTAATCTGTTTTGGGATCTCCATTCTTGAAGCACCTTTGAATCATCTTTCTAAATGTTTTGCTATACATCTAGAAGACGTATCAAATGTGGACCTTGGCTGGGTGCAGCGGCTCATGCCTGTAATCCCAGCACTTTGGGAGGCCGAGGTGGGAAGGTCTCTTGTTTAAGCCCAGGAGTTGGTGACCAGCCTGGGCAACATAGTGAGACCCTGTCTCTAGAAAAAAAAATTAAAAATTAGCTGGGCATGTGGCCGGGCACAGTGGCTCATGCTTGTAATCCTAGCACTTTGGGAGACCAAGGCGGGCGGATCACCTGAGGTCAGGAGTTCGAGACCAGCCTGACCAACACGGTGAAACCCTGTCTCTACTAAAAATACAGAAATTAGCCAGGCGTGGTGGCGGGCACCTGTATTCCCAGCTACTCAGGAGGCTGTGACAGGAGAATCACCTGAACCCGAGAGGCAGAGGTTGCAGTGAGCTGAGATTGTGCCATTGCACTCCAGCCTGGGCGATGAGAGTGAAACTCCGTCTCAAAAAAAAAAAAAAAAAAAAAATTAGCTGGGCATGATGGTGTGTATCTGTAGTCTCAGCTACTTGAGAGGCTCGCTTGAGCCCAGGAGGTCAAGGCTGCGGTGAGCTATGATGGCACCACCGCACTCCAGCCTGGGTGACAGAGCAAGATCCTGTCTCCTAAAAAAAAAAAGTGTACCTTACCTCTGGCTGTATTTAGGAAGCTCCTTTTTTGAATAAGTATGTGGCTTGAACTCATTATTTCTAATAAAAACAAAATATAAAAATGATATCATTGGCCGGGTGTGGTGGCTCACGCCTGTAATCCCAGCGCTTTAGGAGGCCGAGGCAGGTGGATCACGAGGTCAGGAGTTCGAGAGCAGCCTGACCATTATGGTGAAACCCCATCTCTACTAAAAATACAAAAATTAGCCGGGCGTGGTGGTGGATGCCTGCAGCTACTCGGGAGGCTGAGGTACGGGAATCACTTGAACCCAGGAGGCAGAGGTTGCAGTGAGCTGAGATCGCGCCACTGCACTCCATCCCGGGTGACAATGCAAGACACCATCTCAAAAAAGAAAGAAAGAAAGAAAGATATCATTGAGCCTTTTTAAGTAACCTGATGTAATGTTCTCTGCCTTTTTTCTATAAAATAGAGGAGCCCAGAAAATGGGGAAAAAAAGGAATAAATGTTATTCTTTGGGAATCTGTGGAGCAGATGATGAAAGTAAAGAATGAGTCCTAAGATACTAAAGTCAGAGCTATTTAGTGTTAGCGAGATTTAGAGGTAGTCTTTATGGAAGCAGTAGGTTATCTTTCAGAGCCGTAGAAGGAGTGTTTCAGATAAGACCGAGGTGAATGAACACAGCAGGCATCCCTGAGATGGAAAGCTTCTGGAAAAAGATGGGTTTGTTCTCTGACTCACCTCATTAGATACTGACTACACCCCTGATTATTTTGTGGTCGAATCTTAAGTATCAGGATATCACAGCCTCATGAGCAACTTTTTTTTCCACCCATTCTAATCGACATTCCTGGCCAGAGAGAGGCTTACAGGAAAAGAAGAATATGTGGTAAAATATACATAACATAAGCAGCTTAGCCGTTTTTAAGTGTGTAGTTCAGTGGCTTTAAGGACATTCACACTGCTGTGCAACCATCACCACCATCCATCTCCAGAACTTTTTTTATCTTGCAAAATTGAAACTCTATACCCATTGAGCTACCCGCCCCCACCCCCAGCCCCTGGCAACCACCAGTCTACTTTCTGCCTCTAATTTTGACTACTCTAGGTACCTTATATAAAAGTGAAATCATACAGTATTTGTCTTTTTTGTAAGTGGCTTATTTTTACTTTAATGTCTTCTAGGTTCATGTTGCAGCATGTGTCAGAATTTCTATTATTATTATTATTATTATTATTATTTTAGATGGAGTCTCGCTCTGTTGCCAGGCTGGAGTGCAGTGGTGTGATGTCGACTCACTGCAACCTCCGCCTCCCGGGTTCAAGCGATTCTCCTGCCTCAGCCTCCCGCGTAGATGGGATTACAGGTGCATGCCACCATGCCCAGCTAAATTTTGTATTTTTTGTAGAGACAGGGTTTCACCATGTTGGCCAGGTTGGTCTTGATCTCTTGACCTCATGATCCACCCACCTCGGCCTCCCAAAGTGCTGGGATTACAGGCGTGAGCCACCATGCCCGGCCAATTTCCTTCCTTTTTAAGGCTGAATAATATTCGATTGTATGCCCTAAGTCTTTTTTTTTTTTTTTTCGAGGCAGGATCTTGCTCTGTCACCCAGGCTGGAGTGCAGTGGCACGATCGGGGCTCACTGCAACCTCAACTTCCTGGCTCAAGCGATCTTCCCGCCTCAGCCCTCCAAGTAGCTGGGACTACAGGTGTGCACCACCACATCCAGCTAAATTTTTTGGAATTTTTTAGTAGAGATAAGGTCTTACTGTGTTGCCCAGGCTGGCCTCCAACTCCTGAGCTTAAGCAATCCTCCTGCCTCAGCCTCCCAAAGTGTTGGGATTACAGGCATAATAAGCCTTTTAAGTAGCAGTTTTTTGGTTGAAAACAAAACAACAAAACACTGTTGCAGGCATTTACCTCTTTTCTGATTGAAACTATTTTGTTTCCCTTCTCTACTCTGAAAGACAGAAAAGCTCTGGAAATTTCTGCTGGGGAAAGAAATTTCCCATTTTTGTCTTCAGCTCAAGACATTTTTGGAGACATTTGACTAAACTGTTTACTTTAAATTTGTCAGATTAGAAAGATGCTTTTTCATATGTGTCAGGAGTTTCTCACATGTCTATGTTTTTTAAAATGTTTTAGTTTTCAAATGGTAGATTGATTGGTGTTTTAACAGGAAGCTAACTGTTCAAAATGATTACAGGCCCATTATTTTTCCACTAAACGTTTCGACACTAGCATCAGAGCACTGAGAGACACCTGCACTGTGATGCTTCCCATTAGGGTATATTCTCCACGATGCCTCCTTGAGCCACCATATCTGTCTCTCTGACTCTCTAACTCTCTAAATCGGAGTCTGAACTTAGTATTGTTGTTTGCACTTGATTGACACCCAGTAACTATGTGGCATGCATATATGTGGACTTAAGGGCATAATAGAATTGGAAATTTTTCCATCATAGTCAAACCAATTCACCAAAACTGATTTATCCCTGTAGTGACTGTAAACTATGAACTGCCTTTAGATAGGCAGCCTAAGTATCTCTCAAACCTTAATTTCATCTTTAATTTTACTGCCTTAGGTGGATTATTGTGTCAACCTCCCCATTGTCTTCTTGGCTTTTGCATGTCCTTGCTTTTCTTCTTCATTCCTCCCAATACCACCAGATCATCTGTCTTAAATTCACAAATTTGATTGGGCCATGCCTCTACTTATTTTTCATCACTACTGGTTGCTTTTAAGACAAAGCAAAAGCAAAAACTGTAACATTGGCCCTAACTTACCTTGCTGGCCTTTTGAGCCCAAGCAGCTCTCCAGTCACCTCCCTTCAACTCCCACTGCGAATCCCTGCCACCCTCGATCCTGTGCTGGGAAGTCCCCATTCCCTGCACACATACCTGCCTTGCCTCCTGCTTTTCTTCAGCTAGAATACCCTTCCCACCAGTCTCTACTTGGCAAAATTTTACCCATCCTTTAGAATTTAATGCAAGTTGCATCATTGCTGTGAGGCATATTTTCCCATGAACGTTTGTTAATAGCTCTTTGTTTTCTTGTTCTATAGGTGCCTTTATCGTAGTGCTTATCCCTTTGTATTGTGATGCTCTGTTAATGATTTTGTCTCTGCTGCTATATTCTCTTTTTAATTTTAGGGTCGGGGGTACATGTGCAGGTTTGTTACATGGGTATATTGCATAATACTGGAGTTTGGGCTTCTATCGAACCCATCGCCCAAATAGTGAACATAGTACCCAATAGATAGTTTTTCAATCCTTGCCCCCCTCCCTTCCTCCCCACTTTTGGAGTCCCAAGTGTCTATTGTTTCCATTTTTATGTCCATCTGCACCCACTGTTTAGCTCCCTCTAATAAATAAGAATATGTAGTACTTGGTTTTCTGTTTCCATGTTAATTTGCTTAGGATCATGGCCTCCAGCTGCATCCATGTTGCTGCAAAGGACATGATTTCATTCTTTTTTATGGCTGTGTAGTATTTCACGATCTATATGCACCTCCTTTCTTTATCCAATCCACTGTTGATAAGCACTTGGGTTGATTCCATGACTTTGCTATTGTGAATAGTGCTTCTGCTGCCAAATTTTGAACCCTTTAAAGATCTAGGACTCTGCCCATCTCACCTTTGTAGATACAGCATCTGGCTTAGATTGAGGCTCATGGTAGTTCTAGAAAAGAATGCTGAATGAATGAATGAATGAATGAATGAATGAGGAATGAATGAATTAAGGTAATTGAATCCAACCTTCATTTTAGAGGTATAAAGAAAAACTGAAGAAAATATGGCTTTGACCTCAGGTATCTCTTACACATAGAAATGTCATGAGCAAGTGTGGGATACATGTCAGTCTGTGTGTCCCACACATTCCTGAAAGCTGCTACTTTTAGCCAACTGGACCTTAGTTGACTCTTAAAGGTGAGATGGGATTCAAATATATTGGGGGAGGAGGTGCCATCTCCAGGTAAAGGCCTGGATTATGTCATGATTGAATACGTAAAATATTTTGGATCTGAAAAGATCTTTGTATGCTAGTTGAATTCATACAGCTACTTCATGGGAAAATTAAGATTTAGTCCACATGTGTACAGCATGTTTCATGATAAAGCACTGGACAAATAAAACCCCAACTGGCCCCGTGATACTCATTCCAGCCATATCATCTTTCTCTCTCCCTTACCCACCATCTTAAACTTTCAAAATATATCTAAAAGGAAGGCATTGTTAATCAAAAGATAAAAAACTAATCCTCTAGTAGGAGGAATGTTTATGATTTCCTTTTATCTGTCATAACAACAGAAAATAGCATTTTAAACATTTTAAAGCATGATGGCAAATTATGTTTTGCCAATGTGGTATATGAAATGGAAATTTACTCTGGCTCGTTCATCCTCTGTGAATAAGATGATCCTACAACAAAATAGCATGCAGGCTCCTCTCTCGGGAACAGTGGGGGTAAAATATAAACAGTGTTTTCATATACTGTCAGACGTTTAGAGGGCTGCCTTCCATGATTTTAATATTGTCTGACTGTACCTTCTCCACTTCATTTAGCACATGAGTAGGTTTTGATCCCATCTTCGACACTGCATTTCCCCATCATGAGAAGGCCCTACTAAATCTTAGAAAGTCATTTTGCTTCAACGAAGAGACAGTCTCACCCCTCCTGTTACTGTCATATGCTTCTTTCCAGTTTTTTAGAACATGGTCTCTAGAGGTGTTCAAAAAGCAAGCAAATGAAGCAAATGATCAGATTTTGGCAGAAGTTAAACTACATGATAAATGATAGAATTTGGCTCAAATTCTACTGGTATACACACAGACACACATGTCCCTCTGTGTGTGTATGTCTAATATACAAATATAAAACAGACTTCATCTCTATATGTTCAGTAGAATGATAGATACTAAAGTTTTTATTGGACAGATTGAAAGAGTAAACCCTAAAAGACAAATAAATATTGAAGAATCTAAGATGGGACCAGGTGTTTTGTATTCAGAGAAAGTTTCCCATTAGTCTTGAGAGTTGAAGAGAAAGATAGCTGTTAGGAGACATGGCAAGTTGCAGCAGCAATCAGAAGTAAACCCTGGAGTTTCTTCTGAACTTTGGGAATTTATATGAACAGCTGTTAAGAAGCTGTGTGTGTGTGTGTGTGTGTGTGTGTGTGTGTGTGTGTGTGTGTGTGTGTATTTAGACATATATATATGTGTATGTATATATATGTGTGTGTATATATATATTCAGACGTAGTCTTACTCTGTCACCCAGGCTGGAGTGCAGTGGTGTGATCTTGGCTCACTGCAACCTCCGCCTCCCGGGTTGAAGTGATTCTCCTGCCTCAGCCTCCTGAGTAGCTCGGATTACAGGTGCACAACACCACGCCCAGCTAATTTTTGTATTTTTAGTAGAGACGGGGTTTCACCATGTTGGTCAGGCCAGTCTCGACCTCCTGACCTCATGATCCGCCTGCCTCGGCCTCCCAAAGTGCTGGGATTACAGGCGTAAGCCACCGTGCCTGGCCAAGAAGCATTATATATTCTGAGTGCATTGGTGTAGGGGTGTGTAAGAGATGATGGCAGAAGATGATTAAAAATTGAGTCTTGTGGGAGATCAAATGAAGAAGATGGAATCTGGGGATAGGATCTTTGTCTATAAAATTATTGAAAAGGCTGGTGTGATGGCTCATGCCTGTAATCCCGGCACTTTGGGAGGCCAAGGCAGGAGGATCGCTTGAGCCCAGGAATTTGAGACCAGCCTGGGCAACATAGTGACTTTGTCTCTACTGAAAAATAAAATTAGCCAGGCAGGGTGGTACACACCTGTGGTCCCAGCCACTTGGGAGGCTGAGGTGGGAGGATCGCTTGAGTCCAAGAGTCCAAGGCTACTATAGTGAGCAGTGATTGTGCCACTGCACTCCAGCCTGAATCAGAGCAAGACCCTGTCTCAAAAACAAACAAAAAAAAACCAACAACAACAAAAAGAAAATTATTGAAGTAGTCCCCATGATGGTAACAAGGCTCTAGACTGGCATCAAAGAGGAAGGAGATAAATCTGAAAGCACAGCCTTGGTGATGGGTTGGATATGAGAAGGTGCAATAAGAGGTGAATTTCAAGTCATGAGCCTAGGTGACAGGATAGGCAAGAGAATTTTAGGAAGAGGAGGTGATGATGTTCACTCAACTATTCCATAGACTACTCATTCTTGTGATGTGTTCATGGGTGTCACAAGAAGTAGGAATTCTGTAGTCAGGTAAGTTTGGAATATACTGAGATAAAGTTAAGGATAAAGTTAAACAGTAACTGAAGGACTTTTCATAGCCTTTAATATGCTGTGATGAATTGATTAGACCGAGTATTCAGTCTTTGCCAAATTTATCAGATTATGGGGTTAAGTGTTTTGGAGATTGTGTCAGGGAGGGAGGGTACACTTTGGAAAATGATTTCAGAACAAGAGAATGGGGCGTGTGTGTGTGTACGCATACGTGGGTGATAATCACCCATCAAAGTGAGAGTCTTTTGATCATAATAGATATGGAACTTGAGAGAATGTGAGAGAGCAGGCTAATATGAGGAGTATTTGGAAGTCAGGCAGAGAGATGTTCACTGGAAACATAGCTGAGATTAGATTCTTCTCTATAGCAACCAATAATTAATAGGAGGATAGGTGATGTGTGTTGGGGGTTGAGGTGGGGTGGACAAGAGGAAGCAAGGCAAGGGCAACCGAGGCCCCGGAAGACATCCCAGACAAATGTGCTGTCACCAGTAACCAGGTTGGAAAGAGCTGGTACATGGCAGTGATTGAAACAGTAGGGCTCTAATCTAAGAGGCGTAGAGGCTCTCTGGTTTGTCAAGGAGGACGTCTCCTCTCTTTCTGCCTGTTGTGGTAGGTGCTAATGCTAGGGCAAAGGGTGAGTGAATGGTATCCCACTACTCCCTGCTCCACTCAACAGACACTTCACCGACCTCTCATTTTGTAAGGATAAGAGAATAATGAGCATTTAGGTCCTACTCTCGAGGTGGGCACTATTTCTGAAGGAAAAGGGCAAGAAAGGTAGTTAAACTGCTAACTGTGACATATTTGATGGATTGATTGATTGACTGACTGACTGACTGACTGACTGTAGAGATGAGGTCTTGCTATGTTGCCCACGCTGGTCTTGAACTTCCTGGCTCAAGTGATCCTCTCACCTCAGTTTCCCAAAGTGTTGGGATTACAGGTGTGAGCCAATGCCCCCAGCAAGTGTGATATACTTGACAACTGCTTCTACAGCAGCTGTGAATCTGACAAGGTCTTTAACTGTGGGCAAAGAGGTTTAATATATTTGAATTCTCTAACTTTTTGAGGCAACCAAGGAAATAAACATCATATGAATAGCTCTAAGTCTTAAGCCCAATTTCGTAATCAGAAAATTACTTTTTAAATTTTATTTTTCCTTATAACCAAGTTTAAAAATAGACTGGGAAGCACACCCCTTTGGAGAAGTTGGAATTGGCCTAACAGTATGTGAGGTGTTACAAAGGTAAACCCTGGTCCTGGAATGGAATTACAAGTGTAGTTTTTTTTCTTTTACCGGACCATACGCTTTATTTTTAGAATTTTGCGTTGTATTTTACTCTGGTGTATCTTCTATTGATATCAAATAGTTTAAGCTGGGCCCACCAAATGTAGATGAGATGACAGTTTCTAATGTAAATTTCTAAGGGAGCAGAAAAGCTTCCGGGGAAGCACACAAGGCACCCCATTGTAAGGACACTCCTTTGTGCTAGTTCTTTTCTGGCTTTGACTTGAGCTGGCTCACAGGGCTTCTGCTCTGTGCCTACCACTCCTCACCGAGAGCCAAGAAGACTTTTCATAATGCCATCTGTCATAGGTGTTCATGAAGGGGACATGTAAAAATAAATATAAAAAGTTTACAGTGAGTTTTAATAGCAGTTTAGGGATCTTTCTGAATTATGGTAAACAAAAACTGAAAAGTTACAGATATGGTCATATATAGATAACTGTTTTGACCCTCCTCCTGTCACTGTGTCCTGTAGCTCTCTGTATCCCATATATGAGCAGGATTCAGGATAACTGTGTGGAATGGTTGGGCACCCCTCAGCACACCATTCTGGAGAACCAACCCCACAACTGCAGTTTCAGTGTTTGCTTTGATGTTCACCATCCTCCTGCCTTTTTTCCCCACTTTCCTGCCTCACACTGAATGGGCACTTGATAAATCTGTACTGAACAGAAAGGGAAGGAATCCTCTCAGATACCAGTGTTGTAAAAGGAATGCCATCAAAGAGTCATCTTTATCTTGTGTCTTAGCAGCTGTTTGAAAAGTGATCTCTTGTGTTTGACTTTGTGTGAGTGATATGGTCTGGCTCTGTGTCCCCACCCAAATCTCATCTTGAATTGTAATCCCCATGTGTTGGGGGAGGGACCTTGTGGGAGGTGATTAGATTATGGGGGCGGTCCCCCCATGCTGTTCTCGTGATAGTGAGTGAGTTCTCATGAGATCTGATGGTTTTATTAGGGGCTTTTCCCCACGTCACTCTTTCTTCTCCTTCCTGTGGCCATGTGAAGAAGGACATATTTGCTTCCCTTTCTGCCATGATTGTAAGTTTGCTGAGGCCTCCCCAGCCATGCTGAACTGTGAGTCAATTAAACCTCTTTCCTTTATTAATTACCCAGTCTCAGGCATAACTTTACTAGCAGCGTGAGAAAGGACTAATAAGGTGAGTGTTTGAGTACTATCTATGGATAGCTTCTCAGACCACCATCTTCTTCTTATAATAGCTGCCAGAAAGCCAGGCCTCTGGACAGGGGAGCTTTATCAGCTGCTAGAATGCAAGGAGCTCTCTCTCTCTCTGCTCCCACTACCCATTGAACCTGGCTGCCTTTGTGATATGAGAGTTGTATGTGGTATTCTTGGAGAGGAGATTTTCAGAGATTTTCTTCTCCTTAGCATTGTCCTATAATTGGAAGCTTGGAGTTTGCATGTGAATTGGAATAAAGTAGGAGAAGGAATTTTATACTCTTGATTTGAGCAGGATCTTGGTCTCACGTTCTGCAGTCACAAAGAAACAAATACATTAGTCATTTGGGAACTAGATTCCCCTGGACTCCAATCCAGCGATTGCCTTTCCCGTAAGCATTAGTTTCTTCATTTTGGCAGAGAAAACAAATTAGTTGCTCCACTAACTGAAATCATATGGTGGTTATCTGTCTTGATGCTGTACCACTGGATCTTGTAGCGCTAGGAGTACATATGATACTCCCACTGTACACGAAAATCCTGAAACGTTTATTTAGTGCTTTTGGCAAGACAGCAAATTGGAGAGGTAGTTACATTATTAAATGTTCAAAGGAATGAACTTTCTGAATTATTGATTTTTAAAAGTCAGGTTTTAAATGGAGATAGGTATGTGGCAAGAAAGACAAAAGTTGACAGCAGCCTGGTAATTACCATGTGTAGAAGAAGATCCACAGTGATACAGATACAGCTCTATCCATCCAACCACATGCACATCCTTTCCCAGACCAAGCAGATCTGACTAATGTGGGTGTGTGTACTGGGAAGTCTTCAGCTGCCTCACAGAAGGAAGAGGAAATAATGGGCCAAGTTAGGGAGAAGAACCTGAGAGTCTGTTCTATAAAGTCATATGGCAAAATGGGTCTGTTTCCAGATCCCCCGGGAGGTGAATGGGCTGTGTCCTGAGCATGTCAACACAGCCCCTTAGTGCATGGCTGGTGTTTGTCGTGGATAAGCCACCTTCCTTAAGGCACTCAGGGGAGCAAGAACACTGTGGAGGAAGCCAAAGGGGAGATCCTGTATCCTCTTCCCCAGCCACTGCAAGCCTAACATCCCTCTTTGTTGCCTTCTAGTTGGAGGAGAGATGTATGGATGCGATTCCTGATTGTTCTGTCCACTTAGCCCTGCAGTGTAGCTGACCTTCAGTTATCCATGAGATATCTGTGTACTGGAGCTAGACATTGCGTTCATGAGGCATGCCCTTTGAAATTTGGGATTCTATTCATTTTAAGCCCAATTAGCCAAAGATGTTTTCAGAGGTAGAGGGAAGCTGGAAGGCTGACGGGAAAGCAATAATTCACCACCGTTTTTCTTTGCTCCTGTATGTAGGGAAGGGCGGGGGCTAGAGGTTCTCAACTAGGGATGTTTGGAAAGGTGTGTGGTGTTCAGGGTACATGCAATGACTGGGGGACACTATAGACTTTGAGTGGGTAGTGGCAAGGGTTGCTAAATGTCCTTTAATGTGTGAGCCAGTCTTCTACCTGAAGAAACACCTCACCTAAAATGCCAGTAAAGGGTAACACTGAGAAGGAGAAACAGGATTTGGGCCTCTATGAAGGCTCATACAGTCATGAGAGTCTGCCTGCTTAGCCTTCTGGGCAGTCTGTCCCCAGAGAGGCTAGATACAGCCTTCCAGTTTTGGTTCAAAGCCACCTTTCTTTCTTCCTTTCTTTCCTTCCTTCCCTCCCTCCTTCCCTCCCTCCTTCCCTCCTTCCTTCCTTCCCTCCTTCCTTCCTTCATCTTTCTAACTTTCTTCCTTCCCTCCTCCCTCTTGCCCTCCTTCCCTCCTTCCTTCCTTCCTTCCCTCCTTCTCTTTTCTTCTTCCCTTCCTTTCTTCTTCTCCTTCCTTCCCTCCTTCTCCTTCTTTCCTTCCCTCTTTCTCTTTCTTTCTGTCCTCCTCCTTCCTTCCACCTACCCATCCCTTCAGTGGCCAACTATCCTCCCCCATGTTTCCCTCAGCAATGTTGTCACATTGTCTGATCTACTGTACTCAAGTTCCTCTCTGAACTGAGTCATTTAGTAGCAATGACAAGTTCTTAGGCCAGTGAGAATAGAGAAGGCAGATGTGTTTGGTGGGAAAGGAGAGAGAGAAGAGAGGGAGAAGAGTTAAAAAGATGTTTCATAATTTATCTAGGTATGAGAATAGGCCCCTGAAGTTTTAATCCAAGAAAAGGCATTTGATTAATACTAATGGACTCCCTCCCACATCTAGGTCAGTGGTTCTCAAATGTGAGCATGCATCAGAATCCCACGGAGGGTGTGTTCCTAGAGACTGCTGGGAACCATCCCCAGAGTTTCTGATTGAGAAAGCCTGGGGTGGGGCCTGGGAATTTGCTTTACTAACAAGTTCTCAGGTGCTGCTGGTGCAGGGACCACACTTCTCTAGGTCTGGGTCCTAGAGACAAGAGAAACACTAGGCCAATTCCCATCTCCGGAGCACTGGCAGGAACAGGCTGAGATGGGGAGAAACTTTGCCATATTCTAGACTTTTAACTATGGCCCATGAAGGAGAAGGGAAGATTTAAGGCCAGCACTTCCCAGAAGATGAGGATAATACCAGCTTCACCATCACCCCTGTCGCTGGGATCCATGCAGAGGCCAGTGTGCTGTGTTTTCTGAAATAGGAAGGAAACAAACCACAGTGAGCCTTACTTTTTTGTGTCCTTCTGTACCAAAGTAAGTGCATTGAATTGGTGGCCTTGCTTGATGTCTGGTAGCTTGGAAGTTTTGGTAAGCCAGGATATCAAAGATGATGGGCAATACTTTCTTCTGTTACTAAAGAAGGGGAAGTTGTAAAAATGTGCAACCTGTTGAAGGTCTCTCTAAACCTGTTGGTTTAATGCCCAAACCGTTACATGTGTCCTTTTTTTTTTTTTTCAGGGAAGCAAACAAAGTCAGGAGTAGGGACAGTGTTTACTATTGCCTTTCCTGAATTCTTTGTTCAGTGATACCAGAAGCACTGGTTGTTTTTGTTTTCCTCTTCCTAATGTGTTAACAATGGTGATGCTTTATTCCAGCCCCACAAAGGGAAAAACAAATATGTTGGCAGGGATGCTGCTAGAAGTGTGAACAGGAATGTGAATGAAATGAACACTTTGAGAGCTGCTATTTTTACTATCGGTACCTGATTTTTCAAAATAATTCTAAGAACAGTTTTTCATCAAATTTGACCTGATGCCAGAATAACATCAAGCTTTTTTCATCCCTGATGTTCCCCTGGAATCATCAAATGTTATTAGTTTGAGTACTTAGCGGCAGTTTAGAGGTGGCATATTATTTTGGTTTCCATTTTTTATCCAATACAGAAGGCCCTGCGGCACTAAATAAAAATGTCACCGTGTAAGACGTAAAGGCTTTCTGTCACAAATGTTTTTAAAAATTCATGAAGGGCTGAGGATTTGATTTATCTTATCCTCTTTCTGTGATTTATTCATATTTAATGTTGGGTTCAACGTTTGAAGCATGAATAACTTTTTCAAATTAAAAACTGTGGTGAATCAGTTTTTTTTGAAGAAAAATTCTACCATGCCAGTTTTTGAATTATGCAGTTCATTCCTCTTCATGTGTTCAAGGGCCAGAGATGTTTGATTTTCCCAGTGGCTGGAATTCTCACTGGCAAAACCCTTCATTGTTGCAGGAGAGGTTGATTTCCCCAGCTACGTGGTCGTGACAGCTGTTGCCCTGGTATCAATAGACATTTTCCCTCAGGCATCAATCATGATCACACACGTGTGGTAGCAAAGGGGAAGAGTGGGAACAGACCTCGCCTTGGGAACCAATGGATCTGTATATTTCTTTCTATTTTTGAGCTGCTGAGTTGCCTGTGTTTTTAGGAACATCTTTAGGCAGAGATAAGATCCAGTCTTCTCTATGGACAGTTCATAAATAATGTTAATAGAATTAGCCGCAAATGAAGGAAAGGAAATGAACTCAAAACAAACTCATAATCTTTCTTTTTTTGAACTAGTCAGTGGAAGCATAGGGTCTGAGGCGCTGGATTTTTTCTAAGCCCTTGGAGGCTTAAAAGACTATAAGGAAAAGAGCTGCTTGGTGGACTCATTTTTGCCTTTGTGGCAGGCAGGTAGATCTGTTTAGAGGACATGAGAGTATCTCCCCTTTCTCTGGGAGGCAGGTGGAATTCTAGATGGCTAGACAGAGATGCAATAGGGTACACTGTCCTGGACATCCTGACTTCTGCCTGCCCATCCACCTGCCTGCCCGTCCTGCCCTCCTGGGCCTCCATTCCTGTATCCCTTCCTTTTGATTTCTTCCCTCCTACTTCCATTTTTCCAGCCTGCAGTGACTTTTGAGCATCTCCGTTGGGCCAGCTATTGTACCTCCATAGACTGAGTCAGCTTCTCATAAACTGAGGGGAACTATGCCTGTTTTCTTTGCTAAAAATAGTCAACCTTTTATAAGAGTATAAAGGAAGAAAGAGAATAAACGCTACTAAGTGCCTACAAGGATAAAGCCCTTTTTACCTATTTTTCTCCCTTGTTTGTCATTGAGGATGAAACCTATTAAAGGGGGGCAGCCAGTATACAGAGCAGGGCATAAACCAAAGAATGTGGCTTTTTAAACCAATTTCGAGCATTTTGTCATTATGATCTGGATCTTATTCCTTTGCTTAATGGAGACAATCATCTTGATAAGTAAAATCATCTGTTTTTCCCCTCAGACTATTGGGAAGAAGTTACCTGCAACTACAGCAACTCCAGACTCATCAAAAACAGAAATGGACAGCAGGACAAAGAGTGAGTTTCCTTAGTTATCTGTTTCACATTTAAAAGCATTTAAGGATTTCCCAATAACAGAAATGTTTTTTAGAAATCCCTATATAACCTTGATAGCTTTTGCAAACGCATCAGAAAAATGTACACAATTGTATTTCATTCAATTCCCCACCATTAGGGTGGGCACAGGTTAGATTCAGAACTCCTGTTTTTGTTTTTTTCTTTCCCCTTATTACAGAACGTGGTTCTCTCCTGCTATATGTATCTCACTCGTATGAAGAGCTAGGGTTTATCCATATATAACAAGCACTTTGCACAGTTAAGGTGGCTGAAAGATTTTAGAGAGTGGCAAATTAAGCGCTTTAGGGATTCACGAGCCCTCAGGTCGGAGAGGCCTAACCACTTGAACTTGACCAATTTTACTTACCCTTGACTTCCCACTGGTATCTTCAACACATCTCTGCTTGAATATCTCCAGATACCACTGCATGTCTGCAGGCAGGAGGCTCAAGTCTTTTTGGAAGGATTAGGCTAATGAATGGGAGGGGTTAACTGTGTTTTAGAACAGTGCTAGCCAATAGAAATATCATGTGTGAGCCACATATGTAATTCTAAATTTTCTAGTAGCCATGTTTAAAAAAAAAGGAAAAACAATTGGACTTAATTTTAATGTATTTTTATTTAACTCAATATATCCAAATATTATCGCCACATGTTATCTACGTAAAATTATTAAATGAGATACTTTCATTGCTCTCTTCATGTGAAGTCTTCACAATCCCATATGTATTTCATAGGCATAGTATACCTCAATTTGGAGTAGCTACATTTCAAGCACTCAATAGTCATGTGTGCCTAGTGGCAACCATATTGGAAAGTGTAGTTTTATTTTTTAAAATATTTTCTTTTTAAAACAATGTTGTGGGTACATAGTAAGTGTATATATTTATGGGGTACATGAGATGTTTTGATACAGGCATGCAATGTGAAATAAGCACATCATGGAGAATGGGGTATCTATCCCCTCAAGCATTTATCCATTGAGTTACAAACAATCCAGTTACACTCTTTATTTTAAAATGTACAATTAAGTTATTATTGACCATAGTCACTCTCTTGTGCTATCAAATACTAGGTCTCATTCATTCTTACTATTTTTTGTACCCATTAACCATCCCTCCTACCCCCCAGCCCCCAACTACCCTTCCCAGCCTCTGGTAACTGTCTGCCTACTCCCTGTGGACAGTATAGTTTTAGAGTAATTCTGGGGTCCAAGAGGGGCTTCCTGGGCTTGAAAATGAACACAGTTCCAAATGCTCAGCTTGCCTAAGCATGTGGGAGAATCCTGGCTCCAGCCCAAGCCTTGTTCAGTCCTAAAAGCGTCTATTAACTACATCCACATACCTGGCCCTCTAGGAACAGCATGGTGGGGGATGGGTTACTCAAAAGAGTGGGTTTATAGGAAGCCCATATTCTAGGACCAGCTCTGTTATTAGCTAGCCATGTGAACTTGGGCAAGTCATTTTATTCCTTTGGCCTTCCTCTTCATCATCTGCATTGTCTGTGAAGTCAGAGGGTTATACTAGAGATAAACCCCAGGGTTTATCCCAGCATCTTCATCCTCTCATTCAGTTCTAAAAGCTTTACAATTCAGAGGGGAAGGTTTCTGCATTCAAAAATTAAACAGCTGATGGAAGAGCCAAAAGGAAGATGTGAACAATTCAGTAGGAATATGAGAAAGGTGTCTTTGGGTATAGATGTTAATATGCCTGTAAATGGTAGCAGGTCAGGAAAGGGAATTATTACTGTCATCAAAGGCTTGAGGGATGTTTATTGACAGACATTTTTCATAGACACCAGGATAAGAATTTCTACAGTTGGGCTGGGCACAGTGGTTCACAGCTGTCGTCCTAGCACTTTAGGAGGCTGAGTGAGGCAAGTGGATCACTTGAGCCCAGGAGTTTGAGACCAGCTTCTTGGAAGGCTGACATGGGAGGATTACCCCAGGAGGTTGAAGCAGCAGTGATTGAGCCAAGGTCATACCATTGCACTCCAGCAGGGTGGCAGAGTGAGACCCTGTCTCAAAAAAAAAAAAAAATAAAAAAAAAAAAAATAAAAAATTCTTCAGTTTCAGCCCACACACACTGTCTCCAGTTGTCAAGAGCAAATTCTGGGGTAATTGTTCTTCCATGATTTCCATTTAGTGCCACCCCAGACCCCTAAGAAGCCCCCTAAAAAGCCCCTTTCATTTGGACCATTTCCCTGCTTCGGGATTTTGATACGACACCTATGTTTAGGTAACAGGCCACAGAGTAACTGAACAACTACATATTAGAAATGACCCTGAGCTTGGGATCTGAGCAACCTCCTTCCCTCTTCCTTCTGGCCAGAAGACAAACTATAACAAAAATTGCCCAGCAGTGCAGAAGAGGGCAGCTCCTTCCTGCGTAGATGTCTGTCTCCTTAGCATGCTAAAATACTAGCTCACATCAGGGTTAAGAGTTGTGATGATTTTAAAAATGTTGATATGAGTTGGTATTTTCTGAGTGAAAGTGAAACTCAGCTGATCAGGATTTAGTTAAACAACATTATCATCCCCACCCTCTCAAAAAAAAAAGCTTTTATGATATTGAAATTCATCAGAAACTCATGCTGGGGAACAGATTGACATAATTTTCATAACAAGAGGAAAACTGTCTAAATATTCATAATGAAGTGCCCTGAGGTTCCTCCAGCTCACCACATCTGGAGTTTCCCTCTTTCTTATTATAATTGATACAGATTTGTGGCCTCTGTGGGATAGAAAAATAGCCCAAAGGGCTATTGAATATTTTTCTGAAAAATAGTTCAGTCTTACAGATTCAGAAGACCAGCTGAACAGGTGGGTTGGGGGGAAAAATCCTTGACAGAATTTGTACAAGGGCAGATCAGGCTTCTGCATAAATTATGACTGCAGGACAAAGGCTGTTTTCCCTGCTGAACCTCATCTCACTTCCTAACTGGACACTCATACCGCCTTTGCAATCCCTTTGTTCATTGACTTGCTTCTTAGGAGTTCTCATCTGTGATGGCAACAAATGGAACCTTGTTGCTATCATTAGATCATTGGTCCCTCTAGGTTGAGGCTGTATCTTCTACTTGATATCCCCACCATGCAGCCTAGAAAAGTGCCATGGATTCAGTGGGCACATAAAAAGTGGTGGTTGAGCAAATGGAGAAGTATAAATGATTTATGATTTATCAGGCTGTAGATTGCACAGTTTTTTAAAAGCCGTTAGCACCATGCACGGTGGCTCATGCCTGTAATCCTAGCACTTCGTGGGGGCCGAGGCGGGAGGATCTCTTGAGCCCAGGAGCTTGAGGCCAGCCTGGACAACACAGTGAGACCCTGTCTCTACAAAAAATAGAAAAAATTAGTTGTGCATGGTGGCACATGCCTGTGGTCCCAGCTCCTTGGGAGGCTGAGGCAGGAGGATCACTTGAGCCCAGGAGGTCCAAGGCTGTGGTGAGCCACGACCGTGCCACTGCACTCCAGTCTGGGTGACAGAGTGAGACCTTATCTCAAAAATATATATAAAAATTAAAAAGCTATTAGCCATTGGTCCCCTTTGCCAAGTGTACATATACCTGTATATGTAAGCCCCTCACAATGAGACCTTAAACACAATGGTAAGAAACATCTTTCGAAAGTATGTTCCAAACACCTACTTTAAGAGCCCTCTGCATGGAAAACAGTTCCATTCACTGTAGGAAAACAGCACATAATGTATCTCTTAAAAAGTATGCTTAGATTTAGCTCTAAAACATTTATGTATAAAGCCCTCATGCACGATGAGATGCAATGCTAGAAACATCTCCCAAAAACATGTTTGAAACACTTGCTTACGAAATTTTATGCTTGGAAAACAGTTCCATTCGCTATATGAAAACAGCACATAATGCATCTCTACAGAAGCAAGTAGATTTAGCTTTTAAAGTTGTATATGGAAACCACATATAATGAAACTTGAAATACAATGGTAAGGAACATCCTTCAAAAGTATGTTCAGAACACCAGCTTACAGAGCTCTCTGCTAGGGGAAAAAACAAAACAAAACAAAAAATCAAAACAAAATACATTTGTTCCTGTAAGACACTTGAGCATGTTCTGGAGTCTGAGTGGTTAGCAGTGGTTGCTGGTGTTCCTTGGCTTGCCGGTGTTCCTTGGGGCTTGCCAGACCCTCTCTTCTTACCAGCCACTGCTCTCCCAATCGGCCTAAGACTGTTACCAGTGGAGGGTGTCCAGGTTCTTGGCGTCTTGAACAAATAATTGGACAAAACGCACAAACAAAGCAAGGAAAGAGTAAAGCAACAAAAGCAGAGATTATTGAAAATGAAAGTACACTCCACAGGGTCAGAGCGGACAGCAGCATAGGGGCTCAACAGCCAAATTACAGAATTTTCTGGGGTTTAAATACCCTCTAGAGGTTTCCCATTGGTTACTTGGTACACACCCTATGTAAATAATATGGTGGCCCACAGTCAGTCTGATTGGTTGTGGAAAGCAACCAATCAGAGGCTGAAGTGAAGCTACAAAGTTACACTTCTATGCAAACATCTGATTGGTTGCAGAAAGCAACTAATCAGAGATACTTTCAATTTTCCATCTGCCCCGCAGAAAAGGAGCGGGATTTGCAAAGGGAGTAGCCTATGGTCCTTTTGTTACTTAGGTGTGGAAAGTTGGGATTTTCCTTTTGATTTAGTTCTAGGAAGTCAGCGTGAATCGGCCTTAGGTTCTCTGCCTCCAGACCCTATTCTGCCTCAAGACCACCAGGGACAAGGCTGTAGTCTGACGAATTCAGGTTTATTGGCTCGTTGTGACCAGGGAGACTGCACACCGGGGGACGTGTGGATGTTACACCAAGCAAAAGCAAAATTAAAAAAAAAAAAAAAGTCGTTGCAGATTTTGAGAAGGGGTGGAATTTAGTGAAATGTAAATGAAATTATGTTTTGATAGGCTCAAGGCAAAGCAGGGCTGCACGGCAAGGGGTCAGCATCAGGTCTTGACTGTGAGGTGGACTCAGGTCCTGTTTCTTTGGCAGCTACCAAGTGAAGATAGATGTGTAGTGCTGTGTCCAGAAACCCGTTACATGAGGCGCTGCACTTGGGCTGGAAATGAAGACTGCTTCTCTGGGTCAAGTGGCTTAGCGCCTTCAGGCCAGAGTGGACTGTTTCATTCTTCCTGATATAATTTTTTTAAAAACCAAGTTTCTGGTAGTTTGTCTCTAAAATCACATACTTTGTCAGGGAGTGAGAAAGTAGGAGCACTCCAAGAAGAGGGTTGTTAAGGACACTTTGCAACTACTGCATATGCTTGGGAGAGAAACACTGTTTCCTGATCACTTTGCAGGTGGCCTTATCTGTGTCTGTTGCCCCAGCCTCAAGAATGGCTGGGCAGATTGCTACTTACTCAGTGCAGCTCATTTTTGCTTTCTCACCACATGTTTAAATAGGAAAAAAAAAAAAAAAAAAAAGAGTCAACTCTCTTGTGTTGGGTTTTCCTCAGCTTCATAATATATACCCAGGAACTCTGATCCTATTTTTTCAGACTCAGTGGTTTTGCTCACATATCCTCCCCCAAACTCACTCATTCTTGGGCCTGGGGATTTGGGCACATCCAATTTGCTGCAGCATGTCTCATATTCACCCCTTTAGTGCCTCCCATGCCTGTCATGTACTGAAGCCCCTCATGCTTGATGTCCCAGGGGTACCCACCTCTTCCTAAGAAGCACCTTTCATCACTTGCTCCCCAATACAGACATTGCTGTCTGGATTCAGAGTGGGAGCCTTCCCAGGAGGGTGCCCAGCCTACCCGTGTGGCTTAAGATCTGCATTTCAAATACAGTCCTCTTGAGAAAAAGGTTAACTCCCTTTGTGTTTTCCTGGTAGGTTTTCTTTCTCCCAAAGACTCTCCAAGGAGCTTCTCATCTGAGCTTCTCATCTGAAAGTACCATCGAGAGGAGCAGTGATCCAGCCTCTGCTGCATTGTAGAGACAAGAAGGGCTTTGCTTGTCAGATTTTCATTTCTTCTTTTTAAAATATACTTCTCTTTTTAGAGGAGGTTAAATGGTGTCATAATTCATACTTGTGAAATAATTTGAAAGTCAAATTCCCAACAGCATCCGAGACCGAAGGTGGTTGTTTGGAGTTATGGTCAGCTTCTTCATAAAGGAAGACACTGGGTTGGCGTTGACAGACATACTGACGGACACATCGTGTTTCATTTCTCCGTCTCAATTTAAATGTAGACCATGGCTTCTTCACCTCAGCAGTATTGACATTTGGGCTGGATCATTGTCTGTTGGTGGGCGTTGTCCTCTGTGTGCATTGTAGAATGTTTGGCAGCATCCCTGGCCTCTGCCCACTAGATGCCAGTAGCACTCAACCCCCATTCCCTGCCAAGTTCTAATAAGTAGAATTGTCTCCAGGTATTGCCAGTATTTCCTGGGAAGCCCTAGTTTCAAACTGCTGGTATAGACTGTAGTAAGCCCCACGAGGGCATTGTGGCATCCCTGCTGCCTGGCATGCAGTGGACGCTCAGTTATTATTTACTGAATAGATGACAAGCCTAGTATGTATTTCACTACTCCTCACTAGCCCCAGATCCTCAGAATCTGACCCAGAACTGGAGTTCCTGTCTAAATCTAGCATATGGCACACCCACCCCCAGTGCTACCACCATACTTGTCCACCCTCCAGGTCCCCACAACTGTTTTGCTCCTTCCTGGAATTAAACATTTGCTAATACCCATTACTAGACCAGTGGTTCTCACAGCGTGGTCCCAGAACTAGCAGCAGCAGGAGCATCACCTAGGAACTTGTTAGAAATGCAAATACCAGCCCTACAGAATCAGAACCCCTGGGGGTGGGGCCCAGTTGATCTATTTTTACAAGCTCTCCACCTGATGCCAATGCCCACTCAAGCCTGAGAACCACTGACCTAGACTAAGGCCTTTTTTTTTTTTTTTTTTTTGAGACGGAGTCTGCTCTTTCGCCCAGGCTGGACTGCAGTGGCGCGATCTTGGCTCACTGCAAGCTCCGCCTCCTGGGTTCACACCATTCTCCTGCCTCAGCCTCCCTAGTAGCTGGGACTACAGACGCCCGCCACCGTGCCCGGCTAATTTTTTGTATTTTTAGTGGAGACGGGGTTTCACCGTGTTAGCCAGGATGGTCTCGATCTCCTGACCTCATGATCCGCCTGCCTCGGCCTCCCAAAGTGCTGGGATTACAGGTGTGAGCCACCGCACCCGGCCTTTTGTTTTTTTTTGTTTGTTTGTTTGTTTTTTTTTGTTTTGTTTTGTTTTGGAGATGGAATTTTGCTGTGTCGCCTAGGCTGGAGTGCAGTGGTGCAATCTCGGCTCATTGCAACCTCTGCCTCCCTGGTTTAAGCAATTCTCCTGCCTTAGCCTCCAGAGTAGCTGGGACTATAGGCACTCACCACCAAGCCTGGCTAATTTTTGTATTTTTAGTAGAGATGGGGTTTCACTATGTTGACCAAGCTGGTCTCGAGCTCCTGACCTCGTGATCTGCCTGCCTCGGCCTCCCAAAGTGCTGGGATTACAGACGTGAGCCACCGCGCCCGGCCAGACTAAGGTTTTTAAAGCTTCTCTGATGATGAGAATCACCAGAGTATGTGTTTAGTAAATGGATTCCCGGTCCCACCTCAGATCTGAAGATTCACATCTGCAGGGAAGAGGTCTGGGAAGATAATAGAATGAACAGGTGCCCCACAAAATTCTTATCAGGGATGATTGATTGGGAAACATACCCCAATCCTACTCCTCTGGTCAGTGTCCTAGAACATTGTACAAAGCCCACTGTCATTTTCTTCCTCTCTGACAAGATCCTGAGTCTCTTGTTTGGGAAGTGATTGTCCCGTTTCAGATACTCTGACACTTTAAGCCGAATGCATGGCTCTCATCCTATCTTCACTGTTGTCTGGTCAACACTGTATGTTTGCAAACCCTTTTCTGCTACTTGAGCTCCTCGAGCAGATAGTGTCTTATTTACCTTAATTTCTCTTTCCTAGAACATGATAGAAGTCCACACCCTTATGTGCCATTCTAAAATACAAAAAGCTCTGAAAACTAAAATGTTTTATTACTCATTGGGTGATAAAACTTGTTCTGGACTGACATATGCCTACTCATAGTCTTTATTTTTCCCACTTGGAGTGACCAGTCATCCATTTACTGCAGAATTTTAATGGTTGGGTGCAGCCCCAGCCCCCAGCTGAGGATGTTACGTATTATATGGTATATGCAGTATATTTCCTTTCTAAAATCTGAATAATCCTGTCCCCAGGGCTTCTGAGTGAGGGATTACCAACCAGTAGTGTCTGAGATAATATTTGTCAGTTGAACGAGAGAATTTCTGATTATGATGTGCGTGAAACTAGATTATCCCTGAGCTTGATACTTTTGTTGTACTGTCCCAAGGGAAAGGAAAACTCCAGTTTTAGGTGTGACCTGGTACTTTCCAAATGCTGCTTAAAGCTCTGAAAGTCTTCCTAGCAGAATCTGCCTATGACACATGGGGTTTTGATCTTTATACCCTAAAACTGAACTCAGAGAGTTGTCCTGGATTTAATGTTATTTCCTTCTGTGTATATGTTCAGCTTGCTGATATATTTATTCTGTTGGTTCTGCTTTTATTTTTTTTTAAGCTGAGAGGGTTTTTGCTTGTTTGTTTGAAGTTGGTTTGTTTTTATTGAATAGATTATAAAACTAGCTGCAGGCAGTCATGTGATGTGGGCATGTGAGTTCAATTCCTTTAACAGTCTGTTTTTAATATTATGTAAATTTCTAAAAGTTTAGAGATTGAAATAATGTTTTTTGGGGAGGGTGTAAATCATGACTGGACATTTTGGTGATTTTAATAGAGCAAGCTTCTTAAAATTTGAAAGCCAATAATTAGTACTGGGGCTCTTGATGTGGGAACTAGGTAACTAACAGCTTTGGGGTCCTCAAACCTTCTGATATTGTATACATTTTCTCTGCACATTTGAGTGTGTGTGTGTATGGTTTGTTGTGTTGTGTTTTTTTTTTTCTGGAAAGAGTCATTGCTTTTTATCAGATTCTTAAAGGACTCTAAGACAAAAAAAGGCTTATGAACTGATTTAGGATTTCAGTCTTATGCTAATTCATTAGTCATTTTTAACCTTTCTAAAGAAAAAAGACAAAATCATCTCAAATTGCTGGATAAATTATGCTTTATTTTTTCTCTCTCTCTCTCTCTCTATGTGTGTGTGTCTATTCATTCCTATTTGATCTCTAATTAAATCCATCCAATTGATGAATAGATGGAAAATGCCTGCCTCTCAAAATTAATTTAATTCCCTTCTTCTCCAACTCTGTCCGATACTCATTTAAAATTTATAATCTTCCCACATCCAAAGGATGTGGAATTATACCCTTCTTTTAAGACATATCAAATGCCTCCTCTTTTGAGAACTTTCTCCTGAATGTAATCTTGCCTTTCTCTGAAACACAACAATATTCCATCATAGTGAGTTTATGTGTATGCATGGCTTTGTCTTTTCTTTCTGCCATTCTCCTCCCCTTGCTTTTCTCCAAGAATTAGACTGTCACTTCCATGCAGGGACAGGAGGGGGTGGTTGGGCTTACTTGTATATTACAGTCCCCCAAATTGGCAATGTCTTTTTCATGGTGGTGGTCCAATAAATATTTAAGTGGAAGTCAGGAACATCTTTGTTCCATATACTTTAACATTAAAACCACAAACTCAGAGTTAATAATTTTTTTGCAGATAACAATTTTGAGTGTCTTAAAGCCACTGATACATCCAATGCAACGTAGTATTTTTTTTCTTTCTTCTAAAAAAAAAAAAACGGGATACACGTGCAGAATGTGCAGGTTTGTTACACAGGTATATGTGTGCCATGGTGGTTTGCTGCACCTGTTGACCCATCCTCTAAGTTCCCTCCCCTCATCCCCCACCCCCCAACAGGCCCTGGTATGTGTTGTTCCCCTCTCTGTGTCCATGTATTCTCAATGTTCAACTCCCACTTATGAGTGAGAACATGCGGTGCTTGGTTTTCTGTCCCTGTGTCAGTCTGCTGAGGATGATGGCTTCCAGCTTCATCCATGTCCCTGCAAAGGACATGATCTCATTCCTTTTTATGGCTGCATAGTATTCCATGGTGTATATGTACCACATTTTCTTTATCCAGAAATATTTTTATTTTCTAATACTACTGAATTCAGGCTCAAATGCCTCATCAATAAAAATACATTCCTGTTTTAAAATATGTCATAATAAATTAAAGTGTGTGAAGCTAATGGTTGCCGGGTTTGGTCAGGAGTTCTGGGTGATAGTGCCTGTGACTAGAGTCATGAAAAGTCACAGCTCAAAGTCAGAGCTCCCAGGAACTCAGGTCTAGCCCAGTGTGCCCCTTGGAGCCCTCAGAGCTTCACTGACATGTCTTTGGGGACCTGGGTGGGAGATGGGACAGCCCTACTCCCCAACCAGAACAGCTCTTTTTCAGTTCCTTTATATTTGAGCTCTGGAATACCTTGAAATTTGCTAAGTGTCCTGCTGAAGTTAACCAGACTCTCCTCTCTCCCCTCCTTAGCTGGTCCCTGATTTTACACCTGAGGACACTGAGGTCATCCAGAGTTGTAGTGTGATTGTCTCAGGTCATGTGCTTGCGAAAGCCCAGCTGGGAACCCAACCTAGTCCCAAGTATCCTGCCTTCTGGCCCACCGTCCTCTCCTCCTCCTCCTTGTGGCCCCTCCAAGTGTTCCTCCACTTTATAGGGGTCACTTGGAGATCATCAAGAAACATTGAGTGGGAGCTCTGTGTCCGGTTTTGGGGGGTGCAAAGAGGGCTGAGATATGCTGCAGCAAGCCCTGGCACCAGGATCTCCTCTTTTTCTCTAACAGTGGTGCTTTCCAGATAATTCTGTGTCTAATGCCTTACACATAAAACAGCATAGCTGCACAGTCGAAGTGTTCTAAAGCTGGATTATGGTGATGGTTACACAACTGTATAAATTTATTAAAACTCATCAAATTATCACTGATTTTCTTGGCATTCCTCTTGCAGTTGAAATATGATTTCAAGAGCACCAAACACTGTACTGACGTCCAACAAAGATAAAACTGTTAAAAGGAGAATGGCAGGGGCAACTGTCTTCCTCAAGTCTGCCTGTCTGTCTCTCTGTGTCTGTCTGTCTCTCTCTCTCTGTCTCTCCATGTCTCTCTCTCTCTGTGTCTCTCTGTGTCTCTCGGTCTCTCCGTCTCTCTCTCTTTCTTTCCCTCTGTCACACACACACACACACACACACACACACACACACACACACACACACACACACACACACACACACCAGGGAACAAAATCTAACAGCCTCTCCCACCCCCAGCAGATTTCCTCTCACATCTCATTGGCTGCAAATAGAGCACCTGCCCATCCCTAAACCAGTCACCAACAAAAGAGAGTGAGATTAACATTATTTGCCTGGACATATTTTGCTTTATCCCCAGGGCTGTGAGAGGGTTCCATGTTCCTGAATGTAATGCCTGAACAAATTAGGATTCTGTGAACTAGGAAGAGGGTGGGGAATGTCTGCTGGGATGTTAACCAACAGTCTCTATTACACTTAATTAACTTTTTTTGACTGAAGGGAACAGAAACATGACCTGTTCTTTCTTTGTTGGCTGTGGGTTTCTGTATTCTTTGTAAAAATTGTTTCATGATTTCCATCCAAATAATTATTCTTAAAGCCAGGACTCTGTAGTGCAGTTCTTCAGTGATACTGTGTTTGTGTTGTTGTAAGTTTTGAGATTGGCAGTCATATTTCACTAGCACAGTCAATAGGAAAATTGGTGAGGAGCTGTCATTATCCAATTTAAACATGTTTTAACTTTTTCTGTCTCTGTAGAACATTTGACCAATTCAGATTTGGGGAGGTTTGCTATTACTAAGTAAAGAGAGATAGAACGTTGGTAACTATATGGGTTTAGGAATATGGTATTGATGGAATTTAGAACTATTGCCCCTCAGCACAGGTTAAGGGGCAAAAGCCATCAGAGGCCCAGAATACCCAAGATGGAAGATTTCCAACACTAGGACAGGGAATGTAACTAATATTTTCAAGCTATTGTAACAGAATATGAAAACATCTGCACAAAAGCAAAGTGAATACCGCCTCTCCTCCCTTCACTCCTTCCCCTTCCCCTTCCTCCCTCTCTTCTCTGTCCTATCCCAACCCTAGACCATAGTGTATCTGTATTATGGATTTCTTAATTGCTTTTATTTTATATGTCACAATCTCTGGTTGTTGGGATGTTAACCAAAATAAATAAACACATTTCAGTAATATAAATTACACTAGGGACAGTATAATTGTCATCAAGAGGTTACCTCTAAGACATAGCTCTAGGTTGTGATCCGTCTGCAGGAACGGGCCTGATGCTTGGGAAATATCTAAGGCCATTCACAGCCATTAGGTTTGTTGACTTTGATGCAGAATAATCGATGCCTGTCCCAGTAGATACTAATTCTCTTGAATTTTTCTGTCCACCTTCTGTCCTGAATCATCAAGGCCTAGTTTTCCAAGTCTCCATTTCCGAAATACAAATGTTTTCACTATCTTCGTAACTTGTGCTTTCAGATAAATAGAGATGATTTAACAGCACATGGACTTTCAAAAGCATGTAATTCAGGACATACTTAAATCGATTTTTAGTGGCCTTAGTATTTTTCCCTCTTTGGTGAGGGCTATTGCATCTCTTTGCTGAGGAACAGCCATCTATGCATAGGGAGGTTCCCACAGAAAGGCCATGGGACATATTTGAACAAGCTTACCCCCACACATATGTGTGTAAAGAATGTTCAGTCAATACTTGTTGGCTGTTTATGGTTGGCATGTGCTTACATAGAAATACATTGACATTTGTCTCTTAAGACGTACCATAATGGGGTAACTTTTCATTGTTTTATGTATCCTGGGTAGCTTTGTAACATGTATAAATACCTTGTTTCTAATTTAGTAATGTGTGGGAAAAGGCAGTGAGGCAAAACTTAAGGTTTTTTTGCCCTCTGTAGACTATATATGTTTATGCATGCACCTGAAGAGTATATAAAATGGTATATGTCTGTTTTCCTGAGTAAGGAAACCTTTTTACCTTTCTGCCAGAGAAAAGCAAAGCAGTCAGGGGCATCTCATGATGTCACATGATTTGTAAGGGGAAAAAAAGTGGAAGCCAATAAATATACATGAGCCAAAAATGAGCACTCTCGGGTCATTTTCTGAGGGTCACCCTTTCTTCATGCAGCAGTAATATGCTACCTGTTAAGTGTGCCTTTCCCTGAACTTAATGTGATAGAGATCATTTTCTCCTGGGCCAGCTCATTAGATAAAGCATTTTAAAGGTTATGTTTTCTGTTTTTCTTATAGGCAAGGATTACTGCAAAGTAATATTTCCATATGAGGCACAGAATGATGATGAATTGACAATCAAAGAAGGAGATATAGTCACTCTCATCAATAAGGTAAACAAAGGTTGTCTCCTACCTTCTAAATCGCGAACTGCTTTGGGGTGTTGACTGGACAGTATAAGCTTTTGCTTCAGCGCTTGAAAGCTTGGTTTTCTCAGTCCTGAACTTGTGAGGAAGAATCTTGTATCTTTCCTTTTGATCAAGCTAAGCCCAGCATCCAAGTGAATGCATTCGTTGAGACGAGAATAGATTTGTTTGCCTTAGGACCAGCTGCAGATTTGCATGGTCCTTCAGAAAAGTCTGTTCCAGAAGGAATAACCCAAAAGGCAGCCTGCTCGGCTGGAGATCCTGCCCTCCACAGCAGCCAGGCTGCAGAGCTCTGTGTCCTGAGGTATCCGAGGAGGAGTTTTTTTTTAAAACGCTGGTCATGCCTCACAGGCAGAAAACGCTTAAAGAATGTTTGCTGTTCAGATCAAAGACAGGTAGAGTGCCTGAGAGAATTTTTCCTGTCTCGTTTGGGCTAAGAAGATTGAATGATTTTATTATTATTAGAGCCAGAGCCCTGTAAATAAACAGAGAGCTATAAAATCTGTGTGAAGTGATGCAATTGAACAAGGGCCTTGGCTGTGTACTTTGTGTGCTTTCACACAATGGTACTCACCAAGTAGGTGGTTGAAAGATATATTATTTAAGCAATACCCAGAATATATGACTTTTTCTCTGAAGAACAGCATTTTTGTGATGGTCAAATATGGTAAGAAGCTGAATGGTCTTGAAGATGTGTATGGTGGTTTTATTCTTGTATTCAGGGGAGTGACAGGGAACTTAGCACAGTTCCCTTAGCACAAGTGTGACTTGGGAGATCATCGTGGCTGCCTGCGCTCGCTCTCGCAGGGCTGGGAAGCCTTGGCAGGGTGGAGGATGCAGGGAAGGGGAAGAGATTGCAGGTGCATAGAGTGGGAGTAGGCCCAGGGTCCCGCCGACTGTGGCCATTACTGAGAGGGTGGAGACTGTGGTGTCACCTGGCCCTACCCCTCCCCCAGGGCTTGTCCATAAGGTGATCAGTAAGATTTGCCTTTGTTATCAAGAGGTTACCTCTAAGACATGGCTTTAGAGATTGTGTGTTTTAAGAGCCAAATCCAAACATGTCAGGGAACTAATGACCCAAGAAGTTAACTAGCTTGCCACAGGTCAGGAGTTTTAGGGAGAAAGCTGGTCCTCTCATGGACTCCATATAACAGTGGTATGGAGTATATAATGCTTTCTGGAACAGCAAATCATTCCCTGTTTTGCAGATCACCCAAGAACTCGTCCATCTTTTTACCTGTAAAGTATTCTCCCCTGAAGTTATTTCAGTATGTCTCTGTAGGTGTTGAACATGGCAGGAGGAAATGAGGGGAAGAATGCTTCCCTTGTTGTTTTCTGCAAATGAGGCAGAAGTGATTCTTTTCTGTCTCTTTCAGATTGCTTTCTGACACACAGTGCATTTCCTATTTTTAATCAGACCTGTAACCAAACAAGCGGAATAAGGAAGTTGTTAAATGGGTGTGAAGCACAATACGAATGCTGTAATAATTAGCACAGATAATTTGGTTTTAGAAATACTGGGAAAGGGCTAGAGTGCTTTTTTCCCCCTTGATGATAAAGCAACCAGAGAATTAAATAACTGCTATTCTTTGCAGTGGGAGGGAGCGGGGGACTCACTAGCCTGTTTTTGTTTTGTCTTTGGAAGAGAGGGAGCCTCTTTTTAGTTGAAAACCTGGTATGTCAATAATATTTAATGAGGTCTGAGAAAAGACACACATCTGTTTCTATTTTGACATATTATACTCCAGTCCTTCCATTTGAATACATATCATAATGAGAACACATTCATCTTGATGATTTTGTTCCTAACCTCCCAGCCTGAGATCCAGTCTGATAAAAATTAATGTGATTTTTCTAATGACCTTAGTCAGAAAGGGAGTATCTATCGGTCCCATCCACATGGTACAGATAAATGAACAGGTAGATGTGGCAAGCTGCTTTCAAGAGTGTTGTGAAGGTTACATCCCATTTCTCTGGTTTCATAGATTAACGTATTTGAAAGCAATTTAGAAACTGAAGCAGCGCACTGCTATTAATATTATATTTGCAAAACATGACGTTGTCATCTCTGCTGTACACTTGGTCTGTTGACCTGACTTTCACATTGATCCAACTCCTCAGGCCTAGAGTTCTCATATCACCATTTTGACACTTGGTCCTCCTAGTCCCACCCTGCTCCCACCCACAAGCCTTTCTCTATCCCTGCCACTTCCTGCCCTGCAGAGCTAAGCACAGGCTTGAGTTGTTCTGTATCTGTCCAGGCCAGGTGAGCAAGGACCAGGCTTCCTCCATCCTTCTTTCTCTATCACCCACCATAGCACCCGGTCTGGAGGAGAGCCCTGGGGTAGTGAAGGATGGAGGGATGTTTCCCCCCACTCCAGTGTCCCCTACCCACTTCATCCCTAGCACCTCAGCCCCTTCTTTTTGTCATTCTCTAACACTGCTGTGCTCACTTACCCTTCTGCACCAATCAAAATCTTTAGTAACTTTCTTTTTCTTTATTGTAAAATCCAGATAGATGATCCTAGCACTCCTTCACCCGTCCTGACCTCAGTCTGTCTTGGTGGCCTTGGTCCATGTGGCTGTTCTGCAGGTACCCCCCGTATATCCCCCTCCTGCTTATGTGTCCTCACTAACTTGACTCAGACCATGTTCCTGATGCCCGAGATGCCCTCTGCCTACCCACATTGCTATTTTTTGTTTGTTTTGCTTTATTTTGTTTTTGAGACAGGGTCTCACTCTGTCGCCCAGGCTGGAGTGCAATCGTGTGATCTCGGCTCACTGCAACTTCCACCTCCCAGGTTCGTGCGATTCTCCCACCTCAGCCTCCTGAGTAGCTGGGATTACAGGTGTGTGCCTGTACAGTAAATCATGCCTGGCTAATTTTTGTATTTCTAGTAGAGACGGGGTTTTACCATGTTGCTCAGGCTGGTCTTGAACTCCTGACCTCAAGTGATCCACGCGCCTCAGCCTCCCAAAGTGCTGTGATTACAGGCGTGAGCCACTGCAGCCGGCCTAGCCACTGCACCCGGCTTCCAGTTTGCTGGGTTTTTTTGGATAGCTAATCACACAGCCAGTCTTAACTCATGCTGCTTGGGCCCATTTTAGAGCTTGCTGCTTAAGAAAATCCTTTGTGCTCTATCATTTTGCTTTTATTATTTTTTTATACAACCTGCTGGGAAATCAAATCTCTTGCTATCCTGTGCTTGTGCAGATTTTTACTTTTATTTCCATAAAATGCCTGCCAGCCTTAACCTAGCATTCCAGTTTGCCGGAAGCGGTGTGTTCAGATGACAAGTGCCATGTAGGCTACCAGCTCCCAGAACCAGGGTTTGAATCCCAGCTCCACTGTTCCTGGCTGTGTCTTTTCGGGCATGTTGCTTACCCCCTCTGAGTCTGAGTTTCCTCAGCCATAAAGCAAGGGCCATAAAGCTGACCTCACAGGGCTGCTGCGAGGATTTACTCTGGCAGGGAGGAGTCTGTCAGTGGCACCCATAATTCTAGGAATTGTCACCCAACCCTGGCTGCTCTTTCTTGGGCCCTGGAAGTGGGAATGGAAGGGCTGTTGTGTCTGAGCCCAGTTTGCTGCTGAGGCTGGAATGCCATGACGTTAAGTAGGTTAAAATGGTGAAAAATCCACCTAAAATAGTTAAGTGTTCACAGTGGAGGAGATTTTAGCAAGAATTTGGAAAGAAAACATGCCATAAATATTTTGCTTGCTGAAAGTGGGAAGAATGGAGTCGGAGCCTGTAAAACCCTGCTGACATTATAGAAGATTGTTACTCTTCCTCTAAGTTAGGAATCGCCCAGAAGTTCATTGAGATGATTGTATACTATTGCTATTATAAAATGAATGGTTTCACCATGATCTGTTTAATATGCATTCTGATACGCATATTTATTGGATGTAGGAGTTGAGGTGAAAGACCTGAACTGCTGTTCTCTAAATTCTGTGTTCGCCGTAGAGGTTCCTGATAGACCCCGAATTCCTCTGACATTTACTTTGGTATCATTGAAGGTGGTTTCCCTTTGCCCTGCTTTTCTGTGCTGTAGCAGGAGTCACAGAGCAGGCTTTGCCCTCATTTTTAGCCCCAGATTGTCAGTTCATGTGGCTTTCTAGAAAATGAGTCAGACACCTTTAGTGGGTGTGTATAAGCCCTCTGCAGTTCCTGAAATAATGTGCAAAGACCCAAACTATTTCTGTATGTCCCTGGAAGCCAGGAGGAAATGTGGCAACCTGAATGGTTTGTTTTCTAGTTTATTTATAAAGAATTCTTGTGAATTTAGGAACATTTCCACTCGTGCAGAACACACCTGTGTTTAGCTTTTATTTCCAGTCACTCAAAAATAACTCCCGTGTCTGTGTTCCTGCCACCCCCATCCCTGCCTTCCTGATTTGTGCTCAGAGTGTGTTTGAAAAGGTTCCGAAGCTTCTGGGTCTCATCCCAACTGGAGAAGCTTCCTGGAGAAGGGCTGAGGGCAGCTTGGCAGGAGCTATGCCAGGGCTCAGCTGCAAGGGTGAGATGGCCATTGGAAGGTGTCCCACGCTGTGGCCGCTGCCGCTTGGGGCAGAATGAGCCCAGCTGTGGAGAGTGGCCATGTTCCCACTCTTGGCCAACAGCCTCCTGGCCTCAGAGCAACAGCCATTCCTCACAGCTCCCACTAACCTAGGAGGAAAGGCTTCCTCTGTGACCCTATTGTAAACAAGGACCTTTAGGTGTTTCTTATCAAACAGGCTTCCTTGGGTAGTTGTGTCTTTGACCCTTAAGCATACCCAACCTCCCTGTCTTCATTGTTTTAAGCCTATTTGATGACATCAAGATGAACGCTTAGAAAGCTAACGTTATTGGTCAAAATCGTGGAGTCGTAGAGATGGAGGGAAGGGAACGGAAGCAATATTAGCTAGCATTAATGTTCATGGAAGGAAACTGATAGACACACCCTAGAGAAAGAGGGGACCCAGGCCGGGCTCAGTGGCTCCCGTCTCTAATCCTAGCAGTTTGAGTGGCTGAGACGGGAGGATCACTTGAGCCTGGGAGTTTGAGACCAGCCTGAACAACATGGTGAAACCCCATCTTCACCAAAAAATACAAAAATTAGCCAGGTGTGGTGTTGTGTTCCTATAGTTCCAGCTACTTGGGAGGCTGAGGCGGGAGGGTTGCCTGAGCCCAGGAGGTTGAGGCTGCAGTGAGCCATAATTGTGCCACTGCACTCAGGCCTAGGGGACAGAGTGAGACCCTGTCCCCCAAACCACAAAAAAGAGGGGACCCAGAATATTAGCTAAAGACGGTTAGTGGCATCCCCAACACAGTAGTACAGTCATCTTTCCTTGGACCATGAGGATTATCCACTGAAGATTATTGACAACAATTTTAATTTGCACCCTGTCCTCTTCCCCTCACAATGTTCGTTCACTCATTCATTCATTCATTCATTCATTCATTCATACATCGAAGAATATTTATGGTGTGCCAGGAGCTGTGCAAAATGCTGGAATACAATGGTAAGCCAAAAATTCAAACCAGGAATTTTGCTTCTTTGTAGGGACCCCAAGTATTTGGAGCTAGACATGCTGTGAGGGCACAGTTAGAACCGCTCCTTTTCATCTCTACCTCAATATGTTTTCCTCCCTCCTGTCCCAGACAACAGTTGAACATTTAATTAACTTAATGATAGCTAGATCTTTCTCCAGGACCACAGCTTCCCAGCACAGGATTCTGAACCACTGGCAGCAAGAGCCCGGGACCATCATCACCATTCCCCTTTCCTCAGGAGTCTCCCCGGAGCTCAGCATTTCCCCTCATCTTCACAGCAACCCCGGGAATTAGGTGGGACCATGCGTGTTCTCTGCAGATTACAAAGGAGGAGCAGAGGCCCAGAGTGCTGAAGCAGCTTTCCCGAGGGACTCCCAGCAAGTCAGTGGCAGAGCCAGGTCAGAGGCATCTGCTGACCCTGGGCCAAGTGCTCTTGGAACTTGGGGGCTGGGCAAGGTGGTAACTGCGGGTGGAGTTCGTGTTTCCTGTGGGGCTGAGTCACTTCCAGAGGTGACTCTTGTCTACTCATTGAGAGTCCTCATTGTTACTGGATATCCAGGGCAAGTGTCTGTGGAGTTTCCTTTGTAAGGTAATGACATTATCATTGTTACTTAGCAGAAAAACAGTATTACCATGCCATCACCCCATCCTTTGTTGCTGATGCTCGCGTTTTGAAATCTATGTTTCCGATCTGTTAGGGTCAGGACATCACTGTGGTGGTTTCTGGATCATCCATGACTGTAGGAGTCCACTGCCACCTCTAAAAGAGTGAAATGATGGTCCATGCAGAGGGAATGATGAGTTCAGCTCAGGGTTGACATTGGTTCTTTTTGTGCCTGAGGCCTGCCTCCCCAACTGCTTTCTTCCAGTTTCTTCCCATGCCCAGAGTATTTTGCCTTCCTCTTTTCTTCCTAGCCTGGTTGCCACTTAGCTTTCCACTCGCTGTCGGGGGGCAAAAAAAAATGCAGGCGGGAGTCCTGAGGCCCTTCCTAAGACATTCTGTGATCAACTCTGTTATTTTTTTTGTTCTAATGTTTATTTCCCCTTCCTGCCTCCCTCCCATTAATTCATTAATGAACTAAAACATGTATTCATGAGAAAAATGTTTTCAGACTTCCTTGCTTCCCACCCCACAGGAAAATAAGGTTGCCTTCACAAAGAGAAGCAGCCTCAGGAATCTCAAGCAAGATCCTTAGCTTGGCAGGAAGAAAGCCGATCAGCTAAATCGATTGCTGGCCCTGACCCTTTCTCTCTGAACTGCTGAAGCTTTTAGCAGAGCTCAAATGGTAGGATTAAATGTGGTTCCAAGGGTGAGGAGTAAATTAGCACGTGTCACCCTGAAGATGATGACATGCTGACAGACCCATTAGACAGACATGTTTTATGAGTGAATGAAGAAGTTAAGCATAGGTCTGGGATCATCTGGGTTTACAGACATTTGGAAAATGTCAGTGTTGAGCAAATGAGTCATTGATGTCATAGAATGTATTTCTTGCAGCATGGCCTATCTTGTTAGACTGCTTATGTCCTTATTCTAGACAAAAGTCACAATATATCTCCTCCTCAGAGCATTTAAAACCCAAAGGAGTATAATTTGTTGCTGTTTTGTCTTCCTTTTATAAGTAGCCAGGACACTGGGACCAGTGAGAAGAATCATTACCATCACACAGACATAGTTTTAAATTACATGAGGATGGTAAACATAGGGCTTGGGGTGGGAGAAAATATCGTTTTAGTTCACCAGTAGACAGTTGTTGAAAGGCCACCCCAACATTTTGATGGTCGTTATTATAGATTTTTCCTTTGTATCATGGACAGATGAGCTTGCAGCTGATGTAAATTCCCAGGTGCATATGCCTACACAAATTATATAAAACTGTCTAAAGAGATCCTGTGTTTGTTCAACCTAATTGTCATATCTCTGCAGAATGTTGTGCTAAAGTGGCAGGACATCAGTAATCCCCCATCTTGGAATACTTTTTTTTCCCCTCTGCAACACACAGAAAAAAAAAATCTGTAGGTATCTTAAGGAATTAGAGAAACTCCCCTTTTTTTTCTGTTTCTATCTCCACCCTTTCTATTTGTATTACTCTGTTAGGGGTGTTCTGAGGCTTAAATGACATGTTGTATTCAAAAGTGCTTTGGAAACATAAAGGTTAAATCACAGGGCTGGGTGTAGTGGCTCACACCTGTAATCCCAACACTTTGGGGAGGCTGAGGTAGAAGGATTGCTTGAGCCAAGGAGTTTGAGACCAGCTTGGGCAACATAGCGAGAGACTCTGTCTTTACACACACAATATTTTCTTTAAAGGTTAAATCATAGTTATTGCTATGATAAGTTATTAGAAGAAGATGAAAAGACAAATGCCTGGTAACTGAATGTTCTTTCCTGGTATATTGAACTGTCCTGAAATTAAGGTCAGTACTTCCCCTGAAGTTCCTTTTCATTATTTATTTTAGCTTTTCTTAGGATGAAAGTAATGTATTACAGTTGTGTAACCTGTCTTGTTCAGTATCTCAGAGTGCTTTGCATTCATATTTGCATTTTATTAAAATACACGGTTTCTGAGATGAAAGTGGCATGGGATATACTTTTTTGTTTGTTTGTTTTTTGAGATGGAGTCTCGCTCTGTCACCCAGGCTGGAGTGCAATGGCGTGATCTTGGCTCACTGCAACCTCCGCCTGCCGGGTTCAAGTGATTCTCCCGCCTCAGCCTCCGAGTAGCTGGGATTACAGGCAACTGCCATCATGCCTGGCTAATTTTTGTATTTTTGTAGAGACGGGGTTTCACCATGTTGGCCAGGCTGGTCTTGAACTCCTGACCTCGGGTGATCCGCCCGCCTGGGCCTCCCAAAGTGCTGGGATTACAGGCATCAGCCACCACGCCTGGCGGGGATACACTTTTAAGTCATACTTTAAAATTGTATAAATAACACTTACTCTTGGAAAAAAAATGAGAAAAACAGACAAATAAATACAAAGAAAAATCAAAATTACCGGTGACCTTACCACCTTCACATACCTCTTAATATTTTCGCAATTATTCTTTCAGACTTTTTCCATATGTGCACATAATTACAGTTTAAAATAAAAATAGGATCATATTACATACACTATTTTATAATAACCCTCTTTGTCCAAAATACATCATGATTATCCTTGGCAGCATGGGTAAATGATTCCTTAGCATCCTGAATCCTAATGTATGGAGAGAGTACCAAAATCCTCTTTTTTTTTTTTTTTTTTTTTTTTTGAGTCAGAGTGTCACTCTTTTGCCCAGGCTTGAGTGCAGTGGCATGATCTCGGCTCACTGCCACCTCTGCCTCCTGGGTTCAAGCGATTCTCGTGCCTCAGCCTACTGATGAGCTGGGACTACAGGCCTGTGCCACCACACCCAGCTAATTTTTGTATTTTTAGTAGAGATGGGGTTTCGCCATGTTGGCCAGGCTGGTCTTGAACTCCTGACCTCAAGTGATCCGCCTGCCTTGGCCTCCCAAAGTGCTGGGATTACAGGCGTGAGCCACTCGGCCTGGCCCTCGACAATCCTCTTTTATGCTTAGCTTGTTTCCAGTTTTTCTTTGTGTTAGACCATGTTGCACATAGTCGTCACCCTGTTCAACAGTCTTTGTGTGCATTTCTGCCACTTCCTTCTAGCTGTGATACCTTGGCAGGTTACTCATCTCTGTGTGCATCAGTTTTCACATCTGTGAAATGAGAGTAATAATAGTACCTACATCCTGGTGTTGTGAAGATTAAATGAGATGAAGTAGGTAAAGCATTTAGAAAGCCTGGGTCCTAATAGCTGCTACATAAATGTTAGCAGTTACTATTTCCTGATGATAAATTGCTCAGTGTAATACTGTATTGATGCATTTTGAGGGCATATTGAGGATACATCCTGAAAGATTGTGCCAATTTAGTCTCCTCACAGGAGTGCATGCAAATATATTTCCCTATTCTTGTCATCCCTGGATATTATCATTCTTTTTAATCTCTGCTAATGTGATTTGGGCTCTGCTAATTCTGCATTTTAAAAAATGATTACCGAGCTTGAACATTTTATGCATCATTTCCAATTGATTTTTATAAAAATACCTTATATTCATGACATTAACCTGTCATCTTCATATTACAAATATTTTTTCTTAGTTTATGACTCATGGAGATCTTTAAGAAAAAAAGTCATTAAAATAAGTGCCTTTTAGGCTTAAAATTTCCTCATTTTATAGTTAACTGTATAGTGCAGTAAAATGTGTCCTTTTAAAAATAGTTTTGATTAAGGTTTTTATATTTTATTTCTAGCTGGAAATGGTAGCCAACTATTAAATGCATTCTTTTTCTGCCTTCCTCAGGGCTTTCAGTGTTTTTATTTAAAGCTTCTGTCTTTACAGTATTTTTTTTATAGTGGCATTGAGAGAGTCCCTGAGGTTCTGCATGGATGCGTATAAGGATCCTCATATCCTAGAACAGGGTTTGGCAAACTTCTGCAGAGGGCCAGGGAGTAAATATTTCAGGCTTTGTGGGTCATGCAGTCTGTGTCACAATTACTCAACTCTGCCATTTTAGAGCAAAAGCAGCCATAGAGGTAAATGAATGGGTGTAGCAGAGTTCCAATGAAACTTTATTTATGGATACTTAGATTTGAATGTCATATAATTTTCACATTTCTTGAAATATTCTTCTTCTTTTGATTTTTAAAAACCATTCAAAAATGTAAAAACTATTCTTAGTTTGTGGACCATAGAGAAATAGGTGGCAGGCTAGACCTGGCCCATGGGCTGTAGTTTGCTGGCCCTTGAAATAGAATATCTGGAAATAGACTCATAAAAAAATCCAGCCGATTAATTTTCAACAAAGATACAAAGACAGTTTAAGAGAGGATAATCTTTTCAAGAAATGGTGTTGGCGACCGGGCATGGTGGCTCACGCCTGTAATCCCAGCACTTTGGGAAGCCAAGACGGGCGGATCACGAGGTCAGGAGATCGAGACCATCCTGGCTAACATGGTGAAACCCCGTCTCCACTAAAAATACAAAAAAAAAAAAAAAAAAAAATTAGCCAGGTGTGGTGGCGGGCACCTGTAGTCCCAGCTACTAGGAAGGCTGAGGCAGGAGAATGGCGTGAACCCAGAAGGCGGAGCTTGCAGTGAGCCAAGATCGCGCCACTGCACTCCAGCCTGGGCAACAGAGCAAGATTCCGTCTCAAAAAAAAAAAAAAAAAAAGAAAGAAAAGAAATGGTATTGGCACAATTGGACACCCATAGGCAGAAAAAAAAAAAAAAAACCAACCTGAACCTATTATACAAATTTAACTCAAAATGGACCATAGATCTACATGTAAAACATAAAACATCAAAAGTTATGTATGAAACACTGGAGAAAAGAGTTGTTAGACATGATACCAAAAACACAATCCATAAAAGAAAAAACTTGCCAAATTGAACTTCAGCAAAATTAAAAACTTTTGCTCTGCAAAGACACTCTTGAGAGAATGTTATTGGCTAGTCTATTTTTCCTACAAGGCCATCTAAGCCCCAGTGTTCAGTAAGTAATTGCCTGCTACGTAATTGCGTGGATTTGAAGGACCTTGGTTTCATTCTGAGTCTTCCTGGGAATACCTCTTGTAATTCATGGATCTTTCACATTGGAGCCTTTCCTTGCCCCGTGCCCTTTCTCCCCTGTGGTGGCAGACAGACAGAGCCATACTCCAGTGGTCTGTTCTGGACTCAGCTGAGCAGCCCGAGGGCCTGGATTTGACTTTGGAATTGTATTTTTTACTCGCTGCACAGGCCTAGAAGCTAAATCAGCTAAGTATAGATTAAAAGCCACCAAACAAGTTTTCAGGCTAAGAAATATGTTTTCCTAGTAGAAGAATTTCTTAAAAGAAGTGTGGATTTGTCTGGTGAAGAATGGAAGTGGAAGATAGGAATTTACTAATAGTCGCTGCAGCTGGCTTCAATGTTCTTGACCTTCAAAATGATCATGTCTATGCCCTTCACCTCCTGTTCCTTCCCAGTCCTTATCTGTGGAATGAAGAATACCACCTTCTCCTTTTTTAAAGCTTTCTTTGTATCTCTTAGAATTGGTGCAGGAGCTAAGAAAATCTCTTAAAACATAATAATAAAAAATGCTTTATGAACGCTACTGTCTACCTGTGAAGCAAAATGATTTTCTCTCATAGCTACCATCCTTTTAATGGAAGAAAAGCATGTATTTGGATGCAGAGTCAATGCAGTTCTCTAAACCATAAATGAAGGTAAAAACTCAGCTATAGGATGCTCATCCTGGAGGAGTAGACTATATATTCAGCAATGTGCTATGGATGAGCTGAAGGTGCCATTAGAAACAGCTTTTAAGATTTCCGATTAAGCGGTCATCTCAATGTAAATGACCTAGCAAGGTCCCTAGCAACTTTCCCACAAAATGAGAAGTTTCTGTGAAAATGTTGTTACATAAGTTTACATTCTTGATTATATCTATTTATATTTTTTTAATTGTATTTATTTATTTTTTTTGAGACAAAGTCTCACTCTGTCGCCCAGGCTGGAGTACAGTGGCACCATCTCGGCTCACTGCAACTTCTGCCTCCTGGGTTCAAGTGATTCTCATGCCTCAGCTTTTCAAATAGCTGGGATTATAGGCATGCGCCACCACACCCGGCTAATTTTTGTATTTTTAGTGGAGCTGGGGTTTATGTTGGCCAGGCTAGTCTCAAACTCCTGAGCTCAAGTGATCTGCCCACCTTGGCCTCCCAAGGTGTTGGGATTTCAGGTGTGAGCCACTGCACCCAACCACATACTTGATTATATTTAAATGGACAGGAAAAAAATGTAAAAGTGCTAGCTTAATAATTTGGATTTTGTGTATGACTTGTTCACATGCCCTTATATATAGTTAACGTCTCTTGGAATACTTAAAGCCATCTTACGAGGACATTGGGAAGGTCCTGTCTATATAAGGATCTCCTTTTCACATGATTACTGTTTTTTGGTTTTTGTTTTGTTTCGTTTTGTTTTGTTTTGAGACAGAGTCTGGCTCTGTTGCCCAGGCTGGAGTGCAGTGGCACGATCTTGGCTTACTGCAATCTCCGCCTCCTGGGTTCAAGCAATTCTCCTGCCTCGGCCTCCCGAGTAGCTGGGATTACAGGTGCCCGCTACCACATCCAGATAATTTTTGTATTTTTAGTAGGGATGGGGTTTTGCCATGTTGGCCAGGCTGGTCTCAAACTCCTGACCTCAGGTGATCTGCCCTCCTCGGCCTCCCAAAGTGCTGGGATTACAGGCGTGAGTCACCGCTCCTGCCCGATTTTTTTTTTTTTTGTTCGTTTTTTAAGACAGGGTCTCACTCTTGTCACCCAGGCTGGAGTGTGGTGGTGTGATCGCAGCTCACTGCAGCCTTGACCTTCTGGGCTCAGGTGATCCTCCTACCTCAGCTTCCCAAGTAGGTGGGACTACAGGCATACCACCACATCTGGCTAATTTTTTGTAGAGATGGGGTTTTGCCATGTTGTCCAGGTTGGTCTCAAACTCCTAGACTCAAGTGATCCGCTCACCTCAGCCTCCCAAAGTGCTGGGATTACAGGCGTGAACCACTGCACCCGGCCAATTACTGACCCTTGAAGTGGACTTATGGGAGTAGAAATTCTTTCATTCCACAATTAGAAAAAAGGCTAAAGCATAAACATTTTTTAGAAGACTTTAGATTGCATATGTTGCAAAGGAAATTATGAAATCAATAAATAATTCTGGTATTTTTTTGTATACAAACTATATAGCCATGTTCCACAACTCTAGGAAGTACCAAATATGAATGGTCACCCTGGAGTTGGGCCAGCATGGCAGCATCTGTTGGGTGCTGTTCTCTGAAGAGGCTCCAGATAGAAACTGTTTTTTTTTTTTTTTTTTTTTTTTTGAGACAGAGTCTCGCAGTCTGTCACCCAGGCTGGAGTACAGTGGCAAAATCTCGGCTCACTGCAACCTCCACCTCCTGGGTTCAAGCGATTCTCCTACCTCAGCCTTCTGAGTAGCTGGGATTACATGTGTGTGCCACCACGCCCGGCTAATTTTTGTATTTTTAGTAGAGACGGGGATTCACCATGTTGGTCAGGCTGGTCATGAACTCCTGACCTTGTGATCCACCCACCTTGGCCTCCCAAAGTGCTTAGATTACAGACGTGAGCCACTGCGCCTAGCCCTAGAAACATCTTTTTCTAAGAGGAAAACAGGCTGAGCACACAGAGGCCTTTAGGGCTTCTGCCCTTGGTTGTCTTCTATGAAAATCCCCATGGGCCTTCCTGATTCCTGCCTTCGTGACACTGAACACCTGTGGAAGTCCTGTTCTCTTACTAGGGACTGAGATTTGGTTTAAGGTTTTTTTGTTTTTGTTTTTGTTTTTTCCCCTCATTTCTTAATGACATCTGAACTCAAAGGTTACTTCTGTAGCATTTCCTCACCTATGTGCTGTGAGGGTAGGGTGGTGATTTCTTCAGCTCTCCAGGGTGGATGGGAAGGGCCTTAGCTGGCCGGAATCACCCCTCTGGGCTGATGGCCTTCAACAACCTTTGGCCTCCAGCAGTATGTCATAAAAATAACTACTATTTTATGTGTGCGCCATTATCTGAAAAAAGCTAGGTGGCACTAACTTACTGCATGTATTTATCCTTCTGTATAAAGATGTTCAACAATGGCTCTACTTTAGGGAATACTTCACCTTCCTTGTTAGAGAAAGGAACATATGACTGGCAAAGGAAACTCCAGGATAATTAAAAACCCTTGTATGTGTCTTCATTTCACACATTCTTTCTCTAGGACTTCTTTTGGGAATTAGACCTTGAAATAGCTCAGACTTTTAAAGATAGAGCTGAAAGTTCTATTATATCTAGAATGAAAAAGTCCAGTCTAAATGAAGAAACAATCTTTTTGAGGGAATATATAACTTGGGGTTGCGGCTATTATAGAGTAAAGGGTAATTAGACTTGCCTTCCTGTCATAGACAACTCTAACATTGGCCAAAACATACAAAGTGGCTGTTTTTAGGCATTGGACAATACATATCACAAGAATGTGATCCTGGAGACAAGGGAAGCATAAAAGTGAGTTTTACATCAACCCTGGCTTTTTGCCTAGAGGCACTTTCTAAATTGCAGCACAGGGCAGTGGAGCCCAAACAAAGAGTAGCAGACTCATTTATTGGATAGAGGAAACAAGCTGTAATTCAGGACTGCTGGGGTGGCTCAAATTTTCAGGGCAGGGAACTGCAAAAGAATGAGCTACACAAGGAAAGAGTGTCAGAAATGTATAGATCTAGATGATTTGGCCAAATACTAAGCCAGGCATCAGTAGGGCAAGACTCTACGAGGCCTGGCAGAAAATAAGAACTTGGAGGGGCTGTGAGCTGAGTGGATATCCCAGAGATCACCAGTAATGGGAGATGTTAGAGTTCTAGCTAAGCAGAGTAGAAAAACACGAGGTGCTATCCTCGTGTTGAGAACTTCTGGCATCCAGTTGAGAACCCAGAAAAGCCAGCCACAGGAACAGCACTACCCTAGACCCATTGTAACAAAGCCTAAAAACCCAAGCCTTGACCAGTCAAGCTGACCTGCAAGTAACCTGCCTACCATAGCAGAACTCAACACTCTTTCAGGGAAGACAACAAAATCCAGTCTTTGAACAACAGCATGCACAGTTGCTCAGCAACTGTTGAGATAATATAATCGCAAATGACTAGATCTGTGAAGAAGCAGGAAAATGTGAGGTGGCTTGAAGAAGACATAGGGGTGTTTCTGAGTACAGTTTTCAGGCATTGATACCTGCTTCAGTTAATATTGGCATCCCCAAGAGGAAATGTGTTTACTGTTTTTTTGTGTGTTATCCACCCAGTTTCTTGTTGCTAGTTATATAGTATGTAAAAAGAAAAAAGCAAAAGTTAGTATAGCAAAGCCTGTAAATTGTTGCCTGCTAAGAAGCCAGGATTTTTTGTAAGTAGTTCCACTCTGGGTCATGACTTCGTTGTATTACAAAAGAGTGAGTGACTGCCAGTCAGGCGTGGTGGCTCACACCTGTAATCCCAGCACTTTGGAGGGCCGAGGCGGGCAGATCACTTGAGTTTAGGAATTTGAGACTAGCCTGGGTAACATGGCAAGACCCTGACTCTACAAAAAATTAAAAAATTAGCCATGCATGATGGAGTATGCCTGTAGTCTTGGCTGCTCGAGAGACTGAGTGGAAGGATTGCTTGAGCCTGAGAGGTCAAGGCTGCAGTGAGCCATGATGTATTTATCCTTCTGTATAAAGACGTTCAACAATGGCTCTACTTTGGAATGCCACTGCACTCCAGCCTGGGCAACAGAGTGAGGCCCCGTCTAAAAAAAAAAAAAAAAAGTGAATGACTGCCTAAGCCTTAGTTATCCTGTGATGTTGGCATTTGGAATGTAGTGTTTTCTTGAGTAAGCTCGTCCCTAGGACTGTCTCCTCAGGCTTCTTTCTTTACTTTTGGCCTGCCAGGCATTGCTTCTGACACTGAATAGTAGTCAGTGTAGTCCTCGTTTTTTCTTCTTACCTTATAAACCATGATATGTGGCTGAGCCTCCTTTAGTAACTGATTTATGGGGATGTAGAAAATTCTGAGAGAAATCCCAGCCATGCAGAATAATTGCATCTCTTGGGGAGGTGTTAACAAGCAGAGGCAGAGATGAGTGCTTCTGGGCCCCGGCTTCCATGGAACTTTCGCTCAATAGCCCCCACCCCTAAGCTCTATGCAGAAGGCGTTCATTAGCAAATATTAAATGCCTGTTTCCATACTGCTGGTGGATGCTGAGGGTGTGAGGCCCTCTGGGGGCATGCTGAGGCTCACTTAACAGCCTCACCCAAATTGTCCAACACTCATTTTCTCCTCAAATGATATCAGGGAAGGTCATGAAGAACAGCCATGCTGGATAACTTCTGGGAAATTGGGACTGGGGAGCCTGGGGGCAGCTGACCACCAGAAGTGACTGAGCAGAATACATTTCTTTTTCGTTTGCATCAAGTGGTGTACCCATTTTTATGTTTTCAGTTTTTGGTTTGAAATGTCTGTTTCTAAGCTGCATGTTCCCATTTGAACTCAAAGAAGACACTTACAATGCCTGAGAAAATGTAGCCTTCCTTTTTGGGGTAATTTTAAAGTTTTTGCCACAATTTTGAATAAATAATAAATTCAGAACAGATCAGCAGGTAAAGCCTGATCATATAGATGAAGCTTCCTTTGTGTAGGAATTCTATACCTGCTTCCCCCTTGTTCAGTTTGACCTCACTTCTGATGTTTGAAAGTGGAGAGAAGTGGAACAACAGTCTGGAGGAAGATTGGGTCATTCATCTATTCAGTCAACATTTATTCAGAATTGACATGTTCCGGGCACTACGGCAGGAATTAGATGGAGACAGAGGTGTGAAGATAAGAATCCTCATTTTCAAGGAGCTTATCGTTTTCAGGAACCTTGTGACTCAAAGTATGGTCCACGGAGTAGCGGCATTGGCATCACCTGGGAACCTCTTAGAAGTGTAGAATCTCAGACTTGCCCCAGACCTACTGAATTTGAATTGGCATTTTCACAAAATCCCTAAGTGAGAAGCATGCACATTAAAGCTTGAGAAGCGTTCCTCTTAAATCACTGATTCTCAGCCTACACACTGGAAAAACCTAGGGACATTGTAAAAGCACTGATTTCCTGTGCCCATTCCCCACCCCCAAATTGTGATTTAATGGGTATGGAGTCTGGCCCAGACATCGGCATTTTCTTTTAAATTCCCAGGTGATTCTAAATGTGCAGACAGGTGTGAGAGCCACTCATCTAGTACATGGCTTTGTACTCTTGACAAAACAGCCCAAGATGAGATTGTAGCTCATTCTGTTAACCAATGTACAAGCTAGGTGGCAAGTTTGTCTTTTCTACAGATTTGAAGTGCCTAGACTAGAGGTAGGCACACCAGGTCTCACGTGCCCTCTCTGTGCCCACAGGTTGTATGTCAGGGAGTCGCTCTCAGCTGTGTGGAGCACTTCGGCCAGGTTACACGGGGCCATGCTGGCAAGATTGAACAGACTGAGGCCCGATACTGAAGTCTGGGCAAGGCCTCCTTCCTCAGACACACCCCGGGGCCTTGGCATCCCTCCCCTTGGACCCCCTCCAAGTGTGTGAGCTGCTGCCAGGGGGTTTCACCTGAGGCAGCAGGGACTAGGAGTGGCTCCTTGGCACTCGAGGATGGCGCTGGGTCGCATGACAAATGCACATGAGTGTAATTAAGCAGCTCTCCTGGTCACATTGTCCCTCAGGGATTCGGACCAGGCCATATAATCACGATGATGACAATAACAACAACCAGCTCTTGTGTCACTCTTTATACTTTGCAAAGATTTTCACATGTGTCAGGAAACCGAGATCCAGGGAGCTTTCGTCACTAGGGAACAGCTTAAGTGTCACATGGCCCATGCTTGCTCTGTTCCACCTCTCTCTGAGTTCCACTTGAACATGTCAGGCAAAATAAGGAATGGCTCCCTTGTGACAAAGTGAGTTCCCTGTTATAAGCAGTATGCTAGGAGGGAGTAGATAACCTGAGATGTAGCAGAACGCAGAGGCTGGACTACACAACGCCTAATGCTCAATTCATTCATTCCTTAAAAGGAAAAACATCATTTGCATTTTATAGGGAAAAGTATATGTTACCCTAATATCTCCCTGGTGTTGAGGCATAGAGAAACCATTTTGGCCATTTTAAGGACTTGAGTTTGAAAGAGTAAAAATGATATGTCAGAAATATGATTTCTTTCCATATTCTTGCTAAGGGTTTAGGTCTACTTTCCCCTGAGTTCATGCCAATAGAGCTTATGTCTAAACAGCAGCTTTCTGGAAGCGTCATCTACATGCTGCTCCTTTTCTCATTTCTACCTCCCACCTCATTCAGAGTTCATCCCCTCACCTGCCTACAATGCTCTTTCTCATTTGTATTAGAGTCTAAAACTCCATGAAGGTGACTGTCGTCTGGAGTTATGCCTGGGGTCCTGGTGTAATTTATTAATAGCGCCCCAGATTTGGAAACAAATTGTAGTACTTGGGCCACGTTACCTCTCTCCTCAGTGGTCAGCTACTGCCTCACCATCCTGCCTTCACTCAACTTCTACCGTCTTCCTTGGGGACATCCACTTCCGCCCTGATGGCAGTCGGGCCTCACAAGCGGTTGATCACCTGCCCCTCCTTTCTGCCCCTGTCACTCAGTGGGTGCTGTCTTGCCTCACACCTCATATCACTGTTCAGTAGATGTTGGAGGGGCAGGGTTTGTTCCAAGCTCTAATTCCTGTATATTCTCTTCCATGAGCACAGCTTTCCTCTCTCCCTCTTCTCTTCCTTTACGCTCAGCAAGTCTGCCCTTGACCATTCTCATTGCCTCAGTTCTTGTCCTTGTTCTCTGCTTCCAGGCTGCCCAGCTTGTCTTGGTCCCACTTGTTTGTAAATCCATTCTAGCACTTCTGCCAGTGTTTCTGTGCCATTCTGATTCACTGTGTCTGCCTCTCCCACTAGACTCTGAGCTTGGGAGCCCCACAAGGACATGATGGTTTTCTTTTCTCCCCTGGATTCATCTCCTGTCCTGCACATTTTAGAAGTCTAGCCCAGCCATTGGCATTTTTTTTTAAAATTCCCAGGTGATTCTAAGTGTGCAGCCAGGTTTGAGAGCCATTTTAGGTTCTCAGTAAATAAACTGAGGCCAGGCGCTGTGGCTCACGCCTGTAATTCCAGCACTTTGGGAGGCCGAGGCAGGCAGATCACCTGAGTTCAGGAGTTCAAGACCAGCCTGGCCAACATGATGAAACCTCATCTCTACTAAAAATACAAAAAAATTAACCAGGCGTGGTGGCAGGTGCCTGTAATCCCAGCTACTTGGGGAGGCTGGCGCAGGAGAATCGCTTGAACCTGGGAGACAGAGGTTGCAGTGAGCCGAGATCATGCCATTGCACTCCAGCCTGGGCAACAGAGCCAGCCTCTGTCTCAAATAAACAAACAAATAAATAGAATTTGCTGCTATTTTATACTTTCGAAAGCACAGCCCTCATACAAGTCTCTTCATCTCTGCCATCAAAAGACTAGTTCTTTTGTCTGGTTTGTTGAAGAGGACTTATTTTCACTTCTCATTTTGCTGTTAAAATTATTCCTATTTCCCTTAAATTAGCTTGTATTGCTGGGGGAAAAAAATGCCTTGCTTCTCTGTAAATCTCTATCCCACTCCAGGCATCCTGACCCTGTGCCCACTTTCTGTCTTATAGCAGACTCTTTTCTTTGGCTATTTTTCTTGTTTTTTTTTTTTTTTTTTTTTTCTACTTCTGCTAGTAGCACTAAATCACACTGGCAGTTTTCTCTTTTGACTGTACTTATCTCATCCATGGACCTTGTGTTTATTCTTGTACCAATCAGAACAATTAGACATATTGTGTTCTCCCTTCATGCTTCCCTTCTCTTCTTTGAATTATGCAATGAGTAGCACTGTTAGTGTTTTCCTTAAGAAGCAGAATATAGATGGGCCATCCAAGCCAGTCATCACCAAGGGGAAATATGAGACATACAATGTCATTATGTACCATTTTCTCCCGTAGGGGTGTATGGGATCTAAAGTTATTCTGGGCCGGGCTCGGTGGCTCACACCTATAATCCCAGCACTTTGGGAGGCCAAGGTGGGCGAATCACCTGAGTCCAGGAATTCGAGACCAGCCTGGCCAACATGGTGAAACCCTGTCTCTACTAAAAATATAAAAATTAGCCGGGTGTGGCAGTACATGCCTGTAATCCCAGCTACTTGGGAGGCTGAGGCAGGAGAATTGCTTGAACCAGGGAGGCGGAGGTTGCAGTGAGCCGAGATCACGCCACTGCACTCCAGCCTGGGCGACAGAGTGAGACTGCGTCTCAAAACAAAAGCAAAAACAAAAACAAACAAAAAAACCACAAAAAAAACCAAAGTTATTCTGGATGGGCTTTTGCTCATTAACATTTTCTATATTGTTTTTCTCACATGTGAAGCAAAAAAGGTTCTTGGGTTATTATTTGCATAAGACTAAGATGAAGCATGGATTTACACTGTTTAGAAAGTTTGAGCCCAGGTGTGGTAGCTCGCACCTGTAATCCCAGCACTTTGGGAGGCCGAGGCAGATGGATCCCTTGAGCCCAGGAGTTCAAGACCAGCCTGGGCAGCACGGCGAAACCCCATCTCTACTAAAAATATGAAAAATTAGCCAGGCATGGTGGCATGTGCCTGTAGTCCAAGCTACTCAGGAGGCTGATGTGGGAGGATCTCTTGAACCCAAGAAGTCAAGGCTGCAGTGAGCCGAGATCATGCCACTGCACTCCAGCCTAGACAATGAGAGTGTGACTCTGTCTCCCTGCAAAAAAAGATAGTTTTTTTTTGAATGCCTTTTGTGGGCATAGTTCTGTATCAGATGACCTGAAATGAATGTGGAAGGAAGACCAGTCCTCAGCTAAGCAAACCATTCACACATGTAAAGATTTCAGATTATTGCAAAAACTGTTAATGGTTCTCTCCTCTTTTGGTACTAGAGCACTCATTTGATCCCTGTTACCCAAAGGACCTTGCGTAATATTGTATGTCTGTCTTTCCCATACATCTCTAAGCTCCCTGGGGTTAGAGATCATGTTCTCTGCATCTGCATGTTTAAGGTTTGGTGCTTACAGAGCTTAAATATATTTTGCATTTAATAGATGTTTATTGAATTGAATATCATTAATTGCAAATTAACACTGTACTGAGCATTAGAGAAAAGATAAGGCATTCATCATAGTCAGTTTCTTAAAGGTGAGTTTCAAGTTGAGTTTTGAAGAAACCTAATTCCAAGAGTTAGGGTCAAAGAAATTCTACTCCCAGCTTCCTTCATAAGTTTTTCTGTTATCATTGATAATGTTTGTAACATCCTAGGGTCAGAAGAACCTCAGGAGCCACCAAATCCTGCCACCACTCCTGTTCATAAATCCCTTCTTTGAAGACTGATGCTAGTATTCAGGGGGTGATGTGACATGGGCAGGACCAGACTATCTACTTGGACTTCTCAATGTCATTTTTCCAGAAAGATAAGCATCCTTTCATGTTGAAAGACTTTTGGACCCTTGTTTTGTTCTGGGTAAATCTGAACTTGATACTTCAAGGGTCTTTGGTTTTTTTTGTTGTTAGTTGGGGCTAGAATTTATAGTCTGTGACTAAGGACTGATTTCCAAAATCTGCACTCTCTTCCCTAAGGAAGACCCTAAGGGGTCAGCTTATCTTTGTAACAGATACCACTGGGGCAGTGGAAGGTGGTGATGAATTACTTGCTACCTGAGGTGGGCCTTATGCTAACTTATAGAGAATTCCCACGAGTTTAGGCAGATAGAGGCCATCCTGTTCTACAGTAATTCAAGTATTGGACTGGAGGAGATCGCAGAACTCTCAGGGCTAGAAAGAGTCTGCATTGATTCTACAAATACTTATTATATGAGGCATTGTGTACATGGCTGGGGGTATAATGGTGAAAAGTCAGATGTGCTCCTCACCTTGCTGGAATGTATGATCTAACAAGGTACAAATGAGCCATACAAGCCATGGCTCTCCCAGGGCCCTACAGCAAGGCCTTAGGCCAGCTGCACATCTGGTACTTGAGCCCTTTTCTAATCCCACTGGTGTCGTGGAGACCATGGGTTCTCCATGGGCCCTGAACATGATCTCCTCTCTTTCTCTGTCACCTTCTTGCTTTCCCTTATGTGTTATCAGCAGGTTTTTTTGTTTGTTTGTTTTTTGGAAAGCCTTTTCTCATTTTGGGCTTCAGCTGGAAGTTGTTGATCACGAGACTTGGGAGTCTGCTATAGGACAAAAAGCAGGCTCAGGGTCAGGATGCCTGAAGTGGGATGGAGATTAACTGATTACAGGGATTTTATTCAAGGAATTTTATATTTGACAGTGGTGTGTATATTATATATATACTGGGCAGGAAGCGTTGCCCAAGTGAGGAGGTTTACAGTAGGCTGGATGAGCCCTGGGTCAGGCGGTAGAAGTGGAATTGGACTCGGAGGACAAATGTGAGACATATGATAAAACTCCAGCAAATGGGACTTCCAACCAGTTGAAAATGGGAAAAACTAGAAGTGGTTTTGTGGCATGAGATTATGTGCCCAGGAGAACCACGAGGCCATTAGGCTCATGAGAAAGGCCAGGCTCTTGCCATTTTTGCTCGTTGTCCTTTCTCTAGCACCTGGCTCAGTGTCCAGAACAAAGTAGATGCTTGATAAATGTTTGATGAATGAATGAACAAAATAGAGATTATCCAAAGGGAAGCAAGTTCACTCTGGAAGAATGGAGAGCCTTATTCATTCATTTAGGATGCCAACATTGCATCCTGTAAAGTGGAGGAAGGGATTTTCATGATGGCAACTGTGCGCCATCAACATCTAAAGGAGAAGGTGAAGGAGAGCAGTGCATTAATGAGCTTGTGTAAAGTATGATTTTTCTTCTGGTTGGCTGACTGTCACAAAACCTTTTTTCAATATTGACAAGCTTTGTGACAGGCTAATCACATTTGTGCATGTGATATTTTCTAAGCCATATTTGCAGTTAATGAAATACTTTTATTTCAGTAAAATTAAAATGAAGAAAACACATATTCTCCCATCCTTAAAGAAAAAAGAAAGGCTGGGCGCAGTGGCCCATGCCTGTAATCTCAGCACTTTGGGAGGCCAAGGCGGGCGGATCACCTGAGGTCAGGAGTTTGAGACCAGTCCGGCCAACATGGTGAAACCCCGTCTCTACTAAAAAATACAAAAATTAGCCAGGCATTGTGGCACGTGCCTGTAATCCCAGCTGCTGGGAGGCTGAGATGGAGGAATCGCTTCAACCCAGGAGGCGGAGGTTGCAGTGAGCCGAGATTGCACCACTGCACTCCAGCCTGGGCGACAGAGTGAGACCCTGTCTCAAAAAAAAAAAAAAAAAAAAGAAAGAAAGAAAGGTAAAAGAAGACCTTATTGATTCAGGGCATCTAAAAGCAGCACTGGGTTTTGAGTACCAGCCGACATTGTTAAGCGGACTTAAGCTTTTGTTTTCCCCTCTGACATTGGGGTTTGTGCTGACTTGGTAACCATTGCCTCATTAACACGGACCTCCAGGAAAGGGCCTCCATTCTCTTGAAGAGGGGGGTTACACCCCTCTGGAGGCTGCTTGCCCCCATCTCTCACTCTCTGTTCTCCTGTTTTCTAGGACTGCATCGACGTAGGCTGGTGGGAAGGAGAGCTGAACGGCAGACGAGGCGTGTTCCCCGATAACTTCGTGAAGTTACTTCCACCGGACTTTGAAAAGGAAGGGAATGTAAGTCTCCTTCACTTTGATTTCAGCGGAGTTGTGGCTCCCATGTTGGGACTTGGGATGGGGGAAGTTTGGTGTAATGTTGAAGAGCACTGGCATTTGAACATTCAACAGACCCAGATTCTGAGCCCTCGGCTGCCATATACTCTGTAACAAGTTTCATCATAGGATGCATCTGTTAGCTGGCAACAGTGATCTCTACTCTGCGGTTGTTGCATACATAAACAAGATAGTGTGTGTAAAGCACTCGGTGCAGCACTGGCACATTTCAGCACCCAAATAAACTGTGAGAACCTTGGGTGCTCTTTTTGGTAAGTGGACTGCCAGCATCCCACATAGCATGGTCCTTGGGGGTGGGAAAGTAGCCAGTGTTGTGGAAGTGGTTGAAAAGCACATTGTAAGGCTGAGGATGCAGGGCGAGGCCTGTTAATCTTTCTACACTATATGCTTACATGTGTGAGTACACCCGCACATATCCGTATATTAGTATATACACATCTCTCATCCACGGTTTCTCTTTTGTTGTGGGAGCCCATTTGACCATGCCACTGTTTAAATCAGCCACTCCATCTGTGTTTGCCTCACTCCAGGTGTATTCTTTCCCTGCTGACGATGTAATAAGAAATATTGGGAAGTTAGAAGCACTTTCCAGTATAAGGGAGGAGCAATCCCATATTTAGGTTCTTTGCCCAGGCTTTTGCGTGGCCTCTGCCCACCTTTCCCAGCCTCAACCCACTTCATGTCCATGGGGACTCTGTTACTGGACGGTGCTGAGCCAGATCTTGCCATGGCACGATTCCAGTAGGGCTGAGGTGTGGGAAGGATAGCTACAGTGCTGGTGGCTTCGTTGCCAAGGATACTAAAGTAGCATTTAATGGAATTTGTGCTGCTTTGATGAATGGATGTAATTGTTTAAGAAGCTAGATGGTGTTGGCGCCTGCCAAGATTACGGCCCATAGACCATTAGGTTGGTTTAAAGGCTAAGTTAGCCACACTTTGTAAGCTTTTTGATTGCTTGCTTTCTTGTATTGTTTAGGTGAAGGATGTTCTGTTCCACACCTGTTGTTCTCTCTTGGAGTCTGAGTTTGGGTTCTAGAGAATCTGGATTCTGGTTCTTAATGTTTCCTAGATTCTTGATGCTTAAAGTGAGATCCATGGACCGGCAATAGCAGCATCACCTGAGAGCTTGTTAGAAATGCTCAGACCCCACCCCAGACATGGTGCATCAGAATCTGCATTTTAACAGCGTTCTCTGGTGATTTGCTTGCATATTACAGTATAGGAAGCACTAGTGTAGAAGCAGGTATCTAAGTGATGACAACCCACCTTCTGGTTTCCTCCCCCATCCCCCATATTTTAGGAGGGAAATAAATTCACACAACAGAGAAGAGCTCATCATTCAATAAGGAAATTTTCCACCAAGCAAAATCACTTGAAATGTTTTTACTGATGACTGTAGCAATAGTGGATTGTCATTTGACAAAATCAGTCACTGAGAAGAAAAGATACTAAACACTTAGTAGTGACTGCATAGGAAATGTTTTGAAATAGTAGGACGCAGGAGTAAGGATGGCAAACATTACAAAGAGTACAGTGGTTGTGACCCTAGGCTGTGGCATCAGATAGATCTGGGTTTGAATCCTGGTTCTGTCACTTACTTGTTCTATAGCCAAACCCGAGTCACTGAATGTCTCTAAGCCTCTGCATTCTCATCCATAAAATCATGAGAATAATTGTACCTACCTTGTCGAAGTGTTGAGAGAAGATTTACTGGGATGATGCACATAAATTCTTAAACATGGTGCCTAGTAGTTGGTAAATGCCTCACACAGATTAACTATTCCAGTCTTTATAATTACTATTTACCACGAGGGTAGGAAGACTCTAGCTAAAACTGTGAAGTAATGATAGAAGGCTGACTCTAGTTCTTTTTGCTCCAGCTCATCAAATCAACACAGTTATCTTGGTATCTTGGCGAGCTTCCCTAGGAATCCAAATGCATCTAAAAACTTTGATAAATAGCCATTAGAAATAAATCTAGCAACTTAGAAAATGTATTGGTAGAGACACGTGAGCACAGAATGGCATAATCTTTATGTTATTTGTCATGGTTTTTTTTTCTGGATCTGCTGCCTGATAAATGTTTTATTTTCATTCACTCATTCAGTATTTATTGAGTCCTTTCTCTGGGCTGGCCACTGTGCTGGTTGATTGAAAGTGAAGCGTGCACATGGGTACTGTCCTTGTGAGCTTAGAGTTAGGCAGTTAGGTCTGGCGTTTAGGGCCATGGAGACCTGCCAGACTCTTCTGAAAGGACACTTGATATAGGCCTCTCCAAGTGAGTGGAGGCAAGGGGGCTGTTCAGTCTGCCCATACCCCGCTTCTCCCCTATCTTTGTGAGGCTGGTAAAAGCTAGGCACATCCTGAAGCATTTGGGCGCCAAGACCTTCATGGTGACTCCTCTCCCTTCGACCAAGGAATCTTAGCAAGCATACCATCTTACTAGACATTTGCCACCTTATTGGTTCTGATTGAGGCAGTATGTTTTTTTAATTGACAGATAAAATTGTATTTAATGTTTACAACGTGATGCTTTTAAGTATATATACATTGTGGAATGACTGAATCTAGCTAATTACCATATGCATTACCTCACGTCGTTATTTGTGTGGTGATGGGCAGTAGGGTTTTGAAGACTAGGGTAAAATCTAGATCATTCTTTTAACAAATGGGTAAAGCATGCCTTCTAATTCCCAGTCATGTCTTGGGGGGGGGCAGTAAATTCACTCAGGTGAGAGCTACTCCATACAGTACTTTTCTAGAAGCTCTGTGTTACATAAGCTATTAAGGGAAGCACTTCCACCAGGAGAGTGAAGTTGTCAGTGATGAGTGGACTGGGCATGGCACGCTCTTTGGGACATGCACGCTCTCTGGGGCCCCATGGGCATCTCTCTAATCCCCCACAAGCAGCCGCCATCTCTTTGATAAGTCTTTTAACCTTGTCCTTATGAAGCAGAAAACCCAATTTAAGGGAAACAATAGTCATACCCGTCAGACAAAGTAATACCTATAGCTGAAAAGTGATTGTATAACCTAACATTTAACTTCCAGAAAATTCAAAGTATAACATCCCATTCCATCTCCTCTGGTCTATAAAAACCAGCCAACCATCTTCACATTGGTTGTTATACCAGCCTTTATTGCTGCACCCAGAGTATTGGTGAGTTGGTGACAATGCGACTGGAGATAGGGCTGTCATTTGCTGCGCTGAGGGTGTGAAGATGATTAGAATCATTAACACGAAGGCACTATGTGAATGCTAGAGTCTGAAACGTTCTGCCACTGGTGTCAGCAGATGTCATCTTGTCTTGCCAGTGACTGGGGTTACAATCATTCACCCAGAAAAGAGGACGATCTGTGATGATTAGGGTAGACAGAAGCAAACGGCATTTATTCAACAGCAGGCCTCTTGACTCCGTAGGCATCCGCAGAGCATTCTGATAAGGCTGACATATTTTCTGCTGGGGTGTGAATTCAGGTAGTTACTACAAGGCCTTTTGGAATTCCTGGCCATCTTTCTTTCGGAGAGTGCTTAGTGGATTCTCCCTCACCAGGGTAACAAATGCTTTGGGGTTTTTCCTCAAGATATTCCAGAAGAGCATCCGTTGATCTCTTGGTGCATATTTTAGAGCAATTATGTAAGCTATTTATAAGAGAACCTAGATTCAATGGCTGTCTGTTTATTTTTGGCCTTGACAGTAAAATTGAATACCAGAACGGAAAGATTAAATATTCTGAGAACTCTAATGAAGCAGTGTGTGTGCTGTGTCATTGTTACAGAAGGCTAACGGGGAACTTAGACTCTCAAAAACAGCAGAAACAACTGCTCACTGTCATTAAAAAAAGAACAAAATTAGAATAGGTATTTTGAAAGATAGTGTTATTTAAGAAAGTGGCCAGTGTGGTGGTTCATGCCTGTAATCCCAGCGCTTTAGGAGGCCAAGGTGGGAGGATTGCTTGAGCCTAGGAGTTTGAGACCAACCTGGGCAACATAGCAAGACCCAATCTCTACAAAAATAAGAAAAATTAGCTGGACATGGTGGTACATGCCTGGAGTCCCAGCTATTCAGGAGGCTGAGTTTGGGGGATCGCTTGGGCCCAGAAGTTTGAGGCTGCAGTGTGCTGTGATCATGCCAGTGCACTCCAGCCTGGGCAACAGAGCGAGACCCTGTCTCAAAAAAAAAGTAAATCTCAGGCTCCAGTTCTTTTAAGAGAAACTGTTCAAATCACCAGAAGATATTACTGATCTACCATGCATTTATTTGGAGGGCTCTTCAGTGTTAGTGCAAGTCAAGAATGATGGCATTGCTAAGATTCCCATAGGCGTTTCCCTAATGAATGCTCCCCAGTGGGAGCTCAGCCTCAGGGACTCAGAAACCTGCCCTCGAAGATGTCCCTGTGAGTATGATGCAGGCTCGCCTTTGCTGAGTCACAGAGACTTAATCAGGTAGCAGGCAGCCAGCTTACTCATCACAACAAGAACTCAGATGTCAGCCAGTCTGGAACGCAGAGGTCTGCCTGCCCCGGTCATTTTGTCCCCTATGGGTCTGATTCCTTAGAAGCCGGGTTCCACCAGAAGCCACGTTTATCCGGTGCTTTCCGGGAGGGCAAGGAATCAAAACAAGAGGAGTTTGTTGTTCTTACCAAGGGTCTGGCAGGTATCACTTGAGGCTCCTTCATGCACCAAAGGGAAAGATCTGCCAAGGGAACCATGTGTTGAAGTCAACTAAGCCTTGATGATACTTCTAAGAGCACTGCACCACTGCCTTCGGCCTCCATTTGTCTTTGTTTTCATGACTGACTGGACCCTTCCTGTTCACATCAATCTCCAGACACATTGTGATGCAATCAGTTAGATTTCCCACTTTCTCCATTATAATCATGTGCCAACCCACCCTCTTACGATTTTTTTTAGCACAAGTTTTGCAGGTTCCAAACTTTTGCAAGAAAGGAAGTCTCTTGCTCGATTCCCACAATGGCCGAATTTTGCTGGTTTAACTCTACCTTCCCTATACCAAATTCGTAGGAGGCCCCTCACCTTACTTAGCCTCCATCTTCTGACAACTCAGTCCGTAAAATCTGTTCTTAGTCAACATTTTCTTTATTATTCATCATGTCCTTTAGCCTTTAGCCCTGGCCCTAATTTTTATTTAGAATCATCTTAAAAGACATCTTGTTTGAAAACGTGGCATCTATAACAAGAACTGTTGTTTTTCTAGTTTCTGAAGATGCCCGATAATTTCCCTATTTTTTAGCCTTCCAAAAGAAAGAAATATGTGCTTCTAATAAGCAGCCTTATGAAAAAAATTTACCTAAACATTATCTGTCTTGAACATTTAGTTTCATGGGTGGTTTCACATGCAAAGAAATGGGGTTTGTCAAGGAGTTAATGTCATCTGAGTATGGCCTATTGACTCAGCCCCAGTGGACTTTCTCAAAGCCACCCAGATGGTATTCCCTCTCCCTTCTCCAGCTGTACTTACAGCCTGTAGTCTTTGAAGGCAGAGCCCATGTCCCAAGCTTCTCCTTCATGGGGCCTTACAGCATGCATGGTACATGGTTGCTGGTGAAGAACCCATGGTCCTTTAGTTGGTTGGTGCCAGAGTGTATCTTCTCTTCCTCCTGCCTCTCCTCTCCTGCTTGCTGCTTTCTCTTGTACAAAAGAGGAGGAAGAGTGGAAGGGAGGGGCAGGGGGAAGCTGGCCTCCTGTCAGATTGTCCTTCCTAGACCAAGAGAGGCCCAGATCCTTCCATCTGATCATGGGGTCTGGGCATGGAATCAAGGCATCACTTTCAGGGTGGGGCAGATGGAATGAAGGGGTGAGCCAAGGGGTGAACTGTGAGAGCATCTTAGGGAGAAACCAAATGCCAAGGCCTGGCTGACCACCCAATAGGCCATCAGTCTGAATGGGAGATGATGGATGTAGACCACTAGGCCAGAGGCTGAGGAAGGAAACTAGAGAAAGACTCTTCCAAGAGCAGATTCCCTAGGTCCCTGGGGATCTCCAGTGCGGGTGACAGGGCAGGCAGTTGCTGGGGACTCTATAGGGTACAGAGGTGCAGTTTAAGACACTGTCATCACCTAGAGCATAGCTTTAGCTGCACATTTCAAAGGTGTGGCTGTTCCTCTAGGGGCAGGGGAGAAAAGGGCAGAGTGGAGATCCCCATGTGTTTCTAGAGCTGCAAAGGGGTGCCCTAATCAGGAGCTGTCCATTTGTGTCCCCTCTCCAGCCTCACCCACAGACACCGCCAGAGAACTTAGTGGGATGTGTGGAGGAGGTCTCCCAAAGTCCAGAATTGCTGAAAATCAAGCTGAGACTTACTTCCAGAACCTCACCATATTCCTCTAACGAAGCCCTTTAAAGGTTACCCAGCCATCAGGGTACACTTCTGTTTGTGTTTGTTTGTTTTTACCAAATCACATCTCTGGGGCCAGAGCTCTGAAGGCAAACCAGCTCAAGAGGCAAAGTAGCAAACCAGATTCCTGCCAGGGGAACAGTTGAGCCAGCCAATGAGCCTTTTGCTTGGGAAGGGCCAGTCTTGCCAAGCAAAGGGCAGAGTCAGTTCTGAAATCCTTCACAGGAAACAAAGCTTGTCTTCCTGCCATTCTCATTCCAGAACGTTTATATCTATTTCCTTCCTGGTAATGTAAAGGTAAAAATCAAATCTAGCTAATATATCCTTTGAAGGATGGTGTCTGCATGTCTTGGTGCCAGCCAACAACCCCGCACACAAGCAGACACAGACGCATGTGCACTTAGGCCTGTGCTCCCTCCATATATGAAGACTATGGAAGGCATTCGGCTCTCCCAGAAATCAGAAAATGTGGGTTCATTGACTTTGTTACCATTATATTCATGTTGGTTCTTGTGAAATGAATTCCCGTAGTCTGGACATTGAGAAACGTAGAGTTCTGGGCCCTCTGGCTACCAACTAGCTGTTGAAACAGCCTTTCTGGGCCTCAGTGATCTCAGCTGCAGGGGGGACTCCTGTGATGACTTGCAGCTCTTAATATCCACTGTTTTTTTTTAGCACTTACCTGCAAATTGAGCAGGCTGAAGCCACCTGAGGTTGGAGCTGGAGCATTTTACCTTCACCATGGAGGGAGGGATAAAGAGAATAAACAGAACAAGTGCCTCTAGAAACTCAGGACTTAAATACTTGCCTGAGTTGAAAGGATGTTTTTGGGTGTGCACCTATAGGAGCTGGTTAATATCTTATTACTGTTAAACTCCACACAGGAAACCTTGACCTACTACTTAGCCCGGAGGACCCCAGCCCCATTTTCTTTATCCAGTCACAATGGGATGTTTGGAGGGAAATCAACTAAATGATCTCTTCATGTCTTTTTATTTGAGAATAGTGAACTCCTGTGATGAATTTTCTACTGTCACATTTTGCTGGAGAATCACCTGTTTTGCCTTCTCAGTTCACACTGCCTTGTCTTCCTGTTGCATTTAAAAAGAAATTTTTAATTTGTTTCATTTTTTTTTTTACTGAGACAGGGTTTCCCTCTGTTGCCCAGGCTAGAGTGCAGTGGCACGATCTCAGCTCACTGCAGCCTCTGCCTCCCGGGCTCAAGCAACCCTCCTGCCTCAGCCTCCCGAGTAGATGGGACCACAGGCATGCGCCACCACGCCGGACTGACTTTTTGCATTTTTTGTAGAGATGGGTTTTCACTGTGTTGCCCAGGCTGCTCTCAAACTCCTGAGTGCAGGCAATCTCCCTGCCTTGGTCTCCCAAAGTGCTGGGCCTGTTGCATTTTTTTTTTTTTTTTTTTTTTTTTGAGACGGAGTCTCGCCCACTGCAAGCTCCGCCTCCCGGGTTCACGCCATTCTCCTGCCTCAGCCTCCTGAGTAGCTGGGACTACAGGTGTCTGCCACCGCGCCCGGCTAATTTTTTGTATTTTTAGTAGAGACGGCGTTTCACCGTGGTTTCGATCTCCTGACCTCGTGATCTGCCCGCCTCTGCCTCCCAAAGTGCTGGGATTACAGGCGTGAGCCACCGCGCCTGGCGCCTGTTGCATTTTTTAAAAAACATTGTAGGCCCATGTGCAATACTTTATGAATCATTTTGGGGAGGGGGACAGTCTACAGCCGCATAGAACCCTGGTCCTGATTTTTATTTAGAATTACCTTAAAGACATCCTGTTTGAAAATATGGCATCTTTTCTCCTTTGAAAAAGCATGAAGGCTAAGTTTGATGGAACCAGAGAAAGTGAAGTCAGTAAAGGATTAAAAAAGAGGAAAACTTGTGAACCCCCTCTGCTAGTAAGCAAAGCAGGCACCTGGCCAGCATTGATCAAGAGTGGTAGATGCAAGACAGACAGCTCACAAACTGTTCCTTCCTTTCAAAACTGTGCTCCCAACTGCCTCTGCAACTGCCGGGTTTCCGAACAAAACTTCACACTTCTGTCTCTGTCCTTTGCCACATTCACACACATGCTTGCTGTGACCACACTCTTCATACACTGTCTGTTAGTGCAACATTTTCCTCTCTCCCTCCCCTGGTGCCCCTCTGCTCTGCTCTGTCACATTTCATGTGTCTGCTACATGCTAAATGTGACACAACATTAAAGGGATTTTTTTTTTCTTTGACCAGTAATCTTGGAAAATATGATGACTTGTAATTGTCGTTTTTAAATTTGGGGCCCTGTGGTTTGAGGCAAGGTCGCTGGGGTAATGGCCTCAGCGAAAGGAGGCTCATGTGAAATTGGCTATAGAAAAATTCAGACCAGCAAGGAGTGAGGAAGATGTCCAGGGGTAGGTGTCCTTGGGACTTGGCTGGGAAGAATAAGGCCACGGGGTGTTGGCAGTTTTGTAAATAAGGAATGACAGGCATACTTCATTCTTCTGTGCATTCCTTCATTGTGTTTCAGATATTGCGTTTTTTACAAATTCAATGGTTGTGGTAACCCTATGTGGAGCAAACCTACTGGCGCTATTTTCCCAATAGCATGTGCTCACTTCATGTCTTTGTGTTACATTTTGGTAATTCTCACAACATTTCAAACTTTTTTATTATTATTATACCTGTTATGGGTAATCTGTGATCAGTGATCTTTGACATTACTATTGTAATTGTTTTGAGGCACCATAAACTGTGCCCATATAAGATGGCAAACTTAATTGATCGATGTTGTGTGTGTTCTGACTACTCCATTGACCTACGATTCCCCATCTCTCCCTCTCCTTGGGCTTCACTATTTCCTGGTATGTAACAATGTTGAAATGAGGCAAACTAACAGCCCTGTGATAGCCTGTAAGTGTTCAAGTGAAAGGAAAAGCCACATATCTGTCACTTTAAATCAAAAGCTAGAAATGATCGAGCTTAGTGAAGAAGGCATGTTGAAAGCTGAGACAGGCCAAAAGCTAGGCCTCTTGCACTAAACAGTTAGACAAGCTGTGAATGCAAAGGAAAAATTTGTGAAGGAAATTAAAAGTGCTGCTCCAGTAAACACATGAATGATAAGAAAGTAAAACAGCCTTATTGCCAGGCATGGTGGCTCACGCCTGTTATCTCAGCACTTTGGAAGGCCAAGATGGGAGGATCACTTGAGCCCAGGAGCTCGAGACCAGCCTGGGCAACATAGTGAGACTCCATCTCTATAAATAAATAAATAAATAAATAAATAAATAAATAAATAAATAAAAACAGACTTGCTGATGATATGGAGAAAGTTTGAGTGGTCTGAATAGAAGATCAAACCAGCCACAACACTTCTTTAAGCCAAGGTCTAATTCAGAGCAAGGCCCTAACTATTCAAGTCTATGAAGGCTGAGAGAAGTGAAGAAGCTGCACAAGAAAAGTTGGAAGCCAGCAGAGGTTGGTTATTGAGGTTTAAGGAAAGACACCATCTCTATAACATAAAAGTACAAGGTGAAGCAGCAAGTGCTGATGGAGAAGCTGCAGCAAGTTATCCAGAAGATCTAGCTTTGATGAAGGTGGCTACACTAAACAACAGATTTTCCATTGATGAAACAGCCTTTGATTGAAAGAAGAGATAATCTAGGACTTTCATAGCTAGAGAAGTTGATATCTGGCCTCAAAGCTTCAAAGGGCAGGCTGACTCTCTTAGTAGGGGCTAATGCATCTGGTGACTTTAAGTTGAAGCTGGTGCTCATTTACCATTCTGAAAATCCTGGGGCACTTAAGAATTATGCTGCCAGACACGGCAGCTCATGCCTATAATCCCAGCACTTTGGGAGGCCAAGGCAGGAGGATCACTTGAGCCTAGGAGTTTGAGACCAGCCTGGGCAACATAGCAAGACTCCATCTCTACAAATAATAAAACTGGCCAGTTGTGGTGGTGTGCACCTGTGGCCTCAGCTATTTGGGAAGCTGAAGTGAGAGGATCTCTTGAGCCTGGGAGGTCAAGGCTGCAGTGAGCCATGATCGCACCATTGCACTCCAGCCTGGGCGACAGAGTGAGATCCTGTCTCAAAAACAAAAACAACAAAAAAAGAATTATGCTAAATCTACTCTGCCTCTGTTCTATAGATGGAAAAACAAGGCCTAGATGATAGCACATCTGTTTACAGCATGGTTTACTAAATATTTTAAGCCCACTGTTGAGACCTACTGCTTAGAAAAAAAGATTCCTTTCAAAATATTACTGCTTATTGACAATGCATCTGGTCACCCAAGAGCCCAGATGGAGATGTATAAGAAGATGAATGCCGTTTTCATGCCTGCTACTACAACATCCGTTCTGCAGCCCATGGATCAGAGTCGTTTCAACTTTCAAGTCTTGTTATTTAAGAAATACATTTTATAAGTCTATAGCTGCCGTAGATAGTGATTCCTCTGATGGATCTGGGGAAAGTCAATTGAAATAATTCTGGAAAGGGCTCACCATTCTAGATACCAGTAAGAATATTTTTGATTCATGGGAGGAGGTCAAAATATCAACATTAACAGGGGTTTGGAAGAAGTTGATTCCAACCCTCAGGGATGACTTTCAGGGGTTCAAGACTTCAGTGGAGGAAGTAACTGCAGATGTGGCGGAAATAGCAAGAGGACTAGAATTTGAAGTGGAGCCTGAAGATATGACTGAATTGCTGCAATCTCATGATCAACCTTGAATGAATGAAGAGTTACTTCTTATGGATGAGCGAAGACAGTGATTTCTTGAGATGGAATCTACTCCTGGTGAAGATGCTGTGAACATTGTTGAAATGACAACAACGGGTTTAGAGTATTACATATGCTTAGTGATAAAGCAGTGGCGGGATTTGAGAGGATTGACTCCAGTATTGAAAGATGTTCTACTCTGGGTAAAATGCTATCAAACAGCATCGCATGATACAGAAAAATTTTTCACGAAAGAAAGTCAATCAATATGGCAAACTTCATTGTTGTCCTATTTTAAGGAATTGCTACAGTCACCCCAACCTTCAGCCACCACCACCCTGATCAGTCAGCTGCTGTCAACATTGAGGCAAGACCCTCCCCCAGCAAAAAGTTTACAACTCGCTGAAGGCTCAGATATCATTAGTTTTTTCTAGCAGTGAAGTATTTTTAAATTAAGGTACGTACATTGCTTTTTTAGACATGCTATCACACACTGAATAAGCTACAGTAGAGCATAAACATAACTTTTATGTGCACCAGGAAACCAAAAAAATTCCTGTGACTCGCTTTATTGCAGTGGTCTAAAACCGAGTTTGCGTTATCTCTGAGGTATGCCTGTACTCTGATTCCGAGGTAAAGGAAGGTTAACTGGCAGAACTTCACTGATACTTTTGTTAGGTAAACACACATCTGTCCCCAGGATAATTAACACAACGACAGAGAAGGGAGGAAGAAAAAGAGTTAGTAGAGAGCTAGAAGGGGCTGGCAAAAGGGGAAAGAATAATGTGAGATCATGAGGCAGAAACACATCCATCCCATGGAGGACCTGTGTGTAAGGGCAGGTGGCCCTTAGAGCAGCTTTCTTTATTTTAATAAAGTATATTTCTCTGCACTCATAGAGACAATACAGAAAAACATTAAGAATGACACACACACGTGTGCGCACACATATGCACCCAGAATCAGAGATCACTGCTTCCCCCTAACACAGCTGTCTGAGAACAGTGCCCTGGCTGGATTTTTTGGCCATGGAATAATTTTCCAAGTCCAGCCTGATCATCTCTCTCCCACAGTCAATCCTAGGTGGCAAGAAAATGCTGGCTACTCTGGAACCAGTTCAGGGATGAATGCCATTGATTGCACTGCTACCTCCATCACCTACAGAGTGACAGCATGTGAGAAAAACAAATCACGGCTGATATGCAAAAAAAAAAAAAACAAACCAAAAAACAACAACAAAAAAAATCCCTCTCTGTTCCAGTTTATCACATGTACAATGAGTCTGTGGGGTGTCTAACAAATGGCCTGCCAGCCTCGGTGTAGAAAGGGGCAGAAGGCTTGCAACCTGATGTGGCTGCAGTGGGCCCTCAGCCTGCATTTTGTTGAGAGTCCTACATCCAGAGCAGATTCAATTTTGAATCTTTACAGTGACTCTTTTCGAATGCATGGTTATTCAGCAGATTAAATCTTAATTGCAAATGCAGCTTCAGCGTAGGAGTACCATTGTGCTTGCTGGTTTCAGGCCATTTTTGCTGAGCCGTGCTTTTCCAGAAGGCTGTTACAAATTTAGAAAGGGGGAAATGGCGTTTCATTTGTCGATTGGAGTTTTGTTTTGCCGACTGGATTTATTTTAGTGTTTGTTTAGAGGTGCCAAAAACTGACGTCCCTGGAGAGAGAATTGCTCAATTTTTTTGGAGAGGTTCTCTAAATTGTCCAAACTGCACATAGAAAACAATGTCTGTGGTCCTTCTGTGAGAGGACAGGCTTGCCAACAATCTCATGTGGTATAATTTTTATTAATTTTTCAGAGACCCAAGAAGCCACCGCCTCCATCCGCTCCTGTCATCAAACAAGGGGCAGGTAATGTACCTTTCAGTTCCATCAAATAAAATATGCGTCTTTCTTTTTGCATATATTCAAATCATCCTCAGTGTAGAGTTCGGGATTCCTGGTTCAAGTGCCATAGATTGACTACTTGGGAAGTTACGATTTGGTCTCAGCAGGCAGGTTTTAAAGATACTTCTGTTTTTCCTAAAAGATAAACATACCATTAAAATGTGACCCTGATATAGTGTAAAAATCTAGGCTCCCAATGAGAATGATCAGAAAGAATTAAAACAAACAAACAAACAAACAAAAAAAACAAGTTTGGGTTTTTTTAAGTAAACAGCTTTTGAGGAGAAAAGAACTGAATTGCCCTGTTTCTCATGTGCCCAGTTGAAGGTCAGCTTAGGGAAGATTGTTTCCCACAGGTCATAGCATTGTTGTGCGTATATAGTGTTGCTGAATTTTCGATATCTGTCCCATGTGGTTAACCAAAATTTGTACTGACTTCACTTACCCCTCAACAAAAAGATGTTTTTCTAGCAATAAATACTTTTCCTTATGATTCTTGTTTAATTTTGAAGAGTCTAATTCACTTTTTTTCTGTGTAGTTCAGATATTCAGGTTGAATAATATAGGAAGAATTGATGTTGAACATTTGGTAGCTTGTTTCACACTGGATTCTCATATATAAAAAGATATTTCATATTTCCCGGTAGAACTCCTCTTTATAATAGTTAAAATTAATTATAGGGAAAAATTCCTCCATGAGTTATTAGTTAAGTAGCATTTTAAAAAATTAACAACTAAAATAGAAGAGAAAGGGTATTTTTAGTTCTACACATTCACAATTATATTTCTATAACAGTTAAATTATGAATAAATTTCAAGATTGGTTTATTTATAAACTTATTAAGAAGTGATTTTTAAGTTCTTTTGGCCCACCAAGTTAAGAGGAAAAACTTGACCCCAAATTCCTTTCCCATTCCCTTTGGCATAGTTGAGAATTATTAGAGATTAAGTCCTGAAATGGGATGTTAATTACATCTTTTGCTCCGCCCCCATCCTTGTTTGCATTGAGCAGTTTCATTTTGCCACCTAGTGGTTCTGCCCATATATTTTATTGTGCTGAAATTGAAGCAAGCTATTTATTTACTTTTCTCTGAAGACCCCTTTCCCTGTAGGCCTTGGTAATTGATCAGAGACCGTGGAGATTAGTTGAGGAGTCCAAGGCTCAGGCAGTCTAGAATGTAGCTAAGATTGGATTCTTCAGTATAATAGGATTGTCAGTTCTTTCTGTGTCTCTAGGAATGATACCGACTTCATTATTGTTAGGTGAGTAGATTGTAGCATGGTAGGCAAATTCTTACCCTTTTAAAACAATTTTACCAAAGTTTATGATGGGTCTCTGTGGGGCAAAGCAGGATGGCATTTAATGTTTATAGATTACTGCTCATTTATCCTGCCTGAATGATCGTGGGAACTGCTTTGTAATGGGGAGATAGATATTCATATTTTCTCCCTCGTCAACTTTCCTTGCGTTTGATTATTTTACCAAAAAAAAATCAGATATGAAATTGACAGAAATGAGATGTGGTGATTAATTTGTAGTGAGTCATTAAGAGGAATTAAGTAAAGGATGTGTTTGGTGGATATTTTTTTTAACTTCTTTTGTTCTCTGAGGTTGTGTAATTGAGATTTCTAGTACCAAGCACCCATCTTTGGAACTGGTCATGTAAAGAGTTTGTTAAGAACTCAGCCCAGTCCATACATAAGAGGAGTACTTTTGACTGGTTTGTGCTTTAGCTATTTCTCAAGTGCTCTTACATGCCTGAGGCCACTGGCACCAATGAGGAAACCCCAGGTAAGGGAGCAGCTGCAGTCCATGTGGGTAAAGGCTAAGTGCTAAGTGGTACATTTGAAAAAATGTAATACTTGAAGGACCCCAAATTTGGTGGCATAAAACAACAGCCTTCTTATGTTCATGGATTCTGTGGGTCAAGAACAGACCATGGCTGGGCTGGCTTGTCTCTGCTCCGTCATATCTGGGACCTCAGCTGGGAATACTGAACTAGCTGAAGCTGGAGGATCCACTTTGAAGATGAATGTTTCCCTCACGTGTCTGGCTCCCCTTGGCAAGGGTGCCTGGAAGGCTGGGCTCAGCTGGGGCTATAGGCTGGAGCATCTGTATGTGGCCTCTCCAGGGTAGTTGACTTCTTACATGGAAGTTCAGTATTCCAGCAAATAAAGCATAAACTACAGGGACTTTTATGACTCAGCTTTGGAAGTTATGTGGTATCATTCCTGCCACTGATTGAAGCAGTCACAGGCCCACCCACATTCCTGGCAAGGGGATGTAGACCTCACCTCTTACTGGGAGGAGTATCAGGTAATTCCAGGCCCTGTTTTAAAATGGCTACAAAATGGGATCCAGATTCCTATGAAACCCCCTTTTTTTGGTAGAACACAACATTCAGTGGCCCCTTATTTGTAAAGTTTGATAATTGACATTTATTTATACACATTCTCCACCCCCACCCGGTGATTTCCTGTGACTATATTGATGCCTAAGGAAATCAGGCTTAAATATCAGAAAATATTATTAGTGGTATTCTTGTAAATTAAGGATACATAGGCAGGTGAACTTAATGACATAGGCCAGAAATGTCTTCTGCTCTGTTTCTAAACAGCTCGTGCTTGCCAGATAATGCTAACGCCCAACTCAGGGGAAAAAATCTTACTGACTTTGCTCTACCTGATAAAGATTTAAATGCTGGTGGGTGTAATAATTGAGTACAGAAAACATTTTGTGATCACTATTACCCTTTCCCTCCTAGGCACCACTGAGAGAAAACATGAAATTAAAAAGATACCTCCTGAAAGACCAGAAATGCTTCCAAACAGAACAGAAGAAAAAGGTATGAAATCAATTCTTCATTGGCACTTCCAGAACAGCAGGAGCTGAAGCTGTCTGTTACACGGCTAGTCCAGAATACCCACAGAATTTGCTTTTCCTTTGGAATATGGTGATCATGGTTTTGTTTTGATTGCTTTTACAAATCCTATTGCTAAGGAAGTAGGAGAGGGTTATGTGGTACTTCGTGGGACCACAATTTCTCATCAGATGAAAAATAACCAGTCTAGTCAATTAACACATTGCTGCTGTTTCCTGATGTCTCTACCATGGCCACCCTCTCTGCACCCTGAAGTCGGATGTAAGTTCCTTTAGGGCCTGGTATATATCTGTCAGTTTCCACTTAGCCTGTCCTTCATGCCTAGTGTCCCAAGGTGCTCATTCACTGTTGATGGATGGATTTGGCATAGTGAAATTCACGTCCAGATAAATAAACAAATGAAAGCTCTTTTCTTTGGTCACTCATGGACCCTTGACTCTGGGTAACGTTATTACAGACAGAAGTCCTTGGTCAAGGATGTTGGAGGAGGGGAGGGTGGCATGGTAATACTGGGAAAGCAGCTTGGTCCCCAGCGTCTCCTGAAGGTGGTCAGGAGTGTCATTGGCAGGAAAGTAGGTTAATGTGTGTCCTGCAATCAGGTTTATGAACGCGTTTGACTCCTACCATTTTGAGAGTCTCTCCCAAAGAATTCTGCATACTGTAGAAGGACTCATTTTATTAGGTGTCTAGGATTTGATTGATCACACATTTTTATGGGAAAAGTGCTATGTTATTACGAACAGGAGGCTGAGCAAATCCCATTTTAAAAAGCAGTTATTTTTAAGTCACAAGAGAAATGCTGAATTAATGAATGTAATTATTTGGAGGTGCTCCTTGGTGGCCTCATGAAATTTTATTGTGAAATTTGATATTTGATATCAGCCTGCCAAAAATTTTACCAACATTGCCAGCTCTTAAGAAGCTATACCTCTTTCTTTCACAGTGAGCAGTTAGAACTTGACTTGTGGAACCTCATTGTGAAGGCCAGGTCTGTGTCACGGATTGAAGAAAAAAACCAGCCATTGAGTATATACTATATGAATAACTCTTTGTATAAAAGCATTGGTATGGCCAGGCACAGTGGCTCACACCTGTAATCCCAGTACTTTGGGAGGCTGAGGCGGGAGGATCACTTGAGCCCAGGAGTTCAAGACCAGCCTGGGCAACATAACAAGACCCTGTCTCTACCAAAAAAAAAAAAAAAAAAAAAAAAAAAAAAAATAGCCAGGCCTGGTGGCCTGTGTCCATAGTCCCAGCTACTTTGGGAGGCTGAGGTGGAAGGATCGCTTGAGTCTGGAAATCAAGACTGCTGTGAGCTGTGACCATGCCACTGTACTCCAGCCTGAGCAACAGAGTGAGACCCTGTCTAAAAAAAAAAAAAAAGTGTGTGATGTGAAATAACCAGACACCACCCTCTGTCCTCATGGAGGACACATGGCTAGTTTCTGGGTAATAGCCAGGCTCCGTGATGGGGACACTTCCTGCACTAGTCCATGCTGACATATGGACTAGGCTTACATGTGAACAACCACCCTAGTTGGCTGACCAAGTGGCCCCACATCTCTGGTTCCTTCCTCTCCCATGATCCCTTGTTATATGCCACAGCGGGTGAGGGACGTAGAATCCCTGGTCAGATGCAATAGGGAAGCCAGGGAATCAGCCCTACCCGGATACTTGGTTTCCCTGTTGGGTCAGCACAAACTCCCTTTTCCATTCATCCAGCAGGCTGCTGGAGTTCCTGTCCCTGTCCTGCTGCAATAGGAGAAATGTCCCCTGCTTTGCATTTCAACAGAGCCCTTCCTCCTCTGGCCCCTGTGTGCCATAAAATGAGTTGCCAGCATTCCTGATTGGAGCATATTTCCCCACATTGTGGGGATGAGCATAATAGTACCTGATGGGTTTATTTTTATTTTATTTTTTTAGAGACAGGGTCTTGCTCTGTCACCCAGCCTGGGGTGCAGTGGTGCGATTGTAGCTCACTGCAGACTCGAACTCCTGGGTTCAAGATCCTCCCGCCTCAGCCTCCCGAATAGCTGGGACTACAGGTGTATGCCACCATGCCCGGCTAGTTTTTGTAGAGACGGGGTTTTACTGTGTTGCCCAGGCTGGTCTTGAACTCCTGGCCTCAAGTGATCCTTCCGCCTTGCCCTCCCAAAGCTCTGAGATTACAGATGTGAGCCACCGCGCCCAGCCCTGATGGGTTTTTTTTTTTTTAACCTTTTGCCAACCATCTGGGCACCCAAACAACATGAGTCTGTGTTTGCAAGTAGAAGGTGTCCTGAGTACCATCTTACAAGTAAGCATAGGGAGCCTGCCTATAGTCCGTTGGGCAACTCTCTCAAGTTCCATCTTTATCAAGAAGAATGTGGATGTATGCTTTTTATGCCACACACGGAGCAAGGCTAGTTGGGAACAGAAAATATGAGGTTGTCACTGAACACTGCCCCCGTTCGGCCAACAGATCTGGCTTCAACTTCATTCTAATATCTGTGACTCCAAAAAGCCTTGGAAACCTTATACCTGTGAAGTCCTAGTTTGCCTTCCAAGTTCAAACTTCTTGTGCGCAAGAAGAATCCAGAACTCATTGTTCCCTGAAATGCTCTCCCTTTTATTTGCTCATGGCCCTTTTCAGAGGCCAGCCTGAGACGTGTCAGGCCTCTTTCCTTCCCATACCCAGCAGGTCCCGTGGGCCATTGACCAAACCCCTCAGCCCTCTGCTGAGCCCTGACTCCATGCCAGCACCACATACAGCTCTGAGGAGATGACCAGACTTGGGCCCTGCCCTCAGGGGCTGTCGGCCTACAGGCTGTGCCAAACATGCAAACACCCAGAAAGTGTCTGAGCGTGTTTGTAAAGCGCTGCCCTGTAATGCTCAGGTGAGGAAGGAAGGAAGTCTGCCTTTGAGCTGTTGGGAAGGGAACATGGCAGTGTCACGTTTCAGCCAGGCTTCGAAGGAAGAGCTGGAGTATGCTGAAGGTGGGCGGTGGCCAGAAGGGCGCTTCAGGCAGAAGGACCAGCATGAGTGAAGGTGTGCAAGGGAGGGAACAGTGAGCTCTGTGGGACTTCTTCTAACCTGACAAAGAATAAGTGGTGCTCTTGGCCTTCCATGATCACCTTCAGAAATAGCATCAGTAATTTTTTTTTTTTTTAGCAGGAAATGAGTGATCTGCATCTAAGTACTGTCACTTACACTCGATCTATCTGTTTTCTTTAAACAATGATTTAAAGAAAGACCAGAGAGAGAGCCAAAACTGGATTTACAGAAGCCCTCCGTTCCTGCCATACCGCCAAAAAAGCCTCGGCCACCTAAGACCAATTCTCTCAGCAGACCTGGCGCACTGCCCCCGAGAAGGCCGGAGAGACCGGTGGGTCCGCTGACACACACCAGGTACTGCTGTGCTCTCACCTCCGGGGCGGGTGTGGGGTGGCTATGGAAGGAACACAGGAGGGGAACTGACTGCCACAGACCTTGGGAGGAAGGGAGAGGAGAAGGGGGTGCTCAAGCTTCCCTCTTACATCCTCCAGCAAAATTATCTGAAGACACCGGCCACTTCTGTCCTTGCTCCTGCACTCAGGCAGGAGTGAGTGTGAGGTTGAGGGGTGCGGTGTGGGTTTCATGAGGACTGGGTACCCAGCATTTAGGCCCTGCTCACACACAGGGGTTTTTCCTGGGCCTTATTAGAAGCAAGGCCAACTGCCCTTCAGCCTGGAAATGCAGGTGGCGTGTCCCTCTTTGTCCCCCTGGATGTTGTGCCGGCCTCAAGTATGTATATCTCATGTGTGGCTACGACCCCTGACCCTCACTGCTCTGCAGGGCTTCTTTCCATAGCCCAGGCTCCCTCTGCTCTTCACTGTACAGCCTGTTATGGAACCCCGAGCCAGGAACGTCTCTAACTCTAAGACCCTCAACGGCTGGGGACATGCTTTATGCAGGCATGTGTTCTGAGATGTGCTTGACAGAATGCAAATTCATTCGCCAGCTGGCTGGATGCATGTGTTCCATGAAATCAGAGTTGGACATTGTGTGTTCCAGACCTGAGATACCTACCACAGAGCAAGGAACTGTTGAATTCTCTCCATAAGTTCATTGCCAGAACTTTCTACCATAATATGAAAATATATATGTATTATATGTGTTGGTGTAACACACCAGGGCAGGTCAGTGACTCAGAGGTCTTTAGGTATACATGTCAACACACAGTCACTGAATTTTTGTTCTTATGAGCTAAGTTGGCCTGGTGAAAGTTGCATGGGCTTCACAGCTCTTGCGTTGGAGTCAGACAGACCTCAGGGCTGGAATCTCAGCCCACCTCATTCATGGGAGGAGTAGGAGCTTGGCTACTCTATCCTCTCACCTCACTTTTTTCATCTGTAAATAGAGGATGATAATGGAATGCACCTAAATAATTCCCAAGTATGCAAATCAACATTATTTTCATTGTTATTTTGATTATTGCCTATTGAATTGGGCACGCTGCAGTAAGACAAAAAGAGCTCATTTACTCTCTTAAAGACAAGTTTTAATTAGTGGTAAAATACACACAATGTAAAAATTTACCATCCTAACCATTTTAAGTGCACTGTTCAGTGGCATTAAGTACGTTCACATTGTTGTACAACCATTTCCAGAACTCTTTTCATCTTGTAAATCTGAAATTCTGCACCCTTTAAACAGTGACTCCCCATTTACCCCCTCTCCCAGCCCCTGGCAGCCGCCATTCTACTTTCTGTCTCTATGGATTTGACTACTCCAGGTACCTCAGTAAGTGGAATCATACAGGATTCATCTTTTTTTTTTTTTTTTTTTTGAGGCAGAGTTTCGCTCTTGTTGCCCTGGCTGGAGTGCAATGGCGCAATCTCGGCTCACCGCAACCTCCTCCTCCTGGGTTCAAGGGATTCACCTGCCCCAGCCTCCCGAGTAGCTGGGACTACAGGCATGTGCCACCACGCCTGGCTAATTTTGTATTTTTAGTAGAGACTGGGTTTCTCCATGTTGGTCAGGCTGGTCTCAAACTCCCGACCTCGGGTGATTCACCCGCCTCGGGCCTCCCAAAGTGCTGGGATTACAGGTGTGAGCCACCGTGCCCGGTGGATTCATCCTTTTATGACTGGCTTATTTCACTTAGCATGATGTCTTCAACATTCATCTGTATTGTAGTATGGCTCATTTGCTTTTCATAACAATGACAACAACAAAAACACAACTCCCAGGCTCAAATGTAGAGGCAAGTCGCAACGTGGGCTGGCTGCCCAGTCGATACAGAGCTGTGGTCATCTCAGGTGCGTGTGAGCCCATTCAAGTAGCAGCTGGTTCACCTGTGTCATTCTACAGGCATCTCCCAAGGTCCAGTCCAACAATTGCCTCCATGTGACACCCCCTGTTGAGTTGGTGAGGCCTCTCCATGTTCCACCCTCTACTATGAACTGGCAATAGAAGGTTCTTTGCACATGCACATATTGGGGCCACTTGACAGCCTTGATGACCTTAGCAAGGATCATTTCAGTGGTGTGGTCAGCCCAGAAGCTAGTATATCAGAAGAAAAAACTTATTTAAACCAAAGTGCTTCCGAAAAGAATACGAGCTATACAAATGGGGAAGATGTGGAGCAGCAAAGGTTGCACATCACTGAAGCCACACCCTGGCAAATTCTATTAGTCTCCAGGGGCTACAAACATTTCCGTTAGCTCTATAACAATTTCCAAAATATTCCTGCTGCTCTTTCTAACAATCTGATTGAAGAGAAGTGGAATTCCAACTGCTGCTTTGCCTTCTAGAGTTGCTTGCAACTCTCTGGTTATAGGATAGGTACAGGCTTTGCAAGCCTGGGGGAAATGTGGCATCACCACCAAACTTCTGGGCTCACAGAGGTCCCATTTGCCTCCTTCCTCTGCTTATCTCTTCTCTGCCTCTGCGTCTCCCAGTATCCAGTGGTTAGTTAGAAGTCCAGGCCATGAAGGGAGATGCATGAGAGAGGTTCGTGAAGCCAGTGGAAGATGTAATTGTTCTTAACAGTGCGTGCCATCTGAGCAGCCTGGGAGAGGGTGGTCAGCCCCCAGCCCTCCACACACTCCATGGCTGCCTAGCTCCCTAGACACTGGTTTGCAGGAGGGTGTGGGGGAGGAAAGCCCTGAGATTCCTGCTTAGCCGGTTTAAGGGAGGGCAGTGCCTGCTCTAACTCAGTGGTTCTCAAACTTCAGCATGCCTCCGAATCACCTGGAGAACTTGTTCAAAGCAGATGGCTGGGTGCTATCCCCACAGTTGCTGACTCAGTAGGTCTTGGGTGGGCCTGAGAATTTACATTTTTAAAAGCTGCTGCTGCTGCTGCTGCTGCTGCTGCTGGTAGTGGTGGTGGAATCCACACCGTGACACCCATTGCTCTAGATTCTTCCAAGTTGTTGACGGTGCTCGCCCCTCCTTGCCTGGCTGCCTCTCAAGCGCCTGCTCGTGCTTCAGATTTGAGAGCCCCTGTTAGCATGCCCTCCTCTGGAAGCCTTCCCTTAGATCTCATGATTGCTCTCTCCTCCAAATGCCTGCCACCCGTGTTTAGCCTAGTGCTGGGCCCCATGCTGTGCTACTTGGGATGCAAACACCCCCGGACTTCTTTACCAGATTTAAAGCAGATCAAGAGTGTGTTTTGTCATCTCCACATGCCTTACGGTGTCGAGCATATGGTAGTGGCTCATTTAACAAACACTTGTTGAATGCCATGGTTCCTTAAAAGAGGGGGAGGTGCCAGTGCTTATATTTTGTTCAATTTTGCCTCTCCTGTCGTCCTTCCCAGCCTCCGTACATTTAGTACATTTAGTACATTTAGTACATTTAGTATGCGTGTCTTACATTCTAAGTAACCTATTATGCCATGGATTGCCACACAAAAACACTTTTAAAAGTCAGAGAAAGGCTTATTGTTCCTTGGTACTTAATGCACTTTATATTTTTTTGCTAAGCGATTACATTGAACAACCAACCTGTATATTGGTTTATGCACTTGTTTTCTTCTGCCAAGTTAGTGGAGGTAGGAATGTTAATTCAAATAGTCTTGTGTCAGTGGTCCTCTGGAGAAAGGGTATTGTGTTCTGTGTGAACCCAGATCTTCGCCAGGATTTACCTGACCAGGTGAATGGATGGATAGATGGACGATTGCATGCATGGACATGTAGTCACTGTAAGCAGCTCTCATTGGAAGCCAGGCATTGCCACTCCAGCTGCAGCGTCCGGGCTCACGCTGCTTCTCACCAGCCAGTAATCTTGCTGCCAAGTGCGGCTTTCAGAGGAGAGTAATTTCTTTCTCTTTAAACAGGAGCTAACATCTTTCAGAAAAAAGGAATACTGTACATAAGTTTAGGAAAAGCATCATCACTTTCAGATATATTCACTTAACAAAAAACGTATTACAGGGCCAGGTACAGTGGCTCCTGTCTGTAATCCCAGCACTTTAGGAGACCAAGGTGGAAGGATAACTTGAGGCCAGGAGCTCGAGACCAACCTGGGCAATATAGTGAGACCACATCTCTACAAAAAAATTTTTAAAAATTATGCAGGCATGGTGGTACACATCTGTAGTCTCAGCTACTCAGGATGCTAAAGTGGGAGGATTGCTTAAACCCAGGAGGTTGAGTCTGCAGTGAACTGTGATGGTGCCACTGCACTCCAGCCTGGGCAACAGAGTGAGACCTTTCCTCCATAAATATATATATGTGTATTTATATTTATAAATACATATTTATAAATATAAATATAAATATATTTATATATATATAAATATGTATTTTGTATATTTATATACATATATTTATATATATTTATAAATATAAATATATATTGACATATATTTATAAATATAAATATATTATATATAAATATATATAAATATATTATATATAAATATATATTATTAATATGGTAACATAAAATCAGTTGGACATTGTATATTTTGTATATACAATTAATATATATTTATCTATTTTGAAATATAGAAAAGAATATTACAAATATATATTCATATATTTGTAATATATATTTTATATATTGTTAATATAAATATTTAGAAATATATCATTAATATATATTAACAATATATATTTATAAATATAAATATAAATGATATATATTTATATATTTAGAAATATATAAACATATACCATTGATATATAAATATATGTTAACAAATATATACATATGTGTTAATAAATATATTAGTATATTAATATAGTTATAAGTATACATAAATAATATATATTATTAATAGCACCATAATTATTAATAATTATAATAATACTATAATTAGTAATTATATTAGTCCTGGTCAGACCCAGGTGTTCCAGTTCACAGTTTTTAGGAATTATATCTAGGAAAACCACAGTGACATCAGTCAGCAGTCTGTGTTCAGCCTGAGCAAGTGGAAACGCACATGAAGGCTCTTACAGTGATCGCTCCCTTCCTCAGATAGTAATATACTTGACCTTTAGTAAGAATGTTCTCCCCACTTCTAGAAAGTAAGTTCATGTGGAATTTCAACAGGAAGAAAAGACTTTCAAAAATGTAATACCAGCATTGATTTAAAAATTCAATGGTGGGCTGGGCACGCTGGCTCATGCCTGTAATCCCAGCACTTTGGGAGGCCTAGGCAAGTGGATCACCTGAGGTCAGGAGTTTGAGACCAGCCTGGCCAACATGGTGAAACCCTGTCTCTACTAAAAATACAAAAAATTAGCCAGGCTTGGTGGCGGGTGCCTGTAATCCCAGCTACTCAGGAGGCTGAGGCGGGAGAATCGCTTGAACCCGGGAGGCAGAGGTTGCAGCGAGCCAAGATTGCACCATTGCTCTCCAGCCTGGGCAACAAGAGTGAAACTGCGTCTCAAAAATAATAATAATAATAATAATAATAATAATAATAATAATAATGTGTATTAGCAATTGAATAAAAATGGGTTCCTCTGTGAAAAGAGTTCCTGAGACTTGGGAGAAGAGTCCAAAAGAAGAAAAAGAAAAACCCAAGGAAATGCTGGAGAGAGGCAGGCTGCCCTTAGCTCTAGTAATTGCATGCAGTGGAAGGCAGCAAGCAAGAAACCTGAGGGGCAGGGCAGGTGTGTACCCTCAAAAGGAAATAATTCTGATAGGGCAAGAGATAGAAGCAGCCTGACCAGTCCAAAGCAGGCTTGTTAATCCTCCCAAACTCAGACATCCCAAGGCATAAGGATTAGTCATTTTCTTCCCAAAGAATAGAGAAGCTAGAGCAGGACCTTCACTGTGAGTTGGGGAGCTTTGCCTGTCTCCCGCTGTAGCACATGCTCTCTGAGTGGCCAGGGGCAGGTGTCAGGGAGCCTTGAGTTAGAGATGTGGGGAGAAGGTCTGGGATGAAGGAGAGGAAGTGAGGCCAGCAAGGATGGAGTGGGAGCAGGGCAAAGTTGATGGCTGGAAGGAAGCACAGGAGATGGTGATCAGAAAGGGGAGGTTGGTGCTTACAACCTTGGAGGTGGGTTTGTTTGGAAGATGAAAACATTCGCAATGGTTGTGGCCACAAATGTGGGTGACTGAAGATGAATGAATGAAGGTCATAGAACTGAAGATACCGAGGAAGGAGGGGCCGGAGTTGGGGATGGATCACCCACGCGGCCACCATAGGCTCAGGAAGATGGCAAGAGCTGGAGTCAGGGAGGCCAGTGTTCTACAAGCCAGTGTCCTCCCATGGGTGCTGGTGTGTTCTGGGAGTTGATGATAGTGACAAGAGGGTTTGACAGTGTGGTAGCAGGTGGTGTGAGCCTGCTGGCTCTATCCTCTGTCGGGCAGAGCAGAATTAACAGCTTTTGCTTTGGCCGGTGGCTGAGAATGTCAGGATGGAAGCGGACCATTCAATGAGAAGGGTCCAGATATGGGGGAGTTGGTTGCTATGAATCAGACATCCCAGAGGTCACTGTCCATTGACTTTACATGTGGAAACATGTGCCCAGGAATTGCTTTCGAAGATAGGCAGTTGGATGATGGACACCAGGATGTGGGTAGGAGGCCCAGTGACTTTCCAGACCTATGCCACTTGGAGATGACCTATTGCTTTAAATGTTAAACATACCATGTGGACTTCTTGTGAAGAGCTGGAGGCTATACTGAGAGAATTGGAGCATAGGATAAGGGGAGGGGCAGCACGCAGTGGAATCGCTTTTTTTTTTTTTTTTTTTTAAACCTGTAGTGATGCTGGAGCACTGGATTTCAGAGAAACACTGGGAGTTAAGTGACTGATGAGTTCTGAAGCATTTTAGCTTGAGGCAAAGATTAAGTAAACATTTATATGCCAAACATCAACTAAGTGCATAGGGAAGGGCAGATGTCTCTCTTGGGACCAACTTAAGAGCATGGAAGTTAATTTTTTCTTTAAATTTACCAAGGCATCTTGGCTTAAGACCTTGGGGTTATGATGTAGCAGGAAATAAGCTTCCAGGTACTGATCACTCCGTGAGGTGTCCAACTCCCATGCCCACCAAAAGAAAGCATTAGAAAAGACCTCTTTGCTTTTATTAGGCATAAACTAATCAATCCATTAATCAAAAAAGAGGACGAGAAAGCTAGTGAGTGTGTGCAATGTTCCCTAAGTCAGCAGGTAAACTGAATACTTGGATGCTTAGCCCATCATTTTGAATTGGGATTACTCAGGTGTTGTGAATTTCTTTCTAAAGATTCCTAGTGATTCCTTGTGTGATTTTTGTGTGTTTCCCTCCTTTAATACAAATCAGGATGAAGACTTATCTTTGGAGAATTCAGGAGAGAAGTCTTGGCTAGAAATTACAGAGGTTGGCTTGGTGCAGTGGCTCACATGTGTAATCCCGGTGCTTTGAGAGGCAGAGGCAGGAGGATCACTTAAGGCCAGGAGTTCTAGACTAGCCTAGGCAACATAGAGATCTCTACAAAGTTTTAAAATTAGCCATGCATGGTGTTGCATGTCTGTAGTCCCAGCTACTTGAGAGGTTGAGGTGGGAGGATCACTTGAGCCTGGGAGTTCAAGGCCATAGTGAGCAATGATTGCACCACTACACACCGTCCATCCTGGGTGACAGAGTGAAGCCCTGTCTCTAAATAATTAAAAAGAGAAAAAAAAGCAATTACAGAGGTGGATGCCATTGGCTTATAGATGGTAGTTACAAGCATGGAATAGATATGACCACTGCAGGAGATTACGGAGAACAGGAGGAGGAAAGAGTAGAGACAGCAGCAGGGAAAATCACTGCGTACAGGGTGGAGGAAGGCCTAGGAGCCATCCAAAAGGGTAGGAGGAGTGTGATGTCATGGAAGCTAGAAGGAGGAAGTGTGGAGCAACTACTGATCAGCAGTGCTCACACCTGGGCGTGCATCCGAATCACGGGTGTTTAGGGGTGCTTGTTGAAACACAGATTGCTGGCACCCCAGGTTTCTAACTCAGTAGGTCTGAATTAAGGCCTGAGAATTTGCATTTCTCCCAAGCTCCCAGTGCTGCTGCTGCTGCTGCTACTGGTCAGGGGACCACATTGTGAGAACCACTGCCATCTCGAGAGCCAGGGACACCCAGGCTTTGCTCATTAGTTGGCCCTTGGTGATCCCAGTCGAGCAATTTCCATGCAACAGTTGTGGGCAGGAGACAGATTTGGGGTGAGTTGAAGAGAGAATGGGCAAGCGGCCAAGCGTGGGTAGACTTGTCTTGTGAGAAATTGGCTATGGAAAAAAGATGGAGAATGGGTGCTAGATATAGATTCAGGAAGGAAAGAAAATTTGTGTGTGTGTATATGTGTGTATGTGTATGTATGATTCATTTGTTTGTTTCAAATACTCGTTAAGTGCCTACCTTTGCCCTGGCCCTCTTCTAGGTAGTAGTTAACTATGGTAACCAGGCCCACCCACTGCTTGCTTGGGCTTTGGGGCCAGGCACACTGGGGTTGAAACCCCAACCCTCTTCTTAGATACCCTGTGACTTCGTGCAAGGTGCTCACCACCTTGAGTCTCACTCAGTTCCCTCCCCTGCAAAATGACACCACAAGGCCTACCTTGCTCAGGTGTGGAGAGTTTAAACAAACTGCTCCACCTCAGGGGCCTAGCTCATTGCCTGGCAACTTGAGAGGCACTTACTAAATCTGTGACCTCCATGGGGGAGGGGTTCCTGCATCAGGCTCTGGGGCCCCAAGGGAGTGGAAAAGTGAACATCCTCCGGGTGGAAGCATGAGTGGCCTCCCCCAGCTGCAGCAAGAGCCAGGACCCAGGGAAGGCCAGCAACTGATGGAAGGTAGTCCCATAGGTCACAGGCATGGGGGGAAGTACCTTGTCATACTTTAGGGACATCTGCATGATTTGCTGACCTCATTCCACTTGTACATATTATCTTCTCTCACTCTCTTTCCTTCCTCCCACACATAAAGTGAATCAACCATAGTGATGGGATTTAGCCTCAGCCCAGGCTGAGTCACATGGATTTTCCTGCCACTGATGGCCAGAATCAGGCAGTGAAACAGTAGGAAATGTTAACACCTCACGCATGCTTTGTACTAATTGGTTTCTAGAATGTGTTTTCCATGGGCTATGTCTTTGAGTAGTACGGTTCCTCCACACGGCACCCTGCAAACTTTTCTCACAGTCACATGATGATGAATTCTCGTTCCTCCAGACACTGCCCAAGATGGGGGCTCAGCATCCTTAAAGCCCCTTGCGCCTCTTTGAGATGTCAAGCTGTGGGTTTGCAGGCGACGTCTATGGATGTCATCATCCTTGTGCCATAGTGGATTGCAGGGCTTGTCAGGCCCTGGATGGGCTCTGGAGAGAGGCCTGCTTCCAGATATATTTGCAGAGTCTGCACAATGAACAGGAATTTGGAGGGGAATTGAGTGAGCACTTTCCCATCACCTTCCAGCGTGTCTTCACCATCTATAAATAGCCCAGCTTGTTTGTGCTTATCCAGACAAGGACGCACGATGCAAAGGGAGAGCTGCCAGGAAAACCACTCTGGTTTCTGCTTCTTGTGCCCCTGGCCTCCCTCTGCTTGTCCCACATTTAAATGGTACCACTTTTTCAGTCCAAAAGTTCCTGTGATTCCTGGGACATTTTTGGCTACCAGGTGAGTATGTGGGGACTCATAGCAGATAACAGCAGAACCTTTGGATTTGGATTTCTGGGAAAGGGAGGGAGGCTCCTCCTGCCCTCCATCTGAGGAGCAAAGGAAACTGGGATTACTGATACTCCCATTTTGTCCTTTCCTGATGGAAGGATCCAAGTTCCATGAGCAGTAACATCCCTCCTGGGGCAGAATGCTTCTGAAGGACTGGCTTTGCATCTGCTATCTTCACAGATGGGCAGGGCCCTCTTGTTGCTGTTCATTTGAGAGAAAAACATCTCTTGGAGCATAAAACCTGTGCACACGGATGCTCACTTACATTATTGCCATCCCAAATGTGGTAGGAAAAGATTGGACTGGCTTGGCATGAGGAACTTTCCATCTGGTTCCAGCTCTGCCACCAATCAACTAGGTGGCCTTGGGTATATCACTCCCCACTCTCAGAGCACAGGACCTCTGTCTGTAATAAAATGGGGGCTTCAGCTGGGTAGTCTCTACTCACCTTTAACAATCAGAGCTGAAGTCTGAGATGTTATAAGTAGGCAGCCAGGAGAGCAGGAAGGGAGCGCTTACTTGCGTTGGCCTTGTATCCTCAGGCACCCGACTGGACAGGGCCACAGAGGTAAACAATGAGATGCAGTAGTTTTACACTAGGAGGGAGTGATAAGCAAGGTTGCAGAGTTGGAGAAAGAAAGAAGATAGGTTCTCAGGTGACAGGTGCTCCAAAATCCCAGACTTCACTGCTGTACAATTCATCCACGTAACCAAAAATCACGTGTACCCCAAAAGCTATTGAAATAAAGTAAAAAGTTGTCATAAAAAAAGAAGATAGGATAATTCGAGTGGTTTCTCTAGGATCTGCACATTTGACATCCATTATCATCTGTTCCCAATGCAATGAAAAGTGATGAACAATAGAGGATGTGTGGTGTGTGCCTCAGTGGTTTCCTAAGCACAGGCAATGGGGCGTTTCTATTTCTTTTCCTTTCCTTTTCTTCCCAGCTTTCTTTCCTCCTTGTCAAATTTTGTAGGCAGTTGAAGCCCAAACACTCGTACCTCCTTTCTGGGGCACGGGGTGGCGGCGGAGAGGGGTGTGTTGCTGCCAAAAAGAGTCACCATATGGACTTGGACTCTGGTTCAGTAGCAATCGGTAGATTTGCTCTTTCTTCTTTCATCCTTGCTCACCTCCAAAAGGTTTGTGGGTTCTTTTTGGTATTTTTTTTTTTGTGGCTGCTGTTAGTGCTACTGCTAATTTACTTGTTTGTTTGCTTGCCTTGGCTTCCTGTGCACTTCAACACCTTGTCTGTACCACATGTCTTGGCTTAACTGTCCCAACGCAGGCTAAATTGGGCCATGCCACTGGCTGAGTTCATGGTCTCGAGAGATGCACATGGTGCATCTTCCACATTGCCGTCTGTGCACGAGCCCCATCTTATATCTTGAGTCTGAGTGGGAAGAACAGGCCCCTCTGGATAGGTCGAGTGCATGATTTTTGTTTATTAGTAGTACTTTTAAACTGAGAGAGGCAAAGGTAATTTACTTAGCTGGCAGTGAGCCGGGGTGACACAGGCTGCCTGGCGTCCTTGATAACTCACTGTCTCCAAGGCCAGATCCCCAGCCTGGAAGACCAGAAGGCTGACTAAAGCAGCTTCGAGAAGGAGTCAAGAGCTTGGGCTCTGGAGTTGGACTTAATAGGCCCAATTCTAGACCCTGCCACTTTACTGCTTTTATGACCCTTAATCAGCAAGTGACTTAATTTCACTGAGCCCCAGTTTCCTTATCTACGTAATGAAAACAAGGTTGTCACAGGTGGGGTTCTCTAGAAGGCATACCCTGAGCCAGCATTTAACATGAAGATATGTTTTAGAGTTCAATACCTATGAAGCAAAAAGGAAGAAGGATTGGGCAGAGGGAGAAGTCATGATGTGATACTGGCTCAAAAAGCCTTGGCCAAATTCGTGGAAAGTTTTGGAGCCAAAATGGCCCATCTGAGTCATCCCATGTTGGGCTGAGATGGCTGAGACTTTGATACCATGGGGTGTGGGCTGCCCTGGAGGGGAGGGAGTGCCTTGGCTGAGGAGGCTCTCTGCAGCTGAGATGGTCCCTGGAATAGCTGACAACTGGCAGCTGCCTGCTGACAGCACTCCCAGCAGGCAGTAGGGGCAATGAGCCCTTCACTCAAGGGGCTGCGCATAGTAGGTACCTCAAGGGGTGGTTGTGAGGATTGAGTATTTAAAGCATGCCTGTAATCCCAGTGACTTGGGAGGCTGAGGCTGGAGGACTGCTGGAGGCCAGGAGTTTAAAACCAGTCTGGGCAATATAGTGAGAGCCCCATCTCTACAAAAATTTTTTTTAAATTAGCCATGCATGGTAGCATGTACCTGTAATCCCAGCTACACAGGAGACTGAGGCAGGAGGATCACTCGAGTCCAGGAATTCGAGGCTACAGTGAGCTGTGATCATGCCACTGCACTCCAGCCTGGGCAACAGAGTGAGACTTTCTTTCTTTTCTTTTCTTTTTTTTTTAAGTGCTTATTCTAGTGCCTGGCACATGGTAGGCATTCAGTAAACAGTAGCTGTTGCTGTTGTTTCTTTTTTCTTTTTCTTTTTTCATTCTCAAAGGGGGTGAGCTGCTGTTATTTCTATGGGATCATAGGTTCTACTTATACCTGGTGTGGTGCTTGGGCTCGTCAGTCTCTTCTCTGTGATTTAGGTTCCTGCTTTAGTAAAACAAGGAGACTTTTAGCCAGTACTTGCCTATCCAAGTCATGTGTCCTAAGTGTCCATAACGAAAACTGCTAGGTAAAATATAAGAACATTGCATTACTTTGATTTAAAAATCAGAAACAAGTAAGGGCAACTTTCTTCTGATGTCTTTGGATATATGGTAGTATCTCCTGACTTCTCTTATGTTCTCCTTTTAGTTAACAGCTGTAGGCATAGAAACTCACCAGACAGAAACACTTGCAGGAGCTTGCAAATTACAAAAGGATGGGCTTTTTCCTTTTTCTCTGAATTTAATAACATCCCTTTTGCCAAATGGTACCCACATGCTGGGCAGACTGGGGAGAACAGGGACCACTGAGGGGCTGCATCCTCATTGGGTGTCAGCCACTCCAGACACATGCTTCACAGAATTTCAGAAATTTTGGTATTTTTCAGAACTGAAATTCATTAGCATTGTTCTAAGAGTCTATAAATACAGTGAAAGGCATTTCCAAATAGACATTGTAAAATGCTTGCACACCCACAGTCTGAACACTGTCAAAACACCAGCTGCAGCTTCCCTACTTGGAAGGATCAGAACCTTTTTTAAACTTCACCTACTGTGTTTTCAAAATAGGTTTGCTTCTGGTCCTGTGTCGAAGATCATTTCAACTTAAGCCTGTGTCTGGTGCTTGGCATGAGGGATCAGGGCTCAGTTGGAGAGACTGGAGAGATCCCACTCTCCTTCCTATCAACATGTGGCTGGTGCTTTAGAATCTGGGGAGGAGTGGCTCAGGGATGATTAGTTCCTATTTCTTCAGGATGGTCCCTTGTGGTTCAGGCTATCCGACCATCTGTAAGGGGCCTGCAGGCAAATCCCAGAGATGTAAAACACTCTCCTGAGTCAGAAGCCCCTCCCTGACAAGGGTTCACCCCAGGTCACACTAAATGCCACTTGAGGGACAGCTACCTTGGCCAACTTTGGAGCATAATAGTTTTTTCCTTTTATCCAGTGCCATTAGAACAATGCTCCTAAAACTGGGGATAGAGCGTCTAGTAGCTACAAGCAATTTGCACCTTTGTTTTTCATTTGTGTGGTATTCTTTATAATTTTAACAGTTGCAAAGACAAAATGCCCTTGTGGCAACAGTTTTCCACTGATAGCCGTTGTCGTTGGCTGTTTTTTGTTTCTTATGGTTTCTCAAACAGGGATGTTGTATTAGTCTGAGTGGCTTAACCAACAGAATTTATTTCCTCACAGTTGTAGAGGTTAGAAGTCTAAGATCAAGGTAGCTGCAGGGTTTGTTTCTTCTGAGGCCTCTTCTAACAGCCTCATTTTAACTTAATCACCTCTTTAAAAGGCCCATCTCTAAATACAGTCACATTTTGAGGTATTGAGGGGTTTCAACTTCAACATATAAATTTTGAGAGGACACAATTTAGTCCATAACAGACATATACATGGGGATCTGCAAGAATTTTTTTGTTTAAAAAGCGTTGACACTATACTCAAGTCTGTGGTCTGAATGTTTATACCTCCCCCTCCCACAAATTGATGTGTCGAAATCCTCACTCCCAAGGTGACAGAATAAGAGGTGGGGCCTTTGAGAAGTGATTAGGTCATTGGGGCAAAGCCCTCATGAATGGGATTAATGCCTTTATAAAAGAAACCCCTCTCCCTTCCACCACGTGAGGGCACAGCGAGAAGGAAGCTGGGTCCTCACCAGACAGAATCTGCTGACATCTTGACCTTGGACTTCCCAGCCTCCAGAACTGTAAGAAATAAATTTCTGTTGTTTATAAGTCATCCACACTATATCAAGAATATAACTTATCCACAGGTTATTTCCTAACGTGTACAAGGCCCAGAAAAATCACAATGTTTGCTTATTCATTTAGTTAAACACTTTTTGGCATACATAAATGTATAAAGCATTGTACTAGGAGGAAACAAAAGTGACAAAATCCCATTCTGAAGAATAAGTGGGGAAGATTACTGGGTACATATATAAATATGAAGTGCTGTGATAAGGGTTGCGATACAGGGGTGTGTTGCAGGAAACACGAGGAAGAGAGATGGATCTCTGAGTGCTAAAAGGGTGAGTTACATTTGCTCAAGTCAAGTGGGAAGGGAAGGAATTCACAACATTGGCCAGAGACATGAAATTTGGAGTCAAAGGAGATGATGAAATGTCCCAGAATTTGCCACAACTCACAGGACCATCTCCACTCCAAGCCCACCCCAGACTCCAACATTTCTCTGATGTTGAAATTATGGAACAGGAGCTCTAGATAGAACGCCTCTCGGAGGTGATCCTGTTGAAGCTAGCCCACCAGTCATTTTGTTGATGAAGCACTCAAGTTCCAGAGAGGTTAAGTAACCCGGCCAAGGTCACACGGGTGATGAACAGCAGGTTTAGATGTAGCACACCTGGCCTGGATTTTTAAGTCTAGGGTTCATAACTCCACCCCTGGCCTGCAAACCAGTTCCCGGGAGAGATGACCTCGTGGGCCACCTACTGCCTGGGTGGTTCTTAAAGGAGAGTTTGTGAGGCAGGATCCAGGCAATCTCAGCTTTTACCTTGGTAATACTATTGGAGAGAAAGGAGAGAGAACATGAGCTGCCTGAATTAGATAAGCCTCTAGTTGCTATTATTAAGAGTAAACTTTAGGCCGGGCATGGTGGCTCACGCCTGTAATCCTAGCACTTTGGGAGGCCAAGGTGGCCAGATCACTTGCGGTCAGGAATTCAAGACCATCCTGGCCAACATGGTGAAACCCTGTCTCTACTAAAAATACAAAAATTAGCCTGATGTGGTGGCACGCACCTGTAATCCCACTTACTCAGGAGGCTGAGACAGGAGAGTTGCTGAAACCCAGGAGGCAGAGGTTGCAGTGAGCCAAGATTACGCCACTGCACTCCAGCCTGGGTGACAGAGTGAGACTCCATCTCAAGAAAATAAAATAAAAGTAAACTTTAAAAGGAAGGAAAAATCTACCTATAATCTTATCCCAGAGATTACTACTATTAACATTTTGGACTATTTCTTTCTTGTCTTTTTCCTATATATATGATTTTGTTTGTTTTTCACCAGTTTTCCGTAGATGTGATCATACTGAACAGCATACAACTTCAGATATTGAGGGAAAAGTGCATTTATTGTACAAATACATAATGCATTCTCATTTCAGAAAATCTGGCAAATGTTCACTAGTTCCACAGATGTTTTTTGAGTCCCTGCCATGTTCCAGCTACTGAACTGGGTGGTGGAAATCACCCATCAGACTACCCAGGAATAACCACTGTAAATTTTCTTCCAGTCTTAAAATCGCTCTTCCTAATATGTCAGGAGGGCACGTGGGTATATGTGTGCTGCTGTGTGTGTTGTTTTTAACCTGCCTTTGTCCCTTAACATTGCAACGTAAGCATTCATTCTTGTTAGTATAAGCCATTTATAAACATCGTTCAGATGGCTATATAAAAGTCCATCAAATATCATAGTTTATTCAAGTGTTTTCCTATTTATGAAAGATTCTAGTTCTTTTCAGTTTTTCTTCATTACAAATAACACTGTGAAAAACACACTGATGCATAAAATCCATTTGGGAGGTGGAGGTTGCAGTGAGCCGAGATCACGCCACTGCACTCCAGCCTGGGCGACAGAATGAGACCATGTCTTAAAAAAACAAAAACATTTTACTCTTTTATATATAGACAGAGAGAGAGAGAGAGTACATATATGTGACATATATATGTACTATATATAACATATATGTACTATATATAGTATATATGTACTATATATAACATGTACTATATAACATATATGTACTATATAACATGTATGTACTATATATAACATATGTATGTACTATATATAACATATATGTACTATATATACATATATATGTACTATATATAACATATATATGTACTATATAACATATGTACTATATATAACATATATGACTATATATAACATATACTCTATATAACATATATGTACTCTATATAACATATATATGTACTATATATAACATATGTACTATATATAACATATATATGTACTTTATATATATAAAAGAATAGTTGAGAATGACAATAAAAGGAAAATAAGAGCAGTAAAGTAATAAAGCATAGTAATGCACAATAGGGTCCTCTAAAGTTTCTGGAGACGGGCTCACATTTGATTGGAAGCTTCCAGCTGTCAAATCGCAGAGGGAAACAGCAGCTCCCAGATTGACAGTTACCATAATACACAAATAAGCCACATGTTCAGAAACTGCTGAGCTGTTCTGAGATACATGTGATTAACTCATGAGCAAAACTTCATCTTTCTGCCAGCAGCCCCTCTGACTTAACCCCAGCTGCCCACAGGGTATCACCTCAAACCATCTTTCCCTCTTGACTGGAAAAAAAAAAAAAAGCCAAGTAGAGTTCACTAAACTCACTGCCTGAGTGCTCTCTTTCTCCTGGGCAGGACATGTGGTCTTATAAGTTTTGATCTTTGGTGTGTTTCAAAAAGGACAGAGCTGTCTGGTTGTGAGTATAATTTGTGTTTAGTCTGTTATTTTGAAGGATGGCAGCACCCAATCCTTCTGGGATCTGTGGATCCCAGGTAATGATGTTTAAGGGTCCCCAGGAATGTATTTCTTTATATCTGGGGAAAACTCTTAAAAATGAAAATGCATTTCTGCTAATAATTCTGCATTTCTGAAACATTTCATTCAGGTTACCTTCAAATTAGTGGGTGCTGGGGCCCTGACAGTGAAATGTTTTGAAATAAATGTCCTCCATCCTGCCCTTTCTGTTGGCTCGGGATCAGTCTGAGGCAATGGCCCTGGTGGGGCCCAAGCTTGGGTAGCCAGGGGACGGAGAGGGAGTCTGCTGTGGAAACCTAGCCTAGGGGAGCCCACAGCCTTAGGAAGTTAGGGTGAGGCAGGAAATAAAGGTCCTTCTCTGAAGCCTAAGCTGCTTCTCCTTTCCAAGTACAGGAGTTCATGCTCTACCTGAACTTCTATTTCAGCCTAGCTTGGAAGGGCCCAGCCAGCATCATAGCACACACTCCCAGGACAGTCTTGGAGCTGTATTTTCTCTTAGTGGAGGCCAAGCCATTAGGCCTAGGCCTGGTCCCTGGTATTCTTACCCCTGCCCCTCCTGCGGTGGAGGATGCTTGAGGTTAAGAGGCAGTGTTTTTTGCTTGGGAGTTGAGGAGGACTCACCTCCTTCCATTGGTCCTTTTCTCCCATCACAAAAATATGCATGTTGTGCCAAATGCGCCCACAAACACTCCCTTTTTTGAAACAGGATCTCACTCTGTCACACAGGCTGGAGTGCAGTGGCACGATCACGGCTCACTGAAGCCTCAACTTCCCTGGGCTCAGGTGATCTTCCTGCCTCAGCCTCCCAAGTAGCTGGGACCACAGGCGTGCACCACCACACCTGGCTAATTTTAGTATTTTTTGTAGAGATGGGTTTTCACCACATTGCCCAGGCTGGTCCCAAACTCCTGGGCCCAAGTAATGCTCCCATCTCTGCCTCCCAAAGTGTTGGGATTATAGATGTGAGCCACCGTGCCCTGCTCACCACCCATTCTTTGAGTGAAAAACGCAGCAGTCTGTCCTGTCAGCTCCCTGGTTTGGAGTTTACCCACAGCACCTGCCCTGACCTGACCTCCAGGTATACAGGTCTCCTGCTACAACCGTCCCTCGGCCCCTCATTGCCTCCCAGACAAAACAAGCCCTGTAGTATCCGGCCCAGCAGTCAGGTGTTCACCAACCTTGCCAGCCTTTGTCCTGTCACTTCTCTCTGAGGACTTCAGGCTTTGGTCCCGGGGGACTTGGCCACACTGGCACTCTCACCTACACTGGAGTCATTGCTCAGTCACACCTCTTAGGAATATGTCCTCTCTCCCTTTTCCTCCAAGGCTCAAGTGTAACACCACCTCCTTGCCCACTACCCTCTGCCTCACAGATCTCCTGCACTGACCCACTCCTTTCTTCTAATAGGACTGTGACACCTGCGTCTTATAGCCTAGGCCATGTGTACCTGTGGCTGGCTGGCTGTCTCTCCCATTTAGACCACAAGCCATTCCAGAGTAGGCACACCTCTGAATACCCACAGCACAAGTGGCACATGACAAGTGCTTGTTGACTAAATCTGGTACTACTCATTGTGAGGTGTAACTTCAGGCCATGGTGGCCTTCGGGGCGGTGAGATGGACTATTTCTGTTACTTTGCTGGGAACAACTGCTCAGCTTCTCTCTCTCATTTTATGGGCAAGGATCTTTTCCTATTTCACCGCTCTCATAGCCCTTGGATAAACTCGTTTGTGACTCATCCCCCCAAAAGGGTGCAAAGAGCTGTCTTGTGGAGTAATTTGGAGGAACCTTCTGTTTGTGCATGAGAAGGCTAGGTTTCTCTCGTCATCTTGGAGGCCTGTTCCCATCCCATAGAGCTGCTCCTAGCCCAGATACAGAGGGAAGTCATTCGTGTCCTGATGAGCATGGGGCACCCATCCAGGAGCCGTCTAATGTTACAGGCCTGAGCCCCAGCACCAGCATTCAGGCCGCCAGATCTCAACTCGACACCTTGTGCCTTTCAACAGCCTGGCTGATGCCACAACCCCAGGCCAGAAAACCTTTTTCTCAAGGTTGAAAGTAGCTGACCTTTGACAAGCAGCATTGGCTAAATTCCTTGTTCCTTAAAAGGAAAGCTCCCAGTTATCATTAGCCAGTGTTTATTTGGCCGCAGGGCAGGAGCAGGCCCTATACTGCACCCTGTGTACCCAGCAGGAGGGTTTGTGGCTGGAAGTACATGGGCGAACAGTCATTATTAAAATAGCCATTTTTGAAAACGTGTGCTGGAGAGGGACGCATCCAGCCTGTCAGCTGGTCTGCACCCCATCTCATGTGGCTAGACAGCTCGTTGGTTCTCTGGCTCCCTCACAGGCAACAGTGCCATCCACTCCACACCAGCACACTCCTTAACGTGTGCAGCAAGAAAACTGACAGAATGACAAGGACACACACCAATTATTAAATGTCTGGGCTTGTGTTTTTAATGTAGGGGTGACAGTCCAAAGATTGACTTGGCCGGCAGTTCGCTATCTGGCATCCTGGACAAAGATCTCTCGGACCGCAGCAATGACATTGGTGAGTAAGGACAGTGTTCTCGCTTCTCTTTGCAGAGTTAGTAAAGAACCTCAGAGCCTGGCTTGCCTTCAACCAGCATGATGAGAAGTAATAAAGCCATTGAAATGCCAGGCTGGCACCCTTGCTTGGCTTTAGGTGTTACAGTTTTGTAAAGAAGGGAAATGATGGTGCTTTCCACATTAAAACACAATGCCTGGGACCTTTCCCCTCCCTAGGAGAAATTCCTTACAAGATCTAATGAAAAGAAATGATGAATAAGCCTTTTTGTAAAAAGTGGGCATTAGCCCTTATGTTCACAGTTTCCAGTGATTTGTGTATTTTGTGTAAAAAGGTGGATGGATGCAAATGTGAGATGGCAGGGTTCATTGTTGATACAGCACTTTTGACTGAGTTTCAAATGAGCTTTGGTATGGTAATTGCCACTTAGTTCAGAACATGAGTGAGTTTTCCCAAGGTCAGGATACCACCATGTGATAAATGGGAGGGAGCTACAGTCTCTCTGGGTAAATAAAAGTCAGAGGTCCTTTTGGAGGTGTACGTGAGTGGGTGTGAGGCCACCGGTGTGCTGTTAAGGCCACTAGTGGTCTGACCTGGGTGACAACCCTTTTAAGAAGTCCAGATTCAGGGACTAATTTTTTCTTATTATTTTATTTTATTTTTTGACATAAAGGCCATTTAATGATAGAAATATATAAAAATAATCATATTGTTTAGCAACAGGCTATCACATTTCTTGGGAAGAGGAAAATGACCTGCTTTAAGAAAAACTTGCAACCATGTGCAAGTCTTCATTTCAACATATTTTTCCCCATCCACTTAAGCATTTATCCTTTGAGTTATAAACAGTCCAATTACACTATTTTAAAATATACAATTAAATTATTATTGACTATAGAGATGCTATTGTGCTATCAAATAGTAGGTCTTATTCATTCTTTCTAACTATATTTTTTGTACCTATTAACCATCCCCACCGCCTCCCCACCCCAGCCCTGTACTACCCTTCCCAGCCTCTGGTAATCATCCTTCTGCTCTCTACCGCCATGAGTTCAATTGCTTTGATTTTTAGATCCCACAAATAAGTGAGAACATGCAATGTTTCTCTTTCTGCACCTGGTTTATTTCACTTAACATAATGATCTTCAGTTCCATCCATGTTGTTGCAAATGATAGGATCTCGTTTTTATGGCCAAATAGTATAAATTTTTTTTAGCTTTACATCTTCTGTTTGTACCTATCAAGGTCATAAGTTAGCATTCTCTCGTATTCTACATAATATAGAAGGCTGAATTTTAAAATTTACTTTGTTTTAATTGAACTTTTTATTTTGAAGTCATTGTAGATTCACATGCAGTCGTAAGAAGTAATAGAAATCTGTGTACCCTTTACTCAGTTTCTCCCCAATAGTAACATCTTACAGAACTATAGTACACTGTCATGACTAAGATATTGACATTGATATGATCCACCAATCTTACTCAGATTTTCACAGTTTTACTAGTACTTCTGTGTGTATTTCGCTCTATGCAATATATATATATATATTTTTTTTTTTTTTTTTTTTTTTTTTTTTTTTTTTTTTTTGAGATGGAGTCTTGCTCTGTCACCCAGGCTGGAGTGCAGTGGTACGATCTCGGCTCACTGCAACCTCTGCCTCCCAGGTTCAAGCGATCCTCCCACCCCAGCGTCCTGAGTAGCTGGGACCACAGGTACATGCCACCATGCCTGACTAATTTTTGTATTTTTTGTAAAGGTGGGGTTGCACTATGTTGCCCAGGCTAGTCTCGAACTCCTAGGCTCAAGCGATCCTCCCACCTTAGCCTCCCAAAGTTCCGGGATTACAGCTGTGAGCTACCGCACCCAGCCTGCAATTTTATCATACATGTAGGTTTGTGTATCTACCACCAGTCAAGACATAGAACATTTCCATCACCACTAGATCCCTTGTGTTACTCTTGTTAAGCCACACCCACCTTTCTCCAGCCCACCCCCTTCCCTAACCTCTGGCAAGCACTATCAGGGATTGATTTGACATGGAAGATAGCTTTCCAGCATCATCTGCTTGGGCCACTCACTTTAGAAACAGATGTGCGATGGTTGGCAGGCCTTGTAAGAGCACTAGAGCTCTCAACATGAGCATTCTGCTCTCCTGCTGCTGTCCCTCTGTTTGGGTGCTGTTTTCCTCTGAATCTGCTGATAGAGTTGCATCTTTGCAACTGCTGACCTGCAGTCTCTGGTCTGATCTCATGCAGGCTTGGGGCTAGGATGTGTGACTGTGACTGTTAATGCCAAAAGTACTTCCCCTGTTTCCACAAGCTCGTTTACATCCTCAGCCCTTGAGAAGCCCAGTCAGGAAGCATAACCTGATAGCTTGGGCTGATGCAATAACAGAAACTCTGGCCTGCTGTAGCTTTTGTTCTGCTTAAAGTGCAGGCAGAGCAGAGCAGAGCAGTAATTGGCTGTGAATGAAAGGGGATTGTCAGAATGAGCCTAAGTTCCGGTTCTACCACCGCAGTTTCGTATTTGGGCCCTGTTTTAAGCCAGGGTGGCTGGTTGGTGAAGGTCATGTGCGACCTCAGGAGGCTGTCTTGTCACCTCCCTCATGTCAATAGGAAGGGAGGTATTCTCCCTCCTCCAGAATATACAGGATAATCTGTCTTGCTTGCTAAGAGCATTCACCTTTGACCTTTGCATTCTTTGGGTCTGGAGATGTCTATGATCGCTATCATGAAAATATGAATCACATGTTTTTCAGTCTGATGAGCTAGTGTGGAAATATTGGGGGTATTGATGGGGGGGCGGGTTCACCTATAGAAGCTTTTCATGCTGTGGAAACTAAGCACAGTTGCATATATTTGGGAGCCCAGAAATAGAGTACTGAGGTTTGGTTTTCTCTCTCTCTTTGCCACAGAGACATTAATCCTAGAAGGCTATATCTTCTCAAGTTAATGGTATTTTTGTTTTGAGATAGTCTTGCTCTGTCACCCAGGCTGGAGTGCAACAGTGCAATCATTGCTCACTGCAGCCTCTAACTCCTGGGCTCATGCAATCCTCCCACCTCAGCCCAGGAGAATCGCTTGAACCCGGGAGACAAAGGTTGCAGTGAGCCGAGATCACACCACTGTACTCCAGCCTGGGGAACAAGAGCAAAACTCCATCTTAAAAAAAAAAAAAAAGGTCTCCAAAACCTAGTAATCATTTTGTAATGTAAAACGTCCCCTTAGGGTGTTAAATGTGTGTATTGTTGTACACCATTTTAAAAAATCAAGGTCCACCTGGACTTTGATCTGTAGCTGATTACAACCCTGGTGAAACAATAATCCCAAAGCGTTAGAAAGGATTAAGAGTGTTTTGTAAGCATGTTTGGGGTAGAACATGCCTTTATAACTTTTAATCCTCGTTGAGGTACAGTGTGAGTACAGGAGCTGTGTGTGGAATATCCTTGTGTTAGAATCATTCTGCTAATATAGTGGAGAACAAACCCTCCCCCTTCATCTCCCCTCTTCCATCGTCCTGAGGTTCTAGTGTTGAAATAAGAGCAGTGAGAGCAAGCAAGAGTAAGGAAAGAAAGAACTAATATTCACTGGGTGCCCACTAAATGTTTTGTCTATTTTTTTCTCACCGTCCATAGCCCTATGAAGGATGTGTAATGACTCATGTTTTTACAGTGAAGGAACAGGGAAGAAAGCAAGCTGGGGAAACTGAGCAAGATTATCTGGCTAGTAAGAAATTGGAGTTGAAGGCCAGGCGCGGTGGCTTACACCTGTAATCCCAGCGCTTTGGGAGGCCAAGGCGGGCAGATCACCTGAGGTCAGGAGTTCGAGACCAGCCTGGCCAACATGGTGAAACCCTGTCTCTACTAAAAATACAGAAATTAGCTGGGTGTGGTGGTAGGCGCCTGTAATCCCAGCTACTTGGGAGGCTGAGGCAGGAGAATCGCTTGAACCCGGGAGGCGGAGGTTGCAGTGAGCCAAGATTGCACCACTGCACTCCAGCCTGGGGGACAAGAGCGAGACTTCGCCTCAAAAAAAAAAAAAAAAAAAAAAAAAAATTGGAGTTGAAGCCAGGTCTCTCTGACCCATGAGCCCAAACCTTCTAGGTCCACATCAGCATTTCTCAACTGCTCTCCCCAAGGGGACATTTGGCAATGTCTGGAGACATTTTTGACTGTCACATCATAGGGGTGGGGGTGGAGATGCTACTGGCATCTAGTGGATAGAGGCCAAGGATGCTGCTAACCATCCACCAGTGTGTAGGATAGCCCCCACAGACAACAAAGAATGACCCAGCCCCAAATGTCAATAGCACCGAGGCCCAGAGAGCCCAGTCTGTGTTAGGAACAGGAAGAGGACAGGCTTCCCCTGCAAGTGCAACTTGTGTTCCCTGGAGTGGCCTGTCTCATTTCCTGAGAATCTCTATAAAACCTAGTTTGAAAATATTTCATATACAAAAAAGTAATTATATTTGAAGTAATTAAACATCAACCAAGGACATGACTGTGACCTTTGTGAGAGAGAAAGAGGAAGGGGGGGGAGAGAGAGAGAGAGGCGAGAGAAGAGAGGGGAGAGGGGCCATCTTAAGGCTTGCAGCAAGTGAAATGATACCATTTGAGTCTGATTTCAAATAGAAAGAGTATTGGATTTGTGATTAGATATTTGCCAAAGATCAACTACCCAGTGTTTAAACGGGTATTACATAAAAGGACAATAACAAATTTGATCAATACTAAGTTCTAAATCTGTACTCTGTATGGTAAAGTTATACAGGAGAGCAAGAGAGAGCAATTGTAATAGCGACCATTAACACAACATTTTTGTGAATGTGACACCAAATGTCTACAAACAAGTGATTACATTCTTACCTTATTTTGCAATTTCTACCTTTCATGATAATAAATCACTTCTAAGGGTTTCTCATACAAATTTTGAGGAAAAATTCAGATCTCCTGACTTGGGGCTATTGGTTTTTCTGTCCTGTTTTTAAAATACATATTTTAAACTTCCCCTTTTGGAGCCAGAGAGCCAGTTATTGGTCCTTGCAGCATGTCAGATCATTGAGCAATTGCTCAGGTTCAATAAAACAAGATATACTGTGTCCTGCCTGCCATTAAAAAAAAACAAAAACCCATGAATGACACTTGGAGTGTTCCAGATTGACTACTGGCTGAGCGTGTGTGTGAACAACAGCCGCGCCTTCCAGCTCTCTCGGGATTAGTTGCTCAGACATGAGAACTTTCACTGAAGAGCCACGGCTGGCTCCTACAGACACTGTCTCCTTACTGGCAACCTTCAGACACAGCCTTTGGGACCAAGGACATGGTTGATGTTACCTGTGCTGAAGAACAGGAGATACGGTTGCTACTGGTCTACAGTCAAGTCTGCATATGACGGGCTGCGGTGCCCATGTGTGGACGTGTGCAGCTCCGGTCCCTATCTAGGGACACAAATCGTGATCAAACTTAAATTTTTGTCAGGAGTAGCTGAAAAGCACTATACATTTCTCAAGTGTGATGACAGAAAGCAAAAGAGATTGTGCTGAGGGTCAAACGCTTTATACAAAGGAAGTGAAACAGGTTGCGCTTCTGATTGATGGGTTTTTAACCCAGGCAATCCTCTGAGCATTTTGGGTTCCTTCCTCGAACTTACAGAGGCGTAGCTAATTCAGAACAGCTTCTGTGGATGGCCTTCTCCCTGCATCGCCCTTGAGCCCTCCCCTGGTTCCCAGCCTCTCAGGCTCACAGTGGAGGTGTGCTGCTGAGGAAACAAGGTCAAGTTGGCAACCAGCACTCATTTCGAAAGGCATCCTCCAGTCCTACAGGAGATGGTCCTTCAGGGCCCTTTGAAGGGCCTGATCTTGGGTGTAAAATGAGCATCTCCACTTAGACTTTCTCAGTCAAAGATGTTGATCCTCACCAGAACCGAGGTGCTCACCTCTGCCTGTGCACCTTGCACAGGGCGGTCCTGCTGGCCTTTGGTGGTCCATCACGGTGGCTGGGTTTGTGCTTAGTTATGAGGGTCTTCACGAACATCTTTTACCCCATAACATCCCATAAGCGCAAACTCAGTAAACATTGAAAGTGCCTGTAGGAAAAGCCTCACAAATGCTATAGAAACAGGGGGAGATTACGTCAAAGTGGGGACATGATGGCAAATGTTGCAGAACCTCACTGCAGCAGTGCATTTGGTGGTATGAATTATTCCAATATACAGAGAGCAAATTAGTACTGTCCTACCCAAGTGCTCTATACCCACCAGCCTGCAAAATAGCTGACCTGAGAGAGGTGGAGGGACATTTAGGGAGCATCAATTCAGATGGCTGTTGGCTTGGAGAGGGTCACAGAGGCTAGTAGCTGTGTGGACTTGCAGGCAGCCCCAAATGCTCACCTATGTGCAGAGTCAGCATGTCCTGCCTCCCCTGGTAATGTGGTCGCCTGCATCTCTGTGGCCAGCGCTCTCGTTCATCATTCAGTCTGATGGCTTGAGTGCCTCTATGTTTGCTACATGCTGAGACCGTATTCTAGTGCCGTATTCTGGAGGTACTGGGTGTACCTACAGATTTAAGAATGCAAATCTGGAGGTACACCCAGTGGATTCAAAGTAGTCTCATAGAACAAAGAGACTTATATAGTGACCTTTGCTGCATCCACAGTATACACCACAGAGGTCTCTGAACTGAAAATGAATGTGGAAGCAAGGGAACAGGTGATGTTCAGCTCTCAGATCTCACATGGCATTTATTTGGCTTGAGGTGCCCCCCTCCCCCTGTCCCCTGGCTGTGGGCTCATGGATTGGCAGAGCCCAGTTATGGCTTCCGTTTTACTTGCAAATATCCAGAGGAATGTACAGTCTACCAGAAAATTGTGCTCAGGCATCCCTTTGTCACATTAAAAGCATTATGGACACACGACATTTTATTAAGTATTTTGTTCTGGTATCACTTTATTAAGTAAATTATCAAAATCCTTATTTAGCCATGGACTCTCATTAAAGCATGTTCTGGAAACCTTGGCCAAGGTTAGGAGCCTGTAAAGTTTGATTCATTGCAAGAGAAAAGTGATTAGCAGTTGGAGAGTGACATTGATGGGCCCCATTAAAAGGTCATTGGATGTGGTGGTGGCAAGCGAAGGTTGGAGTTGGAGGTCAGCAGGATGCCCTGATTTAGAACCAAGCTTACCTTTGCATAACCTATAGTGACACTCTCTTCATCTCCCCACGCCTTAGCCATGTCTCCCTGAGGTTCATACTGTTTGGAATTTCACAGGCTCATTTATCAAAAAAAAAAAAAAAAGGCTTTCAATTTGGGAGACGGCTTGATTTTTCTTTTATTAATGATGCACATTCAAAATAAACAAATGCCATCTCCTACTGGAAAGGGTATAATCTCCAAGTGTAAAATTGAACAAATTTAGCTTAATGGGAAACTCACAATGTTGACCTTTTTCTCAGTGCATTATGACTGGTGATAACCTTGGCGCAGACACGTGCCAGTTCTTTTGAAAACCATAGGTCCAGCTCACATCTGCAAAGATGGAAGGTGGCGGGAAAGAGAAATGTTGGGGGCAAGGAAAAGGCCCTAGAGAGAGTCAGGCGTTGAAGCAGTGGCTCAGGTAAAAACTTAAGTGTCCAGAAATGTACAATTAGCAGATTAACTTTTTTTTTTGATAGAGATAGGATTACTTGTAATTTTTTTCCTAAGAAAAAGTCATGGAGTGTCAGATTTTTCAGAGCACTTTAAATCCTTTTTACCTTCTCCTGATGTTTACAAATGAGAAATAGCTCATCAAGTTACCCAGGCTGGTGAATGAGAGCCTGCCAGCCCTTTCTAGCAGTTTTGGGGGACTCTTGTCTCTCCTAGGGTAGTAAAAAGCATACTAGGCTTTGAGACAGAAGGTTTTTCCTCCTCAAATTTTGTAGTAAGTGTAATTTTGGCTTCCATGTAATTCTGGACATTAGAATATTATTGTCTCACATATGCATTAAAATTCTATATTATGAGTATCAGACTGCTCTTTTTTTTTTTTTTTTTTTTTTAGACAGGGTCTTGCTCTGTTGCCCAGGCTGGAGTGCAGTGGCACAGTCACAGCTCACTGCATGCTCAACCTCCCAGGCTCAAGCAGTCCTCCTACCTCAGCCTCCCAAGTAGCAGGGACCACAGGTGTGCACCACCATGCCCAGCTAATTTTTTATTTTTTGTAAAAATGCATCTCACTGTGTTGCACAGGCTGGTCACAAACTGCTAGGCTCAAGCAATCCTCCCACCTCGCTTCCCAAAGTGCTGGGATTACAGGCATGAGTCATTGCACCTGGCCCTGCTCCTCTTATATCTAAATAAAGTGCTGTTAAAGAAGATGAAATGACCCATACATCTTGCTCTCCAAAAAGAAATGTGCACTCTGCTCTGGCTGCTCATCCCACTGAAGCTGACCATCAAGCACACCATTGTACCTCCTTGGATCTTGGTTTTTCATCATTAATCCAGGGGCTTGGATGACATGATCATAAATAACCCAATTCAGGCAGTGCATGGGGTCTCATTCCTGTAATCCCAGCACTTTGGGAGGCAGGAGGGATCACTTGAGGCCAGCAGTTCGAGACCAGCCTGGGCAATATAGGGAAATACTCTGTCTCTACAAAAAATATTAAAAAGAAAGGACCCAGCGCAGTGTCACAGTCTATGTTTCTCTAACCCTGTCCATTTCTTTTAGCTGAGTTTTCTAGACATTGAGAAAACTGCTGTTTTGGTAGCCTCTGAATCCTCTTTGAAATGAAGCAGCTTATTCTTTCCTTTGTCTCTTTACTTCATTTTCTTTAGTTCTGTCAGTTCTTTTAATCTAGAATTGATAATTTGGCCCTTTATAAGATCTAATCTAGGGGTTTTTTTTTTGGCTTAATGATTTTTTGCTTTTAAATGATTTGCTGGCTATATGGAGATTTAAGAAATTGTTAAGGGGTTATGAACATAACTATTTTTTTTTTTATTTTTAGTGATGGGGTGTTGCTATGTTGCCCAGGCTAGACTTGAACTCCTGGGCTCAAGTGATTCTCCCACCTTAGCCTCCTGAGTAGCTGCGACTTATAGGCATGCTACTGCACCTGGCTCATGAGCATACCTTTTTGTAAAGTTTTAAAAAGTACTCATTCATCTTTTAAAAGAATTATTTTGATTTTTTTAACCCAAGTTATTACGGGGAAATGTAAAAGAGTAGGATGTTTGCCCTCCTAAATAAGTTTGAGATCCTAGAGAAAACCCTGACATAGATGCAAGTTCCAGGTTGCAAGTTCTATTTTCAAATCAGTTGGTTAGTAATTCTTTGCTTCCAGTGACATTGAAGGAGGTACCCACTAAGTTGTTTGGTGGTAGACCATTAAAAATAATAATTCCTGGTGATGCTAGACTACGGTCTGGTTTTTGGTATATAATTTGCAAGGAGTTCAGAGAATTGAGTGACATTGATAACAAAATTATTTCCGTTCTGGCCGGGCGCAGTGGCTCACACCTGTAATCCCAGCATTTTGGGAGGCCGAGGCAGGTGGATCACGAGGTCAGGAGTTTGAGACTAGCCTGGCCAATATGGTGAAATCCCGTCTCTACTAAAGATACAAAAAACTTTTAGGTGGGTGTGGTGGCCCATGCCTGTAATCCCAGCTACTCTGGAGGCTGAGACAGGAGAATCGCTTGAACCCGGGAGGCGGAGGTTGCAGTGAGCCAAGATCGTGCCACTGGTGCCACTGCACTCCAGCCTGGGTGAAAGAGTGAGACTCCATCTCAAAAAGAAAAAAAAAAATTGTTTCCATTTAATCTACTTTTTTTTTTTTTTTTTTTTTTTTTGGTGAGACAGAGTCTCACTCTGTCACCCAGACTGGAGTGCAGTGACGCCATCTCAGCTCACTGCAACCTCCACCTCCCGGGTTCAAGCGATTCTCCTGTCTCAGCCTCCAGAGTAGCTGGGATTACAGGCATGGGCCACCACACCCAGCTAAATGTTTTTTGTATTTTTAGTAGAGACGGGGTTTCACCATGTTGGCCAGGCTGATCTTGAGCTCCTGACCTCAAGTGATCCACCCGCCTCGACCTCCCAATGTGCTGGGATTACAGGCATGAGCCACCACACCCAGCCTCCATTCCATCTACTTCTATTTAAGTGAACAAATTTTCTTGGCACTTACGTCTCTAAAATGAAAAATAGAGAGTTGATACCAAACCATCTCTTCCTGGTATTGAGTGATAATCATACACACATGAAGTGTTTGAGGGAAAAGCCCAATAAAATTCTGTTTTGTCATGCTTAAAAATTATTTATCAAAATGTGTTCTGATCATTTGTATACTAATAATAATGTAATGAGAACTCAATCCAAAAGAAAAATAATTTTTACACTTAGAGTCTTAAGATTTCAGGAAAGAAAAAATCTTAAACTTCAATTTCTATACATGTTTTTACAATAGAAAGATGATAAAATAGTTAACAACAGACTTGAAAATGGATTAGGATAAAATTCAGCAGTAGGGGTTGGAAATATGAATTTAAGGAGGAAAAGGAAGGATGTAAAATTTCCAACTGTTAAAATCTTATGATATTTTAAAATGGATGATGGTGGTGGTTAAATTGCTGCAGTATTCAAATATATATTGGATATATTTAAGAAATCTATGTAAGTTATATTTTAAAATCTCAATGTTTAGAATATAACAGAAATTACATCCTTTGTGAGTAAAACTTACATAAAAGTTTAGATTTCAACTTGATATGTGTGAGGAGGATATACAAGGGTTTCCAAAATTATTTTAGCAAGTACACTGGCTTCATAAATATATCATTTTATACTTACACAAACATTTCTATGGATTAATTTCTAGAAGTGACACTGATATATCTGAAGGTGTACACATTTACATTTTGTAATAGGTATTGCCAAATGGCATACAGAAAGGTTGTGCCAATTTATGTTCCTGTGGATAATAGTGTAACTACTGTTTCCAATAGAGAATTACATTATTTATCAGATCACTTTGCATAGCAAATTTGGGCCTGTAGTGAGCAATTTTTAAAGGAATGCAAATGTGGAGAGCTACTTTTCCCCACTTAGCATTGCTTGTCATCAATCCAAGTGAATCACTACCTCTCCTCGAAGCAAGACTACAGTAAGACGTGTCCCCCCTTTCTCTGATCTAAATTGGGTCCCCATGCTATCATTGCTAATTTCACCTTTTATCATTCTTTCATAGTAACTAAGAGAATTTGTAATTATCCATACAAAAGCCTGTCTCCCTCAGTGGGTTCTTAGCTCCATGTGGGCAGGGAATGTGGCTATTTTCCACCCCTGTATCCCCCTTTGCCTAGCCCAGTGCCTAGCTCATAGTGTATGCTCAGAAAAATAGCCACTGAATGAATGGGCTGAGCGTTTAAGTGAGGGGAAATATCAAGATGCAGGATCATAATACACAATCTTCATTGCCACTAGCCATGTGTGACTATTAAAATTTAATTAAATAGCTATACTTACCCATAATCTATGCACTCTGTAGCCACGTGGGGCTGGTGGCTACGATTTGAATAGTATAGATTATAGAAGATCATCACAGCAAGTTCTACTGGACAGTGCTGATATAGGATGATTGTACATTCATTTTCAAAACTATCCCTATGCTTGGCACAAAGTAAATACTTAAGAAATGTTTGATTGAATTAATGAGCAAATAAACACTGTATCTCCCTCTCTTATTCTTGAGCTACACGTTTTGATGTAGAAGTTGCTTGTACCAAATAGCCAAACATTCTCTTAACTTGCCTAACACATTACATTTCTTGCCACAGAGTGCCTTGAAGAAGCCAGCCCCTTTTCCTGCCCATTTGAAAACACATTTGAATAAAATAGAAAAAAAACAAGCAACGTTCTGTAGTGGAAAGAATCCCTTGGATGTGAATCTGTGTGTGGGCCCTGTTACTTGTTGGCAGTGACCTTGGGCATGTTTTCTAACCTCTGGCCCTCCATCTCTTTCTTTGTGGATTATAGTAATGCCCACACAGCATGGGGTTTTGTGTACATGAAATGAGGGTGTGTGCATGCGAAGCATCTAGTAATGGCATGGCTGGCACATGGAGTTCAAAACAGTAGCTCAAAACTTGTTTATAGCAAGGCATGGTGGCTCATGTCTGTAGTCCTAGCACTTTGGGAAGCTGAGGCAGGAGGATTGCTTGAGGCCAGGAGTATGAGATCAGCCTGGGCAACATAGCAAGATCTCATCTCTACCAAAAAATAAGACAAAACAAAAAATAACTGGGTGTGGTAGCTAGCTAATTGGGAGGCTGAGGCAGGAGGGTTGCTTGAGCCCAGGAGCTTGAAGCTATAATACCATGAGCTATGATCACACCACTGCATGCACTCCAGACTGGGTGACAGAACGAGACCCTGTCTCTAAAAAAAAGAAAAACCAAAACCCCCTAAAACTTATTTATTCTCAGCAGCTTGCGTCCTGCAAACTTCACACCTGGATTATAAATGAAAACACAACAGCTGATCTCCTATATCCTTACACATTTTGGAGGGCTTATTTTCCTGCAGAATCTAATCATTGCTAATCATTTCAGTTAGTGAGTCAGCTAACACAGGTGCTCATTTGACCCCTCCCTAATATTGGGCCCATCTTGATAGTCTGCACAGATTTTCCACACTAGTCAAATGACTGAGGCATGGAGCGAGACTTCCTCCTCCCATTCAGACTACCTCATGGTGTTTCTGCAATGCGGAGAAAGTACCTGCGGCCCTGTGGGTTTAGAGTTTTCTCATCTTAGACCTTGGAAAAAAAAAAAAAGGTAGGGGAGGGGGGATTTCTAGCCTTGCTCTTAGATTCTTGTTTCCAAATCCCACAGCTCCGTTAATGGTGTATGAAAACAGAATTCTATCTGCATGATTTGAAAGGGTTTTCACATAGTCTCTCATTTACGAAAGAATAATCTTATGAAGCTGATGGCTCAGATAATTCTCTCATTTTTTTCCTGCTGGAAAATCTGAAGCCTAGAAAGGTTGTTTGTTAATGTATTTAATAATCATTTTTTGAACACTCGCTGCAAGCCAGGAGTGATCTTAAGTCCAGGGAAACAGAGAGAAAAGCCATAGCTTCTTCCCTGGCTGGTGGGGGAGGCAGAGAAGTCAACAGGAAATGTCAGTACAGGGCACTAAATGCCGAGATCACGATGATGGGTGAGTAGGGATGCACCCAACCCAGGTCTTAGGGTGCAGTCTGGCTTCTTGGAAGACGCCTCAGTTGTGGCACTGAAGGAATTAGTCAGGAGAGGAAGCCCTGAAGGGACATACTCAGATGGGGGCTGTACACCTCTCTGGTGGCAGCATGTGAGTGGTAAGGGGCTTGAAGTGAGAAATCTATTAACAGTGGTTCCAGGCAAGAAATTCAGCGGCCTTAATAATCTGAGACAGGGTGTGGAGGAGAAGAGATGGCTTCCAGAGATATTGGGAGGTAGCGACATTGCCAGGTTTTAGCTGTAAGCAAACTTATATCCTAAAGCTCTGTTTAAAGTGCACAGCAACATGCTATAATGAATGCAGAGAACAATTTAGGAGCTCCCAAAGAACTCTGCTGGTGACAGCTAGCCTGACTTAGCCTTTTGACTGTTTCTCCTCTGTGCTTTCAGTGGATGTGCTTTACGTCACCTGCGGTCACTGGTACCATTGCTCCTATCCATGGAAAATGAGGCTACATTTTCTAATTGAACCAAATAGAGTGTGACTGAAGTTCATGGAAAATGAGCAACTTCATGTGCCATGAAGAGTCAAAGGCCCTTTCCAAGCCAACTCCATCGTGCCCAACATGAATTATCCCCGTATGTCTGCAGAGAGTTTGTTGTCCAAGTATCACAAAAGCAAAGGGCCTCTCGTCCTTATGAAACTAACTTCTTAAAAATACCCCAGCATTTGCCAGTTCAATAGTTTTGGACTGACTTATGGGCATTAAAACCTTTTTCTCTTAAGAGGAAAAATTCCCAGCCAGGCCGAGAAAGCTCATATCAAGTTTCAGCTTGATTCATTTCAAAACCACCATGAAAACTGGGACATTTTCTCCACACCACAATGGGTTAGTCATGGAAATTCTGCCTTAATCGCAGCTACCATGGCCACAGCCATGAAGCATGCGCTCTGTGCCTCTGAAAAGTGATGTGACAGTATTGGAGAATTTCTCCCCTTCACTGTCAGAAAGCAGAAATGCATTACAGTTCATGGTCTATGGAAAAATGCCAGGGTAACCTGAGGTTCCCTTTTCAGCAAGCAATCTCATATTTGATACATTTTTTTTCTGTATGGCAGTTTGGTTTGGTAGCTGTTTCCAAAAAGTGCTCTTTCCAAACTAAAACTATGGAAAGTTAAACTTAGCAGAAATGTGCATTAAGCTGGGTGTAGTGGCTCACGCCTGTAATCCCAGCACTTTGGGAGGCCGAGGTGGGTGGATCACCTGAGGTCAGGAGTTCGAGACCAGCCCGGCCAACATGGTGAAACCCCGTCTCTACTAAAAATACAAAAATTAGCCAGGTGTGGTGGCGCGTGCCTGTAATCCAAGCTCCTCGGGAGGCTGAGGCAGGAGAATTGCTTGAACCCGGGAGGCAGAGGTTGCAGTGAGCCGCGATTGTACCACTGCACTGCAGACTGAGGGACAGAGCAAGACTCTGTCTCAAAAAAATATATAATATATATCATATTTTAATATGATATATATTATATTTTAATATGATATATAATATATTAATATGATATATAATATTATATTTTAATATGATGTATATTTTAATATGATATATAATATATTTTAATATGATATATATTTTAATATATATAATATATTTTAATATATATAATATATTTTAATATGATATATAATATTATATTTTAATATGATATATAATATTATATTTTAATATGATATATATTATATTTTAATATGATATATAATATATTTTAATATGATATATAATATTATATTTTAATATGATATATAATATTATATTTTAATATATATAATGTATTTTAATATATATAATATATTTTAATATATATTATATATTATATTTTAATATATATTATATATTATATTTTAATATATATTATATATTATATTTTAATATATATTATATATTATATTTTAATATATATTATATATTATATATTTTAATATTATATATAATATTTTATATATATAATATATAATATATATTATATATTAACATATATTTTAATATATATAATATATATATATGCATTAAGAGGTTAAGAGTGGCTTCCCCTGAGGTATTCGGACCTTCCTCTTACTCATGAGTGACAGAAATAGAGCAGTCTTCTCTGCCATATGTCCTGGAGACTCTTGCTAAGCGTGGCCAGGCTTCACTGTGCATAGGTCTTCTTAGTGCAAACCTCAACCAGTAAAACAGAATGGGCCATTCTGCCTTCTCTGCATCCATAGCAGAGAATGCTTCTTCAGCCTCGAAGCTACTCACATCCCGCTAGGAGCCACTTCTATAAGCTACATTCCTGGTTTTTTTCTTGAGATAGTTTGTTCATTTGTTCGCTTGTTCCTTTATTGACAGAGGAACCAGCATGTTTTCCCTAGGAACATTCTAGACTTTGAGAACACAAGGATGAGTTCCTGCCCTCCTGGGGCTCACAGCCTAAGTGCGGGAGACAGACATCACACTTCTGGGTTGTTTTAAAAGTATAACTCATTACAGACTGCCACCTCACACATTCTGAAATCCTAAACTGCCAGGTGGACTTAATTCAGTGGGCCCAGGAGGGTCGGGGGATGGCAAAGATGGAATCCTCCCTGGAGTCCTGGCAGAAGTTTCCTGGTGTTAACTTGTCCACCCCTGCACACAAGTGGACTTACCAAGTCCATCCTAAGAGGGGCCCAAAGCTGTCCCATCCCCTCCCCTGGCTCTCTGCATTCCTCTCCCACCCCACTGTTATGCTGGGTCACATCTCGGGCCTCTTCCTGGCTCCAGCTGCAGTGTGTCTGACCTGTCACCAATCATTCGAGCCTTTGGCCACCATTTTCGTCAAGTGCTCCAGCACCTCTGTGGCCCTCCAAATCGGGCCAGCACTCCTCAGCCCAGCATGGGAGGACCCACTGTTAGAGAGCCCAGGCAGGCTCTCTATTCACTGGGCCCTGGAACACCCTTCAGTCACTTGGTGGCCTCTCCACTCCTCCGCTTGGCCAAATCCTCACTCCCTTCCCTCCCCTCAGCCCCCAGCCTCCTCTAGAGCAGTGCTTCTCAGCTTTTGCCGCATGTTCACATCCCCTGGGGAGATTGACATCTGCTTGTGCCCAGGATGCACCCTAGATGGGGTGAGTCAGTTCCTGGGATGCAGTGGTGTTTTGTTTTTTTAAATTGTCCAGGTGATTCCTCCGTGCAGCTGAGTTGGAGAAGCAGTGTTAATTAGCCTTTCGTTGTTCTTTAGTCACTTCATCCTGTTCAGTTTTTGCTCCTGAGCTTGTTTTAGTTTCCTGGACAGAGCCATAATATAGGTTTGTCCAGCTCTGCCCCTGGTAGCTACCAGCCAAGGCCGTTGGCAGCTGTCTGTTTGCTGGAAACTTTAACAGCCCCCTCTTCCATCTCCTTCACTGGCTGCCAGTCAGCATCTGCTCCTTGGGTTTTTGTCCTCTCTCCTCTTCCCGAGCCTTCCTCTGCCCCTCGTTATGCCTCTGTCCTCCCCAACCAGCACCCCGCCCGGCCCCCAACAAACCTCCCTGTCCTGGGCCTTATTTCCTTCTTCCAGAACAGTTGGAGATCTGCACGGATAAGCTGCTGAACTCATTATATGTAGAGTACATGCAAGGATATTTGTGCGGCGCTCTTCCAAAACAGTAAAACATAGGAGGGGGAAATGATTTGGAAACTAGCTATCCAACAAATGGGATTGATTAATTGCAGTGCAACAACAATTAAAATATTTACAAAGAATTGTTAGAGACATGGCATATCCGGTTAAGGGAAATAAGCAGAATGCAGTATTACATATAGTATGAGCTATACTATCTACAGGAAAAGAAGCCTGGAGGAGAATGTACCAAAATACTAACAGTGCTTGTCTTGATGTGGTAAGATTATAGCTGACTTTCTTTTCGTTGTTACAATTTCGTGTTTTGTTTTTTAAAAATTATACGCTGATCATGTATTACATTTATCATCAGGGGAAAGTGATTTAAAAAGATGAATTGGGGGGGTGTTCATGTCAGATGGTGGCTTTTTGCATCCATCCAAGTGTGTAATGGGGAATTTTCATTTTAGACAACATGGACTCAGTAGAGGAGAGTCCCAGGGTAGAGTCTGGAGGAGAACCTTTTAAGAAAATAAGTTTCTCCAGCCTGGGCAACATGTCAAAACCCCGTTTCTACAAAAATTAGCCAGGTGTGGTGTTGCGTGCCTGTAGGGAGGCTGAGATGGAAGAATCACCTGAGTCCAGGAGGTTGAGGCTACAGTGAGCCAAGATTGTGCCACTGCCCTCCAGCCTGGGAGACAGAGCAAGACCCTGTCAAAAAAAAAAAAAAGAGGGAGGGAGGGAAAGAAAAGAAAGAAAATAATAATAATAATAAGGTTCTCTTAAAGGGAAGGCCCCTGAGAGGGGTCAGCTTAGTGAGCCAGGACTGGAGAAGCACATTCTAGCAGGGGGAATCTTTGCCCTCCCCCTGGCCAGGGTCCTCCTGGCACCCTGCTGAGCCCAGCTAGAGAGATGGGTGCCTTTATGAGCCTCATTCAGGTACTGGATGCTGATGGGCTCCCTCTTGGCTTCAGAGCGCCACTGATGTTTTCCTTTGTGCCATCTCTGCGGATGGTTAACCTTTCGTTATACCTGCCTTGCCCTGATAAGAGGAGTTATCATCAGGTGCTAGGATAATGTCACTTAATGTAATCCCAGGTGTAATTTAATGGCTTCTCCTGACCAGTGACTTGTGCTTGATTTTGCATATTCTACTAAAGAAAATAGTTTGCAGATAACACCTGCCTGTTCATTAATAGAATAAAGCTGTCATACAGCCAGACCACTTATTATAACCATCAGCAAAAGAATTCTCCCCAAAATAAAGTGAGGGGAAATGCACATCATTTTTTTTAACTTCTCTGTCCTGGACCAGTATAGCTGCAGTTATGGCAGTTAGGATGTTTTTAGCTGCAAATAAAGAATATCTGATTAAAACTGGCTGAAATAACAGGGGTTTGTTAATTTCACATGGCAAGAAGTCTGGGCACTAGATCATCCCAGGGTTGCAGCCCATCGGGGTTGTCAGTTAACATTTTCCATTTTTCTGCCTTGCCATCCTGTGACTAGATGGCCACATGGTCACCAGATGGCTGCCACAGCTCCAGTCATCCTGTCCTTACACAGTAGCATCCCAAGCAGGAAAGAAGAGGAACAGCAACACAAAAGGCCTTCTCACTTGCCTCTCTCTGGACAGAGAGAGATATGTGTTTCCCACAGGCTGTCAGTATACTGCCCTATATTGCTCAGTAACTCAAATTGGACTACATAGCTGCCTCTAGACCAGTCACAAGTGCAGAGGAGCAGGACTGCCATCTCTTCTTGTCTTTTGGAATCAATGACCGGCATCCACTCGCTTGTGGCTGTTGTACCTTGTAATAACTGCCTTTTGTGTCGAGACTGCCAGAGTGTTCTGTCTACTAAAATGGACTTGGATTTGTGGAAAAAAGAGGATTCTTCCTCTAATCCTCTTTATGTAGCTTTTTAAAGATTTATGGATATAGCTGTAGAAGGGAAAAAGAAAAATCCTGTTTCTCTCTCTTCCATGCAATAGCTTGTTAAACTAAGAAGGACATGATTATTCTATTCAGTTTGAATCCTGTTTATTGAATGACCAAAGGACGTAAACAGCCTTTGTAAAAGATGAAGTGTAATCCAGACAGAAAGGATTATTATTGAGGAAGAGAGGTGCTTATGACATATCATAAGAGTCTTTGCTCCTATTTTGGCTCTTAAAACTGTTTTACTTTTGTTTTAGACTTAGAAGGTTTTGACTCCGTGGTATCATCTACTGAGAAACTCAGTCATCCGACCACAAGCAGACCAAAAGCTACAGGGAGGCGGCCTCCGTCCCAGTCCCTCACATCTGTAAGTGTCTCCTCAAACTGTATGTTCCCTTACTTCTCTACAGCGGAAAAGCAGGACAGATTAGAAACTCTAGCTAAGGACTCTTCTGCAAGCAGCCGATTTGAGGACACCCTGGGAGAGGGAGGCCATGAGATACACTGCCAACCAAAAGTGATTTCAGTCTTCTTGACTTGAGCGGCATTTCTTTCTATTTGTTCTTTGTGTTTCTGCCAGCAAGGTAGGTGCTCTGTATTCCCACTTTCCTTTTCTTTCCTTCCAGACTGATTCTTATTTTAACCTGAAATGAAATGGGTAAGAAAAAAAATCACGTTTTATGGGTGGGGAGAGGAGAATGAGGCTGGTTTGGTGTGTAAACAAAACAAAACTTTACTAAATAAAGATCTGCTCCTATATAGCGCCAGGCAGCAGCCGAACCTTTCTCTCTCAAATCCCCGTTGCCTGTACCCCTCCACAGAATACCACGCAGACCTTCAGGAGATTGTTTTCAAACATATGAGGCACCTGGTGATGAAGGAGAGACTGATTGGAACACTCAGGATAACCCATAGAAGATTTTTGTTTGGGTTGTTTTGAATGACTTTTTATTGCAAACCTATTACACGTTTATTGTACCAAATTTGAACTACAAAATGTATAAAGAAGAAAGTTATCTGTAATCCTGCTCCCCAGTGCAAAGAACCGTTAACTTTTTGTTATACAGCCTTAGCTTTTTAAAAAAAAATTATTTGTATATATAAAATTATTTCTTCACCAATAGGATTACGTAGTACGCATCGTTGTGAAACTTGCTTTTCTCCTCTTCTGTTGTGTGCCTTTCTCCCCAGTCATGACACATTCTTCCCTGACATCACATTTCATGGCTGCCCATTTTTCTAACCTATGAGTATGTGAGCGTTTAGCCAATGTATCGTTATTGGGCATTTATGTTGTTTCCAGTTCCTCATTATAAACAACACTCAAATGAATGCCACTGCAGAAAAATCTTGATGCTGCTCTAAAATTATTGACTTGGGTAAAAATTTTCTGGAAGTGGGTCAAAAGGAAATGTATGGTTTGCTTTTGCCACAGGTTGTTCTGTCCCCTCCAAGCTCACCTTCCACAAGTTGTGTTTGTGTATAAGTTCGATTTCTCTCTCTCTCTCTCTCTCTTTATTTCCATATAGCACATTGCCTTGTTCCAGTGAGTCTAAGTCCTTATAACCTCTACCCAGATAAACCAAGGAATTAACCTTTTGCAGGTTTCCCAGGACACTTCCTATTTTCATGTCATCACTGATCCCACCTAAGGTGTCATCATTTAGAAGAAAAAGAATGTCACTTCCTTGGAACCTCTTCTCTCATATCTAGAGTCTGGAAGTATGGTTTGAGTCATCCTATTTTTCCTCTTAGTATGAAAAACCTAACTGCATTGACACCTTTTTGGGTGAAACACTTTTAAAAGTAGCTGACTTTTTTTATTGTTATACAGACGTCTCTGTCAACACCACCTTCTTTCCCTTCTCCCTCTCACCTCTTCACACCCCACCCCAACACCCCTCTTATACCCACGACCTGTTTAGTTGGCTCTTAGTATCTCTATATTTTGTTTTTCAATCCTACCTCCTCTATCTTCTCTGTAAATCCTTCATCATTTTTGTCTTCCTTCCAAATTCTTCCCAACTTTTCAAGGTCTAGAGAGCCTTGTGACTTCCAGAATTACAGAAAGGTTTAAATTACCATCTCTTGTCCCACCTTTGGTCCATACATCCCATGCCTGAGAGTTCGTATGTATTTGGGGGATGTGGTGAGGATATATCATCTTCACTGCCTTCAGACTACACAGTTGTTCATTCATTCAACAACTCTTTATAGACATCTATCCCCTATGGGCTCGGCACTGTGCCAGGTACCAAAGATACAACTGGAATGAAAAGCACATGGTCACTGCCTGCAGGAAGCTTACGGCACAATGACTTGAAGTTTGGCATTTTATATGAAGTGATTTCATTTGCAGACTTAAAACAAAAGGATATATTTGTGCTTTAAAGTATAAATATTATATTCTCTTCATTCCCATTCATCCCTACTTGGATGTGTACATTGAATTCCTATTTACTCTTCTTCAGTTAGCACCTGTGGATTTTTCATAGGCAAGTGGAGGCTTAGTGGATATGGGCGTATTCCTCAAAGGCCACTGGGGGAAATGATGGAGGAAATGCACCAGTCATGATTCCCCAGCCTGGGGCCTCTGACCCTAGCTGAAGTTCTTTATGTTTATAGGACTCAAAGAGCAAGCTTTGATTGGCAGCTCATGAACCCTAGGTTGTAATGGAGGGAACTGGCTTTTTGAATAAAATCTCAAAATGAAAGGATTCAGGCATGGTATGGTGGCTAAGCGTTAAGCCTAGATTAATAAGAAGGCTTGGTGGTGGGGGAAACGTTATTCTAGGTAATTGGATTTTCAGATTAAATGAAGATTAACAAATAAAACCTGTTAAATTGAAAAATTTGCTTAAAAATTCCCTAAAATGCATTAGGTTTCTGCCTTAAGTAAACAGAAGAAAACATACGATATTTTTGGGTATAATTTTTCTATAATGACGCCAAGTGGTGATTTTAAATGGGACTGTTTTTCTACCACCAGGGTAGAAAGCATAGAGATGAAGCTGAAGATGAGCTTGCTCAAAGAGATCTGTGGAAGATTCTTCATTATAAAGGATTCCTTGCTATAGGAACTCTTATTTTAATTTGCTTTGTTCTAAAATAGGGAAATTCTAGCCCAGTGATCATCTATGACCAAGTGAATTCCAGTGAATTGGTCCAGAATTTTTTTTTTTTTTCCAGACAGGGTCCCACTCTTTTGTCCAGGCTGGAGTGCAGTGGTGCAATGTCAATGGCTCACTGCACCCTCGACCTCCGGGGCTCAAGTGATCCTTCCACCTCAGCCTCCCGAGTAGCTGGGACTCCAGGTGCACACCACCATGCCTGGCCAATTTTTGTATTTTTCGTAGAGATAGAGTTTCGCCATGTTGCCCAGGCTGGTCCCAAATTCCTGGGCTCAAGAGATCCTCCCGCCTCATAATCCCCGTGTTGGGATTACGGTCGTGAGCCACTGTGTCTGGCCTCATCTGGCTTTTTTATCTTTATAGTGATCTTCACAGTGAGGCAGAAAGAACAGGGGTGTCGTCCTATATTTTACCAAAAGATGCTGCCATTCTGTAAATATACTATAGCCATACAGACTCCAAAATGAATGTTGACTGTCAGCAATAATGAGGGCAGAGATTTAGCAGCAGGTACCAAAGGAGATATGAGCTTGTTGCACTAGCGAGCAGGGCTGTGCTCTCAAGCTGAGGAAACACTGGTCACTGGACCACAAGCCTGGTGAGCCCTTATCCCTGGAAATGGTTTTCTCTCAGACACATCCTTTAGGGCACTTCCGTATGCAGCAGATTTAGTGATCATGGAAAAGGTCAAGGAAAAGGAAGAGGAGGGAATGGAGGAGAGGCAGATTAGAGCAGCCTCTTGTTGACCTGTGTGTTCTTCCCTGGTAGACTGTCAGCCCTGTGAGGGCAGGCATCCTGTGTGGCATGTCACTAAGTCTGCAGTACAAGCTCACTGCAGCTTTTGCACATGGTAGCAAATGTTTAGAGGAAGGAGCAGGAAAGGATGGACGATGGATGCTTGCAAGGATGAAGTGATTGATGGACATCAGTGGCAAGATCCCTGGTTTAGGAAACCTTGCTTCTTAGTCGCAGTTCTGCCACTAATCAGCTATGTGACTTGAGCGCGTGCATAACAGCACACTTTTTTGCCTCACAGGGTTATCGTGAGAAGACAAAATAGCAGTGTCGAGTGCTTTTAAAGCATACAGCATTATATTAACGAAAGTGGTGTCAGCTAAGGTGTAATTCTGACAAAAGCATTTTCTTTTGGCTTTATCAGTCATCCCTTTCAAGCCCTGATATCTTCGACTCCCCAAGTCCCGAAGAGGATAAGGAGGAACACATTTCACTTGCGCACAGAGGAGTGGACGCGTCAAAGAAAACTTCCAAGACTGTTACCATATCCCAAGTGAGTCACCAGCCATGGCGAGGGTGTCCCTGTCATTTCATGCATGTGCTAATGATGGGTTATAAACCAAACAAAGATACACAAACAGTGCAGGTGTTTGTCATTCTTCAGTGACAGCGATTCTGTTACTCATCAAAATCCCCAAGGCATGTTGCAGTCTCCGAAACTAGGCAGAATCCCTGAGATACAAGTTCAGTTGTTTATTTCCCATGTTGTTCTCTTGTGGTTTGATCTCCTCTTCATACCATCACACACACGTTCACAAATACCTTCACACACTACCACCATCACCACAACCAGAACAATTTAAAAAGCCGTGAGACGTCTAGAGAGAAGACATTAAATATATTAAATGCTGTGCCCTCTGCCCACAGATCTTGTCTTTTATGTTCAAAGCTGGTCACAAATTATAGTTGGAAGATCATAAATATAAATAACTAATGTGGTCTCTTAAAGAAAATTGATTTGGAGTCACATTCTATGATAAATTTATAGTCTAAAAACACTTTAATTTTATTCCATGCCCAGAGAGTAGTATAGATACTTTATTAGTTTATGAGAAACAAGGAAGACATTTAACTTTTAGCTACTGCATGTAACTTTTGAGGAGCATCTTGTACAAATTCTCTCCCTGTGAATACGAACCAAGATTTTAAAATTCCATTTTCTCCCACTAAGAAAACCAAGTCAATTGGAATTATTTTCTCTGAATATTAGCAACTTCTTTCTGTCTAAAAGCAGAAAACTATAGTCACTTGAAGCAGGAATAGCACAAAGAAATCAAAGGTTACCGTGGAATTTTCCTTCTCCATAGATTTAAGAATTTACATGTATAGATTTTCTTAAAAATCTGATACAGTAAGCAAAACGTGATCCTATACAACAGATCAGTTGTAATTATTCACAAAACCAAAGCATTCTTTCTTTATAAAAGGATTCCATCTGCAGAAGTTGGATTTAGACCCGTTTTTTCTGGTGACCATAGGTATAGTTTCATTTGACATCCCTGGGGTGTCTCTACAGTGACATCTACTGGTGGACAGTGGGTTTTCGTGGTTCTGATGTACACAGTTGTATCCCATTAGCCTATTTCTCTTCCCCGGAGTTGTCATGTTGTGCTCTTCAGTGCTTCTAGAAATTCCACTTGAACTAATTTGATCAGGGAGGGTGGTGGCCTATACTCTGTGAGGGCTTTAAAATTGCTCAGTAGCCGAAATGGGCCGGGAGAGCGTGTCATATAGGAAATGCCAAGAGAAGCATTGATTCAAGAAGTGTCTGGAAGTCAGTCAGTGCAAAGGCACTGGTGGGTCACAGGAGTATGGGAGGTCCGCAAGGATGCAGGATGGGCAACAGGAAAAGGCATAAGCCCAGGAATAGATGACAAGCAAAGGAGAGGACAGGAGAGTGCGAATCTTCAGACTCAGGCAGCCACAGTCACAGTGCTGGACTTGAGGGATCCAGTTGATAGGGAATTGATCCCCTGTTCTGCCAGTTATTACCTATGAGTCTTGGGGAACTACTCAGCCACTTCTCTAAGCCTCAGTTTTCTGCTTGGTAAAATGCTTGTGCCAACCGATCGTTGCTCAAATTGTCTAGCCGGTGTCCGGCATGTGATCATTGCTCCAGAAATGTCAGTTCCTCTTCCCTCTTACTCTGACTCCTACTAATGATAAAGCACAGGCTGGCGGAGCGCTATTCCTGGCAGCAGAGAGCACTTTTCCTCAATGGTAACTTGGCAGAAAAAAGGCGAGCAGAGAGGCTGGGAATGATGGCCCATCTGCTTTTGGCTTTCTCTGCCCAGTCTCTCCCTCTAGCACAGCCTGAATCCAGACTCTGCCTCCTCGCCATGCCAGCCAAGCCCCTTTTGGCTCCTGCGCTGGGGTAGCCTGCTGGGTACCTGCTGCTGGAGGGAGCCTCACGGCCGCGTTGCCAAGCTTCACCACCAGCCTCTACTTCTGCCCTGCTGCTCATCGCCCCCGCCTCCCAACATCCTGTCCCACTCTTTTCCCTCCTCGCCACCTGCCTCCCAGCTCCCTTGTTGGTGCCTTCTCCCCCAGGGGCCTACTGGGCACCCCTCTTCTCTCTCGCCCATGACTGTCCTTCTTCCTCGGCCCTCCTGGCCTCCTCAGGACACTTCTCCATCAGGCCTCCCCCGCCAGTCTCCTCCACCTTCAGCCTGGCCCTTCACTGGCTCTTTCTCTCAGCGTATCATGCAGCTTAGGGTCTCCCCAGTCCTGGAAAGTGAACAGAACCCTTCCCTGATCCCACCTCCCCCTGAGGCTTCCGCATGAGCATGCTCCCTCTCTCCTGTCTTCCTGCCTCAACCAAGTTTCTGGAAAGAGAGTCCTAAACTTTCAGGCCACACCTTCACCTCCCATCCAGGTGGTCATCTGCCAGGAGCAGCTTTCTGTCTCCCTGGCTCCACCAAGTGGACTCCACCCAGTTTTCCTCTCAGCACCCTTCACCCACGCATGCAACCACTTCGTTCCTTCTGGACTCTCCTCCAGGCCTGTCTTCTGCTTCATCCCCTCTTCCTCCCCTCTTTCCCAGTCACTAAGGGCTCCTAAAATCCAATGTGTCAAAAACGGAAATCATTATCTGATTCTTCAGTCTGCTGTTTCTCCCATGAAAGGTACAATCTCGATGCCTGGTGTGTGCACCACACCCGTGGTCCCTGATCTGTCCTTCCTCCTCCACCCTCTGCATCCTGTCCAGGACCACATCTCCCTGCTCACAAGGCGTCTGTTCCATGAGGGCAGGGTCTCCATCCTCCTGGCCCACTCCTGCCCCCAGCACTGGGAACAATGCCTGGTGCTCTATGTCGGCTGTGCTTGCCTTCGCCACATCACTCAAAGTTGTCTTGTGTCTATCCTCCTAGCCACTGCCTGGGTCCAACCCTGACCGCTTCTAGCTTACGTTGTGTAAGACTCTCCCAGCAGTTCTCTCCAGCTCCAGATCTGCCAACCCTTTAGCCTTTCTGCAGCCAGCATGGTCCTCAGCACCGTGTGCCCTCCTCTCACCCTTTCGCCTAGCCGCTTGTACTTCCCAGCCTTAGCTCTGCCCCCAAGGCCCTCTCTTGCCCCCTCTGACGGTCTAGCAGTACTTCCCACCAATGCATTTTGCTCTGCGGTCTCTAGACCTTTGCCTGGCGTGTTCCCTCCCGCTGCAGCTTCTTTCTCTAAGTGCCCCTCCTTTCCTCTGGCTACTTCTTGGTCCTCCTCCAAGACGGGACTGTCAGCACCTGCTTGCGATGCCTGCCCGTCTGGATGGCTGGCCCCTTTTCTGTGTTTCTGGGGCTCTGTATGCTCACCTCCCTCTGTGCAGTTGTCCCCCCATCTCAGTGCGTTGGTCTGTCTGTCTGTCTGCGCCCCACTGGGTTCTGAGCTCCCTGGAGACCAGGAGAATGCCTATTAAGGCATGTCTTGTTCACTTCAGAGTTTGTGGTGCCTGGCAAGTAGTTGGGCATCTCAATGTGTATATTGAACCAGTCGGAAACTCTCTGTCCAGAAAGAAGGTCACATTTAAAATACATAGAAGGCGGCGTGTGAGTAAGGGGGAAATGCCTGTACCAAGCAGGCCCTTGGTGGCTTGTGGATGAAGGAACAAGTGAATGGAGTGTGTGGAGAGAGGCGGGGACAGTGGTGTTAACGGAGAGTTTGACTAACCAGGACAAAGACGCAGCACACAAATCCCCGGCCCTGAACCCTCCCTGCCTTCCCTCGTCACAGGTGTCTGACAACAAAGCATCCCTGCCGCCCAAGCCGGGGACCATGGCAGCAGGTGGCGGTGGGCCAGCCCCTCTGTCCTCAGCGGCGCCCTCCCCCCTGTCATCCTCTTTGGGAACAGCTGGACACAGAGCCAACTCCCCGTCTCTGTTCGGCACGGAAGGAAAACCAAAGATGGAGCCTGCGGCCAGCAGCCAGGCGGCCGTGGAGGAGCTAAGGACACAGGTCCGCGAGCTGAGGAGCATCATCGAGACCATGAAGGACCAGCAGAAGTGAGTGCCTGGGGACTCTTGGGGGCCGTCACCCAGGTTGCTCTCTGCCAGGCCAGCACCTAGTTCTGAAAGCATGGATCCCAGCCTGCCTTGGAGGGCGGGCCTGGTCTCCCCGTTGATGGTGGCAGCAATGGTGGGAGTGCGTGTAGACCCCGAGAGTCTTAATTTATACCTAAATTATGCTGCATGTTTTTGCTGGACTTACTGTGTGCAGGAAGGGCACAGGCTGGCCATGGGGCATAGAGGGATGAGTCCATTGCAGGGACTGATGCTCTCAGCAGGCTGCTAAGAAGAAAAGCATTTAAATCCCCCATAAAATACAGTATGTACATGAACCACTTCTTAAATAAGCTCAACAGCTAGCTTTTCCTCTTGCAACAGAAAAATGGCAATTTCTTCACTTAGCTGCCAGATGAAGCAGTTGGCCTGCATTGAGGTACCAGTAATGTATGAAGAAGATGTAGGGAATCTTGAAGCCCAAGATTTTACACTCAGTAAGATGTTCTCACCATGAGACTGCAGTGGGCGGGGCGGGGCAGTGGGGGTCTTTCTTCCTGCATGGCTGCACACACACTCTCGCCACATCTCTAATCCTCAGGGAGCACTTTGTTGAGGAGAAAGACCTGGACACAAAAATAAGTATCATACATCATTATCATCCAGGATGTGGTTTGCAATGACAAAGCCCATAGGAGGATTAGAAGTAGAGAATGGGCATGGTGGCTCATGCCTGTAATCTCAGCACTTTGGGAGGCCAAGGCAGGTGAATCACCTGAGGTCAGGAGTTTGAGACTAGCCTGGCCAACATGGCGAAACCCTGTCTCTACTAAAAATACAAAAAAATTAGTTGGGCGTGGTGGCGTGCACCTGTAATCCCAGCCACTTGGGAGGCTGAGGCAGGAGAATTGCTTGAACCCAGGAGGAGGAGGTTGCAGTGAGCCAAGATTGTGCCACTGCACTCCAGCATGAGTGACAGAGCGAGACTCCGTCTAAAAAAAAAAAAAGTAGGGAGGCACTGCTCTGAGTAAACTGAGGCTCGAGGAGTTTAGGGATCAGTTAGCTGTTTCTTGAGAGAATCAAGGGAGGCATCTCAAAGAGTTATTTCCCGGGTAGGATTTTGAACGATGATTTAGGATTGCCAAGAGCACACTACTCCAGCAGCGAAAACATCATGTTGATTCCTGGCCACACGGGGCAGCCTGGTGAGGTCAACACATCCCCAGGTGACTGGCCTCCTTGGATTGGAGGTGCCTGGGGTGGTGACAGGAGATGCAGCCAGAGACTTACAGCGATGAAGCCCTCTGCCAGTCTGGGGTCAGCAGAAGCCCTGTCACCTGCCTCCCTCTACGTGGCTTGAGGGCCCTAATGTGTTTTGTGGTCACTTTTGGGGGATAACTCGGTTAAGCAAACTTAAGTTCTTTTCTGAAGGGCTCTTCAGAGCCTTCGCTTTGCATTGGGAGGATGGAGAGGATAGCATATGCAAGGTGTCCCACACCTGCTTAATCACAGAACCTTTTTTTTCCAGAGCATCCTAGGATGAGGGTTCCATGGAATTCGCTTTGAGTAATGTGGCTCTAAGCGGGTTCTGTTCCACTCAGGCTGGGAGGGAATTGAAGCCTCTTGGACTTACCCCAGCCTGGAAGAGATCCATCAGATTAATATACAGGACTGACAGATGGTACTTGAGAAGGAATCCTGGGGCCAGCCAGGCTACCTCTAACCCCTTAAAGTCCCCAGCTCCTATCTGGCTCTGGAGGTTACTCATTTAGGTACCCAAAGGCCCCATCCACGTCCAGGTGACCTGTGTCCCTTTCCTAGACAGGACATCACAGAGGCCCCAGGATACCCCAGAGCATTGGTTCTTGCCTTCTGAACAGGACCATCATGGCATCAGACTGGCTTGAATTCAGGGCTTTAGCTGTTTGGACCCTATGAGAGGTGCCTGCAACATCTGAAATGCCCTGTGCTTCCGGGCTGCCACACCATGTTTCTCCCCCACTGTGAAGCCTGCAAATAGTTGGTGGGAATTGTCTTTCCCCGGCCAACATCTCTTGAGTCAACACCCCACAGTGGCCTCTCTTCCAAGGCCTGCCTTTTGCTGCCTACGTCAGTCTGGCCTTCGTGCCCAGGGTCAGTGGGTCCCTACTAGTCTCTTGTATTAGTCCTTCATGTCAGTTTCCTGTTAGCCTTCAACTCAAGTCCACACCAGCTCTCCTTATCCCCAAATAAGCTGGTTCTCACCTCCCTGCTTTTCTCTGGCTTTTCTCTGTCAATTCCCCTGTGTTTCTTCCTCCTCATAGACTTACGCTCATTTTCATTTCACTAGTTCAAGACTTAGTGACTTTCTTTGGACTGCTTTCCCCAATTAACTCCCCACAGCTGGACTGCTTGAGGCTTTGCCTGCCAGTCTCCTGGGGTTGGAGCATTTGCTTGGAGTCTCACCTTCTTCCTTCCTAATCCCTAAGTAGTACCCACTGAGATATGGGTGCATGATGTGCGCTTAAATAAATACAGTAATGAATCACAACTGGTTCATATTCGTTGTGATATAAACCCAGTATGTTGACAGCAGAGCTGGGACACTGCCCCAGAGAATAGGGACCATCATCGTGCTCATCCGAAGTGAGAAAATGCAATATAACTTCCACCTTATTTTACTGTGGTGTCTCAGGCATCTTTGTTTCTTGATTTTCCAATCCAGTCTGTAAAAATATGCATGTAAAATGGAGTGTTGGATACCTGAAAATGGAGGACAGCTCTCTGCCCAGTGTTTGGATGCTTGCAGTGTCCTAAGTATAGAGCCCTAACTTTGTGGGATGGTTAGTGCTGTGCACTTCATTATTTTTAATGTTGGAAAGGGCATTAGGCCGTGGATCCTAAGTCATGCCAGTTTCTCTAAGACATGATTGCCATACCATTACTCCAATTATTTTACCCCCAAGTTTTTGGGACTTACTGTGTAGGATTTTATGAGAATCCATGAAAACGTACCAGTAACCTTTCAGCAATTAAAAACCCTATTGAAAATAAAGGAAATAGGCCAGGTGCGGTGGCTTACGCCTGTAATCCTAGCACTTTGGGAGGCTGAGGTGGGCTGATCACCTGAGGTGAGGGGTTCGGGACCAGCCTGGCCAACATGGTGAAACCCCGTCTCTACTAAAAATACAAAAATTAGCCAGGCATGGTGGTGTGTGCCTGTAATCCCAGCTCCTCGGGAGGCTGAGGCAGGAGAATCGCTTGAACCCAGGAGGCGGAGGTTGCAGTGAACCGAGATCACCCCACTGAACTCCAGCCTGGGCAACAGAGTGGGACTCCATCTCAAAAAATAATAATAATAAAAATAAATAAATAAATAAATAAAATAAAGGAAATATATATGGAGTGGTAAAAACATCTGCAATAAAAATTACAAGAAGAGCCAGGCTTAGTGGTTCATGTCTGTAATCCTAGCACTTTGGGAGGCCAAGGCAGGAGGATTGCTAGAGCCCAGGAGTTCAAGACCAGCCTGGGCAACATAGTGAGACCCCCATCTCTACAAAAATAATTTTAAAAATTGGCCTGGCATGGTGGTGTGCGCTTGTAGTCCTAGCTACTCAGGAGGCTGAGGCAGGAGGATCGCTTGAGTTTGGGAGGTTGAGGCTGCAGTGACCCATGATCGTGCCACTGCACTTCAGCCTGAACAATAGAGCAAGCCCTTGTCTCAAAAAGAAAATTGTAATAAGTACATTTAAAGCCCAGTGATTTTGTAATAAAGGAATGGTTATGGGGAAGATGACAGAATATGAACCTGTCATATTCTGACAGGTTACGTGAAGTCTAGTAATTGGGCAAGTCAGGCCACCACGCTGGGCCTCTGTTTCCCCATCTTATCCTTTTGAGAGAAGTTTGGACTAAGGGATTTCAGAGGTCACTTCCGCACCCACCAGTTGCTGGCTACATATTTTAGGGGCCCCAGAATAATGGTGAGCCTTACTGTCTGAAACAAATTTTAAGCAGTAACAATGCAAAGAAAATAATGATGTGTTGTCCACAGTTTCTTTGTAAAAAAGGATCAGATGGATTTTGTAGTCATAATAAGAGATTTCTGATCTCTGATGAAGGAAGTCTGGGATTTTGGTTAATTTCATTGCCATTTGCTTTTCAGACGAGAGATTAAACAGTTATTGTCTGAGTTGGATGAAGAGAAGAAAATCCGGCTTCGGTTGCAGGTGCGTCCCTTTGGGTTCTGCTGCCCGTGAGTCCTAGGCTCAGTGGGGCAGGACATTGTGAGGGCTTTTATTTCAAAAATAAATGATTGTCACCTCTCTGCAGATCTGGATACATTTCCTGTGACCATCTTCTTAGAATCGTATGGGCTTACTACATATCGTTTCCCCAGGAAGTCTTGGGGAAGGGAAACATTAGGAAATGTGCCCCAAATTGGGTTTCTCATTTGGAATTTATCTTTTTTTTTTTTTTTTTCTTTTTGAGACGGAGTCTCGCTCTGTGACCCAGGCTGGAGTGCACTGGCGCCATCTTGGCTCACTGCAACCTCCGCCTCCCGGGTTCAAGCGATTCTCCTGCCTCAGACTCCCGATTAGCTGGGACTACAGGCATGTGCCACCACACCTGGCTAATTTTTTGTATTTTTAGTAGAGACGGGGTTTCACTGTGTTAGCCAGGATGGTCTCGATCTCCTGACCTCAGGTGATCCTCCTGCCTCAGCCTCCCAAAGTGCTGGGATTACAGGTGTGAGCCACGGCACCCAGCCTGGAATTTATCTTAAACATCTCTGCGAAAAGCCCCTCTCCCACCTCCATTTCCAAGAGGCCTCATTATATGTGGTCACTATGGCTCCAGGGGCCACAGCTGTCCATGTTCGGGGGCATTTGCTCTTGATTTCTCAGTGATGGCCATTTCTGTCCTGCCAGGGCGTTAGAGCTCTGTCCCCTGTAGCCTCTGATTCAACACTGCTGTTACCAAATGGCAGAGAATGCGTGGGAGTTCTGATTGACCGAAGGTAGACTTTCAGCTTTCATCCAGTTGGCGCCCTTGTGGTGATGGGGACCCATGCTGCTTAACAAAGGATAGGTAGCTGCTTGCCATCATTTTGGGGGTGCTGACAGACACCCCCTTGAGCCAACCACAGCTGCCTTCCAACACTGCCAGATGGCCCCGCCTGTTAGGACCGCCTGCTCTACCCTCTGGCTAAGAAACTGGAATTATTGCTGCTTTTGACAAACTTTGCAGCCTGGCAGCCTGAGAATCAAAATGTGCACCATTTCCTAGTGCCTCGTGTCTGTGTGCCTGTTCTGTGTTGATGTCACTTCTGGCATTGCTGTTGATTGTCTATTCAGATGTCATGTCACCTTTAAAATTGTCAGATTGATTGTTTTCTTTCAGTCGACCGGGTTGATAATCTTTCAGCTTCTATAAAACCAGCCGATTCATTATGACTTTGTTCCATTCTTATTTTTCTCTTTCTAGATGGAAGTGAACGACATAAAGAAAGCTCTACAATCAAAATGAATACTTGATCAATGAAATGTCACATTATTCATCCTGAGTCCGAGACTCAAATTTTCTGCCCCAGCCAAAATAATCTTGTGCCAAAAGATTAAAGGTTTGCCTCAAAATGTCCCTGTTTGAAAGATTAGCACAAAAGTCTTGATAGCACAACACAAATTCCATCCAAGAGGAGAATCTTCCCCAGGGTTTAGTCCTGGGGCTGGCACTCGTTGTGACTTACACAGAGCAAAATTGTGCTAAAGGCTTTTCTACTCTGAGATCTCAATGCGAAATGAAAACTCAGGCAGTTTAGTCCATAGTGGTACTATTTTGATGATATTTTCCATTAATAAAATGTAATTTCAGATTATTCGTTTACAAGCTTTATAATTTTATGATTTTTTAATCGTGTTTTGTCACAGACTTCCCTAGTGTTTGTACTACACGTAGTCAGAAGCGAGTGTCCTTTTCTTTTGCTTCAGGCTAAGAGCTGCCTCGCTCTTTGTCCCCCCATTAGGATTCTATTACATATGCAATTGTAGGTTCAACCTGTCCCTTTCCCTGCCAGCAAACCCCACCACCCTAAGAGAAATTTTAGCTTATATATGACGGTATATTTACAAAAAGAGAAAGAGAAAATCTGGTATTTGCAATGATCTGTGCCTTCTTTTTACCACCCTCTTGATTGGAGCTTTTGTGATGCAGCTACCATGATTCAAAAAAATTAAAAATTAAAAAAAAAAAATCTGCCACTTATCCAAGTCCACTAGAGGCCACTGTCTTCAAAGCTTCTCTCACCCTAGCCAAAGGTCCTAAGAGGAGACAGCTGTGAAGTTGGGCGTGCTCTGTGGTACCAGCTGTGACTTTTCTATTTCTCCTAGTTTTAGGTTGTTCATGAAACTAGAAATGTCATCCTGCTTGATTTTTCATCAGCCAAGTTAAACCCCTGCTTTCTGTCCTTTGCACCTTTTGCGTGAACAGAATATGCATTATTAAAGCAAAAATAAATAAAAGTAAAATGCAAATGAAAACAAGGGAGGGAAAGTTGTATTATTTCCTGCACTGGGTTACCCGTGTGTGTTATCGTTTAAACTGTATTCACATAATGTCATTTGCCTTGCTCACTTGTAACCCCTTCCTCAGGTCCAAGAGAATGGGAGGAGGGTCATGTTGAAGTGTAGCCACTGGAACTTTCTTGCATTTATGGAGTTGCTTTTTCTTTCCCAAGGAAACTGATGTTTGCCTGTCCGCTTTATCTTTGTAGTACATGAACAGTTCAGCCTTAGACTATGTAACTGTTTTCTCATCCTTAGCTGAAAATGAGGGGCCTACTGTATTGCGAGACTGTTCAGGGGTAGGGGTGGAGGGGGTGGTCCCTTAATGGCCCCTGAAGATGTTGGATGTGTTTCTCAAAAGCTGCTTTGTCTCTTTCCTGAGTTTAATAGTGAAACTACTAAACATTAATAGATTTGCACAGCCACAAAGAATGAGAGTTGATAATACCGAAGAAGTGATGCAAAAACAAAAAATCACATTACTGATCATTGATAGTATTACAAATAAATGTCTCTTCCTTTCTCTTCCTCCCTTCCTCCCCCTGCCTTCCTCTTAACCTATGTGCTCATCCTTGCTACTTGAGGCTGTTATTTCCCTCCGAGTATTTAAGGAGCCCAAACACCTTGGTCTTCCTGGGTGGGGGCATAATTAAGGGAAGGGAGTGTATAAGGAAGGAAACCTCATACCCTCCATTCCCATCCCTGGATATATTGCCTTTTCAGCAGCCTCGGGTTCAGTGTGCTTGGGGTCAGGAGTGCCAGGTTCCCAAGAGCAGCGTAAAACATCCCTGTACCCCTTGACAGTTATAAGCATTTCTGCGTTAAACTTGAAGATTCCAGAGATTCCCCACGACCTAATGATCTAAGAATGCAGATTGGATTCTTTGATGTTCAAATTTCTCATTTACTTATGAAAATCCCTAATTATATAGTTTTATATAATGTGTATACAGAGTAGGATTGTTGATGAAATTGAGCGGTTGGAACACCCTCATGGAACACTGGCAACATGGAATGTAGAGAGCTGATGTCTTCCCCCTCATAGAGGCCATTGGCTTCCTTTGTATAAGGAGAGGGAGAAGTGATTCTGGAAGGAGAAGTTGGTATGTCTAGCTTCATTGCGGCCCCTCGGGCTACCCAGCAAGAGGATTCTGCATCAAGGAACTGGACGAGCCGCTACCCAAACTGCCACCATCTTTACTCTTTACAAAATGGACCCATCGAGAATGTTGAAAAGCTTGGAAGTATCACTTTTGAAAAAAAAAAAAATTATTTTGCATTCAGCATGGACTCGACCAGGCATCTATGGAGATTATTTTTTTGCTTCATTTTATAAAGTTGTATTTAGAAAAGTCTTAAGTATTGTGCTTTGTAAAGAAGATGATTAAAATGAAATTTTGTGAGAATAGTTTTGTTCAAAGTTGTCATGGTCCAAGAGGAATGATTTTTTTTTTTTTTTGGAATACCATTTTTCTCCACTTTATACAATTTGATTTCTCTTATAGAAATATCTTTAGAAGACATGGAATATAGTGCCTCTCCCCCATCTTTCCCAAGTGAACAGAAATAATCTGTGAAATCTGTGCCTGTGAATTCTGTTTTTTAAATTGTTCAGTTTTATACTCATATCTAATCAGAAAATGCCAGTTAGGTATAAATTCTTTTTTAGTGTAAAAAATTTTAAGTCATCATTATTCAAATAACTGTGTAAAGCCACTTTTTTTTTTTTTTTTTTTGGAGACAGAGTCTCACTCTGTCACCCAGGCTGGAGTGTGATGATGTGATCTCTGCTCACTGCAACCTCCGCCTCCCGGGCTCAAGTGATTCTCCTGCCTCAGCCTCCCCAGTAGCTGGGATTACAGGTGCCCGCCACCGCGCCTAACTAATTTTTGTATTTTTAGGAGAGACAAGGTTTCGCCATGTTGGCCAGGCTGGTCTCGAACTCCTGACCTCAGGTGATCTGCCCACCTCGGCCTCCCAAAGTGCTGGGATTACAGGCATGAGCCACCGCACCTGGCCAAGCCACTTTTATTCACACACAGTCCTCTAGGTGGCACACTCAAGTACATGATTTGTTTTCTTCCATAAGGACATCCTGTATGTATCCTCACACGTGTCTTTGCTTATTAGTGGCAGGGTTTTCTTTCCTTTCATAACCCGCTCCTTGATGGGAAAACTGCAGGATGTATAATTTATTGCTCAAATTTGCCACTGTCTGTATAAAAATAATCCCCAGGTCCCACAAAGGCCTTTGTATTGTAACGCGAGGTCATCCTGGTCTCCTTTTTGTGGTATGAGATTAGGTTTTAGTCCTCTAGTTATTTTAGCACAAATTAACATCGAGATGTTTTGGCACCAAGGGGGCTTGGTGAAAGCTTCCCTCTTTGATTTTGTACAAACAAGAACCGTAACAAAGCACGCATGCGTGGGTGACCGGCATTCAGCGTGACTGATTGTGGCATCCGACAGAGGGAAGCCTTGGCACTTAGGACCTAAGCCCAGGGAAGAAGATGCTGTGCCCAAAATTAGCACGAGTGAAGGAGCACAATGGCCAAGCCAGAAATAAATATCAGTGGTGTAAGGACAGGCAGGGACCAGGTCTCTTAAGGGGATGAACTTTTCCTGTCACTCCTAGTCCTATTCCTAGGGTCACCAAGGCTTGGTTCCCAACATGTGGAGCAGAGGCAGCCTGTGCAACTGACAAGAATCCATGAAGTCAGTACAGGTTCCCACATGGTGGTTTTACTTTATGCCCTTTTTCTTTTTTGAAGTGGAGTCTCACTCTGTCACCCAGGCTGGAGTACAGTGGTGCAATCTTGGCTCACTGCAATCTCCACCTCCCGGGTTCAAGTGATTCTCCCACCTCAGCCTCCTGAGTAGCTGGGACTACAGGCGCCCACCACCATGCCCAGCTAATTTTTGTATTTTTAGTAGAGATGGGGTTTCACCATGTTGGCCAGGCTGGTCTCGAACTCCTGACCTCAGGTAATCCGCCCGCCTCGACCTCCCAAAGTGCTGGGATTACAGGCGTGAGCCACCGCACCCGGCCTATTTCATGTCTTTTGAATTGATCCCAAATTGAAGTGGCTGTGGGGGCAGCCCCTTCCCACAAATGACGGGGTGCTCATTGTGTTTGTGAATTTGGAATTCACAATAAAATGGGCTCTTCCTTTTTTCTTGTTGGAGCAATAGGTGATAACTTATTTCAACCAAACAACAGAACAAGGTGATGTAGTAGGTTGTAGCTAGAATTTTCTGAGGAAAAAGAAAACAAAAACAAAAATAAAAAAACTGAATTCCTGGCAAACCAGCTTCATGGAGCTGTTCTCTTTAAGTGGCAACAAGTTTAATTAAATTATGCAGATAATTATGTAACAATGTCATTTTAGTCTTGAATGCTCCCTGTTCCCACCCACCCCATAGAATATTACCAGTTCTCCAGAAAGCTAAGATTTGTTTGCAAGCTTTGAGCTCTTTGATGGGAAGGTGCCCTGGAAATGCAAATTTTCATTATAGCTTCTATTAAAAAAAAAAAAAAAAAAAAAAGGCCAGGCGCGGTGGTTCACGCCTGTAATCCCAGCACTTTGGGAGGCCGAGGAGGGCGGATCACCTGAGGTCAGGAGTTCAAGTCCAGCCTGGCCAACATAGTGAAACCCAGTCTCTACTAAAAATACCAAAAATTAGCTGGGTGTGGTGGCGGGCGCCTGTAATCGTAGCTACTCAGGAGGCTGAGACAGGAGAATCGCTCGAACCCAGGAGGCAGAGGTTGCAGTGAGCCAAGATCACGCCATTGCACTCCAGCCTGAGCAACAAGAGCGAAGCTCCATCTCAAAAAAAAAAAAAAAAAAAAAAAAAAAAGGGCCGGGCATGGTGGCTGACGCCTGTAATCCCAGCACTTTGGGAGACTGAGGTGGGCGGATCATGAGGTCAAAGAGATCGAGACCATCCTGACCAACATGGTGAAACTCTATGTCTCTACTAAAAATACAAAAAAAAAAAAAAAAATTAGCTGGGCATGGTGGCACACGCCTGTAGTCCCAGCTACTCGGGAGGCTGAGGCAGGAGAATCACTTAAACTTGGGAGGGGGAGGTTGCAGTGAGCCAAGATCACGCCACTGCACTGCAGCCTGGTGACAGACTGATACTCTGTCTCAAAAAAACAAATAAAAACGAAAGTTTTAAGGGATTTACAAACCAAATTTTAAACTAACCCAGCTGGTAAAAGCCATCCTGAAACCAAACGAAAAAACATGAAGAAATCAATAACATTTCCAAGGTTATTTCCCCCAAAGAAAAACAGAGATGTCTGGCCAGGCGAGGTGACTCATGCCTATAATCTCAGCACTTTGGGAGGCCAAGGTGGGTGGATTGCCTGAGCTCAGGAGTTCGAAACCAGCCTGGCCAACATGGTAAAACCCTGTCTCTACTAAAATACAAAAAATTAGCCGGATATGGTGGTGCACGCCTATAATCCCAGCTATGTGGGAGGCTGAAGCACGAGAATTGCTTGAATCTGGGAGGTGGAGGTTGCGGTGAGCCGAGATTGTGCCAATGCACCTCAGCCTGGGTGACTGGAGTGAAACCCTGTCTCAAAAAAAAAAAAAAAAAAAAAACAAACAGCGATGTCTTAGGAGACATACAGCAGATTCTTTTCAAGCTTCATGAATATTTCTTAGAGTCAATCTGAGAAAACCAAGAATTTGGCTGGGGCTGAAGCTCTGCCCTTGAATGCCGAAGGGAAATAGATGAATAGGGAGTAAACGGATGCCTGTATGAAATGCCTGCTCATTTCCCTGCTGTCATCCCAAGGCAGCTCTCAGAAAATGTTCTTTGTTCTCAATCAGGGCAGTCTTCTTGGAGGAAGTGAATCTGGAAAGAGGAGAAGGACATGAATTGAAAGAGGAATTATCAGAGGAAGCTTCAGGCCTGAAGGTAGAACTAATCTGCTTTGATAGGGACGCATGTGGTGCTGAGAATCTGGGAGGGGTGATGAGGAAGACAAAACGGTACAGCTGAGGGTGACAACTTTCAGGGTAATTGAGGACACTTCACATGCTGAGGATGGGCCTGTCGATGAAAGTGTCACCAATGAATCTTCCATGTCTTAAAAATGTTTAGGCCAAGCTGGGTACGGTGGCTCACGCCTGTAATCCCAGCACTTTGGGAGGCCGAGGCGGGCAGATTACCTGAGGTCAGGAGTTCGAGACCAGCCTGGTCAACATGGTGAAACTCTGTCTCTACTAAAAATACAAAAATTAGCCAGGCGTGGTGGTGGGTGCCTGTAATCCCAGCTACTTGGGAGGCTGAGTCAGGAGAATCGCTTGAACGTGGGAGGCAGAGGTTGCGGTGAGCTGAGATAGTGCCACTGCACTCCAGCCTGGGCAACAGAGTGGGACTCTCTCTCAAAAAAAAAAAAAAAAAAAAAAGTTTAGGCCGGGCACGGTGGCTCACACCTGTAATCCTAGAATTTTGGGAGGCCAAGGGAGGTGGATTGCTTGAGCTCAGGAGTTCAGTACCAGTCTGGGCAACATACGGAGACCCCATCTCTACAAAAACAAACAAAAAAAAATACAAAAATTTGCCAGGCTTGGTGGTGCGTGCCTGAAGTCCCAGCTACTCAGGAGGCTGAAGCGGGAGGATCACTTAAGCCCAGGAGGTTGAGGCTGCAGTGAGCTGTGTTTGCATCACTGCACTCCAGCGTAGGTGAGAGAGTTGAGACCGTGTCCCCACCGCCGCCAAAAAAAACAAATGTTTAGAGCACCAGAGTGGTGACTGTAGGCTCAAATGTAGAACAAAGTCACCTTGAGAATTTTTAGATAACTTTTTTTCTGAATATGAAGCGAATATTTATGCCCAAAGTAGAAAATACAAAATATAAAGAGAAGACAGACATTCTCAGAAACAGCCTTTAATTTTGGTCTCTGATAAGAAGGTCATTCTGTATTTATAGTTTTATAGCCTGCTTTTTATACTTAATATCATTTTTTGTCTTTTTTTTGTGAAAACAATTTGTAATGGCTGCATAGTATTCCATCTGTAAATATTCCAGAAAGCATTTGACCAATATCTTATCTAACATATATAGGGTGCTTATGGTGATGTGCCAGATGCCATGAGAGGCGCTGAATGCGACAGAGTCCCTGCCCTGAAGGAGCTCGGTGTCAAATGGGCAGAAGTAGGCAGGTAAACAGGCAAGTCTTCCTCAATACAAAACACAACCACATAGAAAAGCCCCCAGAGCTTTGGCGTGACAGAGGAGACACGCCCACTGGAGCCTTGAGGGGAGGGAAGGTCAGGGAAAGAAGCACATTTCTCACGAACTTAATTTTTTTCTTTTTAAAATAAAGTTGTCATGGACATCTTTACGCATCAATCTATGTCCACATTTCTTTTTTCTTTTTTCTTTTCTTTTTATTTATTTATTTATTTTTGAGATGGGGTCTCACTCTGTCACCCAGGCTGGAGTGCATGCAGTGGTGCCATCTCGGCTCACTGCAACCTCCATCCCCCGAGCTCAAGGGATCCTCTCTCCTCAGCGTCCTAAGTAGCTGAGACCACAGATGCACGCCACCACACCTGGCTACATTTGTGTGTGTGTGTGTGTGTGTGTATTTTTGGTAGAGACAGGGTTTCACCGTGTTGCCCAGGCTGCTCTTGAACTCCTGAGCTCAAGCAATCCACCCACCTTGGCCTCCCAAAGTGCTGGGATTACAGGCGTGGGCCACCATGCCTGGCCTATGTCCACATTTCTGACCTATCCTTAAGATAATTCCAAAATGTGGAACGTGAGTATAAGTTGCCTGATATTTTTAGCAAAAATCATTTTTGGCCAATTATAAACTTAGTTAATTATTAACATTAGCATATACAAGTGACTAACCACCCATCTTTCCTTAAAGTTGCATTTGCCTAAATCCTGATGGGGGTCAGGTCTGGATCTCTTTTTCCCTGATTGGTCACTGCTCCAATGTCACCTCATCAGAGAGGCCCTCCCTACCCCTCTAAATAAAAGAGCAACTTTAGCCTTGACCCACCCCCAGAGTCCCCATATCAACACCTCCTTCATTTGTTTTCCCTTGCTTGCTTTGTTTCTGTTTTCAATCTCCCCTCCCTTAGAATGAAACCACTCTGAGGATAGTGACTTTTCTGTCACTGCTCTATCCCCAGCACCTAAAACATTGACAGATATATATTAATAGTAATCACTTGATATGTAGTTGACTGAATAGATGAATTGGTAATTGTGACTGATGTCAAATGCAATTTATTCTATACATTTGAGCAGCCCGGTTTGACCTTTACTAAAACTTTAGTACAAAACTGGGGCAGTAGGGAAGCTCCACAGCAAAAGAAACAGATACAAAGAAAGCCTTCAGAGCACTTTACTTCTATATGAGTCTCAGCCAACACCCGGACCCTAAGGAGAGTGCTTCTTGCATTACGATGGTTCTCAAAACCAAGTTCATGTCATCTGAACACCATTTTCTCTAAGACGTCCAGTCACTACTTAGAAACCTGTGGCTACCTCTGTTTTAGAAAGTAAAGTTTTTTTTTTTTTTTTCCTATACTCATTCTGGAGGAAAAAAAAGAAATGAATTCTGGGCTGAAAATGGTGGCTCAAGCCTGTAATCACAGCAATTTGGGAGGCCGAGGCAGGTGGATCACTTGAGGCTAGGAGTTCGAGACCAGCCTGGCCAATGTGGTGAAACCCCATCTTTCCTAAAAATAGAAAAATTAGCTGGGCATGGTGGCACATGCCTGTAATCCCAGCTCTTTGAGAGGCTGAGGCGAGTGGATTGCTTGAGGACAGGAGTTTGAGACCAGCCTGGCCAACAAGTCCTGTCTCTACTAAAAAATACAAAAATTAGCCCAGCATGGTGGCACACACCTGTAATTCCAGCTACTCAGGAGGCTGAGGCATGAGAATCACCTGAACTTGGGAGGTGGATGTTGCAGTGAGCTGAGATCATGCCACCGCACTCCAGCCTGGGTGACTTGCAGGCTGCACTCCAGCCTGGGTGACGGCAAGACTCTGTCTCAAAAAAAAAAAGGGAATTCTTTGCTGACTCTTGATTCTTCTCTGAGGTCAGCTGAGAACCTAATTGCTCCCTCTCAGGGCAAACCATCTGCCCTCAAAGTGATGAGTAAGTGGGAAAGGTAGATAAGCGCTGAGCTTCTAGGAAGAGCCATAGAGCAGTGGTTCTTAGAATGTGATCCCCAAAAGAACAGCATTAGTATCACCACTGGGGAACCTGGTAGAAATGAAAATTCTTGCGCCCTGTCCCAGACTTCCTGAATCAGAAATTCTGGAAAGCAACCCAACAATCTGTGTTTTAACAAGTCCTCTCAGTAATTCTGATGCACGCATAAGTTTGAAGACCACCATCATGGGGGGATCAACTCATTCCCAGTGAGTTGTGTGTAGAGTAGCTGACAGCAATCTTTTCCAGAAATCTCTAGTTGTCCTTGGCTGAAGCAAAACAAGGTGCACTACTCAGAAATAATGCCGTAGTCTATTTGGTTGAAACATGTGAAACTAACATTTTTTTTAGATCAAATATGGTTGAATAGATAGGACTTCCAGTTTCAGCTCAGAGATATGGAAGAGCTGCATGAAATCCCTTCCTGTGCTAACAACAAGAAAAAGTCTGGACAGACTGGAAATTAATAGAGAACTAAGTTCAAAGAGCAAATGGCCATTTGAAAATCTGGGCCAGGTGTGGTGGCTCACACCTGTAATCCCAGCAGTTTGGGAGGCCGAGGCGGGAGGATTGCTTCAGCCCATGAGTTCAAGATCAGCCTAGGCAACATGTCAAGGCCCCGTCTCTACAAAAGGGACAAAAAATAGCCAGGTGTAGTGTCGCCTGCCTGTGGTCCCAGCTACTTGAGAGACTGATGCAGGAGGATCACTTGAGCCTTGAGGCTGCAGTGAGCCGTGATCACACCACTGCATTTCAGCCTGGGTGACAGAGCATGACCCTGTCTCAAAAAAAAAAAAAAAAAAAAAAAAAAAAAGAGGCTAGGCACTTCCTGCAAGACACAGGATCTGAGCATTTGGTTACCAAGGGCAGAAACCACCAGATGCCATAGAACTAGGTAGAAAGGTCAGGCTAGAAAATTTGACCAATTTCTGGAAGCCAACTGTGGGCTAGCTTGAGAGTGTGCAGCTCCTAAGAAAGACTGTCATCCTTCTGCAGGCTTTTCCTCCAGGAACCCCACCTGGTTCTCACAGGGAAGATCAGGGGAAATCCAGAGAAAACTCATGGTGCTGGCTCAGGAACCACTGAGAAATCTACTCAGACCCTTCTCCCTTAAGGAACAAAAGGCTATTCTGCATGGGGAAAGACATGGTCCGAGGGCCCTGGTGAATTACCATTGCAACTAGGGGAGGGAACTGCACTCAACTCTAGCTCTTCATCTCAACTAAAAACAATTCAACCTTCAGAGAAAAGGGCTTCAAGTCTATAGACTGAAAACACTTGTAGATACCCACTGCAGCTGGGAGAAGGGAATGGGAGGGAGCTCTGTCCCTGGAGGAGAAACAGAAACAACTGTGAAAGTTACACCCGAGACACAAGCCCACTGTGCACTCCAAAGACTGAAGTTTAGAATATTAGAGAATCCATCTCCCAACAGCATGCTAACAAGCCTCCAGGAATAACAATAGCAGGGAAGACTGCAAGAGACAGACGTTGGGGAGCAGCACAAAGGGAAGCCCCAAAGCCAAGAGAGGTGGGGGACAAAAAAAGATCACTAGAGGAATCTGAAGTTTGTAATGTTCATAGGAAAACAAATCTCAACACAGCCCAACTCCTGGCTGGATCAACATAAAGTCCCACACTAAAGGTTTATTATCTTAGTATCTGCTGCCCTATATACAATGTCCACCTTTCAACAAAAAATTACAAGGCATGCCAAAAGAAAAGAAAAAGCATTCTGAAGAGACAAGTGATCAGATTCAGACTTAGATATGGCATTGCTATTAAAGTATCAGAGAGAGAATTTTATTTTATTTTATTTATTTTAGATGAAGTCTTGCTGTGTCACCCAGGCTGGAGTGCAATGATGTGATCTCGGCTCACTGCAATCTCTGCCTCCCAGGTTCAAGCAATTCTCCTGCCTCAGCCACCCGAGTAGCTGGGACTAAAGGTGCATGCCATCATGCCTGGCTAATTTTTCGTTTGTATTTTTAGTACAGACAGGGTTTCACCATTTTGGCCAGGCTAGTCTCGAACTGCTGACTGCAGGTGATTTGCCTGCCTCAGCCTCTCAAAGTGCTGGGATTACAGGCAGGAATTTTAAATAATTATGATCACTATGGTTTTAGTTTTAGTTTTTTTTTTTTTTTTTTTGATATAGTCTCACTCTGTAGCCCATGCTGGAGTGCAGTGGTGTGATCACGGCTGACTGCAGCCTCAACCTCCTGGACTCAAGTGATCCTCCTGCCTCAGCCTCCCAAGTAGCTGGGACTACAGGCATGCATCACCACAGCCAGCTAATTTTTTGTATTTTTTTGTAGAGATGGGGTTTTCCCATGCTGCCCAGGCTGGTCTCGAACTCCTGAGCTCAAGCGATCTGCCTGCCTCAGCCTCCCAAAGTGCTGTGATTACAGGTGTGAGTCACCGTGACCAGCCCGATTACTATGTTAAAGTCTCTCACAACCTAAGTAGACATCATGCAAAATCGGATAGGTAATTTCAGCAGAGATGGGAACTATAAGAATCAAATGGCTAGAAATAAAAAACACAGCAACTGAAATGAAGACTATCATTGATGGGCTCATCAGTAGACTTGAATATTTACATTTACTTGGATAGATAGCAAAACTGAAAAAGATAAAAAGAGAGAAGGCAGCCATTAAAAGTATAGTAAATAAGAACAACTTTATGACATCTTGGGCATCTTTATGACATCAACATCTTAGAACAAATGGACCAATTCCTTGAAAACCACAAATTATCAAAACTTAACCAAGATAGAATGGACAATCTGAATAGTTATATAACCATTAGAAAAAATTGAACTTGTAATTAACACACCCTGAAAAAGAAATCTCCAAGTCTCAATGACTTCACTGGAGAATTCTACCAAACATTTGAAGAAGTGACACCAATTTTACCCAGTCTATTCCAGAAGAGAGAAGACAACAGAATAGTTCCCAAGCTATTTTATGAGGCTAGTATTACCCCGATATACAAACAAGGCAAAGGCAATACGAAAAAAAATGAAAACAAAACTACAGATCAATATTTCTCATGAACCTGGATGCAAATATCTTCAATAAAATATTAGCATATCACCTTCAGCAATGCGTAACAAAAATGACATGCCACAACGAAGTGGGATTTATTCCAAGAATGCAAGGTTGGCTCAACGTTTGAAAGTCAGTGTAATCCACCATATCAACAGGCTAAAGAGAAAAAATCATATGGTCCTATCAATTGATACATAAAAAGCATTTGCAAAAAAATGCAATACCCATGCACAATAAAGACTCTCAGCAAATTAGGAACAGAGGGAACAGCACCTACAAAAAACTTACAGCTAACATCATCCTTAGGGTGAAAGACCTGAATGTTTTTCCCCTAAGATCAGGCAAGGATGCCCACTCTCACTGCTCTTTTTCAACATAGTACTGCAAGTTCTAGCCACAGTAATAAGGCAACAAAAAAAGAAAAAAAGAGAGAGAGAGAGAAAACTCTCCCTTGCAGATTACATGATTGTCTACATAGTAAATTTCAAGAAAACAAAAATCTCTTGAACTAATAAGTGAGCTCAGCAAGGTTGTGTAATACAAATTCACACAAAAAGTTGCATTTCCACATACTAACAATGAACATGTGAAGCCTGAAATTAAACATCATACCATCTACAATCACGCTAAAGAAAATTTAATTCTTGGGTATAAATTTGACAAAATGTGTATAGGATCTGTATGCTGAAAATTAAAAAATTCTAATGAAAGAAATCGAATAACATCTAAATGGAGAGTCATACAATGCTCATAATTTGGAAGATTCAACATAATAAAGATGTTTATTCTCTCTGAACTGATCTATTGGGTTTGATATACTTCCTATCAAAATCCTAGAAACTTCTTTTGTAGACATAGGCAAGCCTATTCTGAAATGTATATGGAAAAATATAGGCCAAAACTCAACCAAGATAGAATAGACAATCTGAATAGTTATATAACCATTAGAAAAAATTGAACTTGTAACTAAAACACCCTGAAAAGCAAATCTCCAAGTCTCAATGACCTCACTGGAGAATTCTACCAAACATTGGAAGAAGTGACACCAATTTTACACAATCTTTTCCAGAAGATAGAAGATAACAGAATAGTTTCCAAGCTATTTTATGAGGCTAGTGTTACCCTGATATCCAAACAAGGCAAAGGCAGTACCAAAAAAATTAAAACAAAATTACAGATCGATATTTCTCATGAACCTGGATGCAAGTATAGCTAAAACAATCCTGGAAAAAAAGTAAAGGAGGAATCCTTCTACCCAGTATTAAGAGCTACTATATAGCTTCACTAATGAAGAGAGTGTGGTTAATGGTGGTGGGATAGACAGGTCAATGCAATATAGAACCCAGAAATAGACTCATACACATGCACAACTGATTTTTGACAAAGAGGCAATTCAGTGAAGGAAGGACAAGCTTTTCATCAAATGGTGCTGAAGCACTTGAACATCCACAGGCAAAAACGTAAACCTCAACCTATATCTCACATCTTATACAAAAATTACCCCAAAATGGATCATGGACTTGCATGTAAAAGTGAAACTATAAAATTTTTTAGAACAAAACATAGGCAAAAATCTTCAGGCCCTAGTGCTACACAAAAAGTTTTTAAATTTGGAACCAAAAGCGCAATCCATAAATGGAAAAAAATTGATAAATTGAACCTCATCAAGATTAAAAACTTTTGTTCTGTCTGTGACAGTTCTTGTTAAGAGGATGAGAAGACAAGCTACAGACTGGGAGAAAATATTTGCAAACCACATATCCACCAAAGGATTGGTATCTAGAGTACACAAAGAACACACAAACTAAAGAGTTAAAAAAAAAAATCCAACTAGAAAATGGCTGGGCACAGTGGCTCACACCTGCAATCTCAACACTTTGGGAGGTTGAGGCTGGCAGATCACTTGAGGCCAGGAGTTCAAGACCAGCCTGGCAACATGGCGAAACCCGGTCTCTACTAAAAATACAAAAATTAGCAGGGTGTGGTGGTGGGCGCCTGTAGTCCCAGCTACACAGTGGCTGAGGCATGAGAATCACTTGAACCTGGGAGGTGGAGGTTGCAGTGAACTGAGATTGTACTCCAGCCTGGGTGACAGAGTGAGACTCTGTAAAAAAAAAAAAAAAAAAAAAAAAAAAAAAACAAAAACGAGTGGGGGCAGGCATGGTGGCTCACGCCTGTAATCCCAGCACTTTGGGAGGCCACGTGGGCAGGTCACTTGAGGCCAGGAGTTTGAGACCAGCCTGGCCAACATGGTGAAACCCCATGTCTACTAAAAATACAAAAATTAGCCAGGTGTGGTGGCACGTGCCTGTAGTCCCAGCTACTCGGGAGGCTGAGGCAGGAGAATTGCTTGAACCTGGGAGGTGGAGGTTGCAGTGAGCTGAGATTGCACCACTGCACTCCAGGCTGGGTGACAGAGTGAGACTCCATTTCAAAGAAACAACAACAACAACAAAAACTGGTACATGAAAGTTTATAGCAGCTTTATTTATAATAGGCAAAAACTGGAAACAACCAAGATGTCCTTCAAATGGTGAATGGTTAAAGAAACTGTGGTATATCCATGCCATGGAATAGTACTCAGCGATAAATGGAATGGACTATGGATACATGCAACAACTTGGATGAATCCCAAGGAATGATGCTGAATGAAAAAAGAATTTCAAAATGTTACATATTGTATGATTCCATTTACATAACTTTTTGTTTGTTTGAGATGGAGTCTTGCTCTGTTGCCCAGGCTGGAGTGCAGTGGCACGATCTCAGCTCACTGCAACCTCCACCTCCCGGGTTCAAGCAATTCTTCTGCCTCAGCCCCCCAAGTAGCTGGGACTACAGGTGTGTGCCACCACACCCAGCTAATTTTTGTATTTTTAGTAGAGACAGGGTTTCACCATGTTGGCCAGGCTGGTCTTGAACTCCTGACCTAGTGATTCGCCCACCTCGGCCTCCCAAAGTGCTGGGCTTACAGGCATGAGCCAATGCCCCCGGCCCTTTTTTTCATTTCTATAATTTTGTCACTTCAAAAATGTTATGTGGCTGGGCGCCTGTAATCCCAGCACTTTGGGAGGTCAAGGCGGGCGGATCACTTGAGATCAGGAGTTTGAGACCAGCCTGGCCAACATGGTGAAACTCCATCTCTACTAAAAATACAAAAATTAGCCAGATGTGGTAGCAGGCACCTGTAATCCTAGCTACTCGGGAGGCTGAGGCAGGAGAATTGCTAGAACCCGGGAGGTGGAGCTTGCAGTGAGCCGAGATCGCGCCAGTACACTCCAGCCTGGGCGACAGAGCAAGACTCCGTCGCAGGGGGCAAGTGGGGAAGAAGAGATGAGTGCTTGCCAGCAGTTAGGGATGGGGGTTGAGAAGGGTGATGGGTGTGGCTATCAAAGGGTGACAGAACCAATCCTTGTGTGTACACACACACACACACACACACACACACACACACACATATATATATATATATATTTTTTTTTTTGAGACACAGTCTCACTCCATCACCCAGACTGGAGTGCAGTGGCATGATCTCAGCTCACTGCAACCTCTGTCTTCCGGGTTCAAGCAATTCTCATGCCTCAGCCCCTTGAGTAGCTGGGACTACAGGCACGTGCCACCACGCCTGGCTAATTTTTATACTTTTAGTAGAGATGGGGTTTCACCATGTTGGCCGGGCTGGTCTTGAACTCCTGACCTCAGGTGATGCGCCCATCTCAGCCTCCCAAAGTGCTAGGATTACAGGTGTGAGCCACTGTGCCCGGCCCTCTTTTGTATTTTGATTGTATCAAGGTCAATGTCTCGGTTATGGTAGTATACAACAAGATGTTAACATTGGGACAAACTGGATCAAGGGTACACTAGATGTCTCTGTTTTATTTCTTATAATTGCATGTGAATCTACAATTATCTCAAAAGAAAACATTTTAATTAAAAAAGTTTTTTACATACACAAAACAACAATAGAGACAAATATGGAATCCTCTAGGAGAGGGTCATCAGGGTGGAGAGTAGTCTGGAAATGATGCCATGGAGAAATGATCGAAGGGCCTGGGAGGTGGGGTATCACCTGCAAAAGAGAAGACTTAAGGAGAATTCTTGGACAGTTGCCATGTGGAAGAATAATTAAATTGGAACCAGTGGGTGTGGCCAGGCACAGTACCTCACAACTGTAATCCCGGCACTATGGGAGGCGGAGGTGGGAGGATTGCTTGAGCCCGAGAGTTTGAGACCAGCCTGGCCAACATGGCAAGAACCCATCTCTACAGAAACAATTAGCCAGGTATGGTGGCATACACCTGTGACCCCAGGTACTTGGGAGGCTGAGGCGGGAGGATTGCTTGAGCCCAGACCAGAAGGTCAAGGCTGCAGTAAGCCATGATCACACCACTGCACTCCAGCCTGGGCAACAGAGCAAGGCCCTGTCTGAAAAAAAAAAAAAAAATAGTGGGTAGCACTCACAAAGGGATTTCCTCTAAATATATGGAAGAGGTCAGGCATGGTGGCTCATGTCTGTAATCCCAACACTTTGAGAGGCCAAGGCAGGAGGATTGCTTGAGCCCAGGATTTGGAGACCAGTCTGTGCAACATAGTGAGACATCATCTCTACAAAAAAAATAAAAAAATGTGGTAGGAGGATTGTTTGAGCACAGGAGGTTGAGGCTGCAATGAGCTGTGATCGCGCCACTGCACTCCTGCCTGGGTGACAAAGCAAGACCCTGCCTCAAAAAAAAAAAAAAAAAAAAAAAATTAAATATATGGAAGAACTTTCCATGATACCTCTACATTAGGACAAAGTTGTTTCCAGGGCATGTACTTAATAAGGGGCAAGGCAAAGGTAAGAACAAGACAGTTGTTCAATTAAACAGAAGAAACGAATCCAGCATTTTGCAATTTTCTTCTCAGTGGGGCTGGGGGGAGGTAGGAAGGACATTGGGGGAAGGGGCCAGGGCATGCTTCAGGTGTGCAAATTGCTACACACAATGAGAAGGTGGGCTGTGTGTCCCAACTTCAGGGAAGGTGCTCGTTAGCTGGGTAAATGCTGCGCTCTCAGCATTTACTCAGCAGGGTTTGTATTTAGAGGAAGCTCTTATTCAAGCCAGAATTCACAGCTCCCGTGGGTCTCACTCCATCAGCAGGGCCCCAGTGAGAGCTGAGAGGAATTCGGGAAGATTGTGATGGGGACAACAGCAAGATGCTGGCAAGGGATTTTAAGTGGGCATCTTTGCCCTTCTGAAGGCTGTGGCAGTCCCTGGAATAATTCCAGATGAACAGGCATATTAGGAAAATTACTATTATTATGCATTACAACGTTACAAAGAATACATGTGTCCTTTTATAGCATCATACAAAAAATGTCTTAGAACAAGGTGTGGAGAGTTTTTCTGAGCTTTCCTGCTTCCCAGCCTGGTCTGTGTGTTCTCACAGATTTCCTCAGAACCCATTTTCCATTCGTTGACCACAGACGAGGATGCACATGGAAGCTGCTTGTGATTTCCGCCAGGGCTGGAACGAGGGCAGGATTTCTTCATGGATTTATACAGATAGTTTCTGCTTTCTTTGGGGGTGGGAGGTGGACTGTATTAGTACTGAAGCATGCAAAGAAGCTGAAATGTTTTATAAGTCCTATCCTGCACGTGTCAAAATGGCTTGTGATGTGCTGCCAAGGACACCCTCAAGAAAGTAAAAAGACAGCTCACAGAATGGAAGAAGATATTTGCAAATCACATATCTGATAAGGAACTTCTATCCACAATATGTAGAGGATTCTTACAACTCAATAATAAAAAGACAAATACTCAATTAAAAAATGGGCAAAGGATTTGAATAGACATCACTCAGAAGTTGTTATACAAATGGCCAATAATTAACACATGACAAGATGCCCAGTGTCATTATCCATCAGGGAAATAGAAATCAAAACCATCATGAAGTACAATTTCACACCTGCTAGGATGGTCATAATCCAAAAACAATAACAAGTGTTGGTGAAGATGCAGGGAAATTGGAACACTGCTGGTTGGTGAGAATGGAAAACGGTGCAGCCACTTTGGAAAACCGTGGAAATTTCTCCAAAGGTTAAACACAGAGGTAAGCCTGGTGTGGTGGCTCACACTTGTAATCCCAGTGCTTTGGGAGGCCGAGGTAGGAGCCAGGAGTTCGAGACCAGCTTGAACAAGATAGTGAGACCCCATCTCTATAAAAACGTTTTCTAAAAAAAACTGTAGAGTTAGCATGTGACCCAGAAATCCTGCTCCGGTATATGCTCAAAAACCTATGTCCACACATTGCATGATTCCATTTGTATGAAATGTCCAGAATAGGCAAATCTACAGAGATGGTAGACTTATGGTTACCTAGAGCTGGGGATGTTGGGAAGGAGGGAGAGTGGTTTCTAATGGGTACTGATTGATTTTTGCACTGGGGCGTGGGGTGATGAAAATGTTGTATAACTCATTATGGCCATAGCTGCACAACGCTGTGGATATACTAAAAACTTTCATTGAATCGTACCCTCTAAATGGGTGAATTGTATGGTATGTGAATGATAGCTCAATAAAGCTGTTATTAAAAAAGAGAAAACCTTTGGGTATAAGCCCAGTAACGGGATTGCTGGGTGGAATGTTATTTCCATTATAAGGTCTTTGAGGAATTGCCACACTGTCTTCCACAATGGTTGAACTAATTTCCACTCCCACTAACAGTGTATAAATGTTTCTTTTCCTCCACAGCCTCGCCACCATCTGTTATTTTTTGACTTTTTAATAATAGCCATTCTGACTGGTGTGAGATGGTATCTAGTTGTGGTTTTGATTTGCATTTCTCTAATGATCAGTGATGTTGAGGCTTTTCTTTCATATGATTGTTGGCCACATGTATGTCTTCTTTTGAAGAGTGTCTGTTCATGTCCTTTGCCCACTTTTTAATGGGGCTGTTTGTTGTTTTCTTGTAAATTTAAGTTATTTATAGATGCTGGATATTAGACCTTTGTCAGATGCATAGTTTGCAAAAATTTTCTCCCATTCTGTAGGTTGTTTGTTCACTCTGTTGACACATACATGTGTATGTTCATTGCAGCACTATTCACAATAGCCAAGACATGAAATCAATCTAAATGCTCATCAATGGTAGATTGAATAAAGAAAATGTGGTACATACACACCATGGAATACTATGCAGCCATAAAAAAGAATGAGATCATGTCCTTTGCAGGAACATGGATGGAGCTGGAGGCCATTATTCTTAGCAAACAAATGCAGAAACAGAAAACCAAATGCCCCATGTTCTTACTCATAAGTGGGAGCTAAATGATGAGAACACATGGACACATGGAGGGGAACAACACACACTGTGGCCTATCAGAGGGTGAAGGGTGGGAGGAAGGAGAGGATCAGGAAAAATAACTAATGGGTACTAGCCTTAATGCCTGGGTGATGAAATAATCTATACAACACACCCCAATGACACAAGTTTACCTGTGTAACAAACCTGCACATATACCCCTGAACTTAAATGAAAAACAACAGATTGTATTCCATAAATATATACAATTATTTGTCAATTAAAAATAAAGTTTAAAAATAATATTGCAATTGAAAAAAGAAAAACCTCCAAGTCTGTGACAGCGTCCGGTGCATTCTATCTTTTAGAAAACAATGACCCAGGTGCGGTGGCTCACGCCTGTAATCCTAGCACTTGGAGAGGCTGAGGCGGGCGGGTCGCTTGAACTCGGGAATTCGACAGCAGCCTGGCCAACATAGTGAAACCCCGTCTCTACTAAAAATACAAAAAAAAAAAAAAAAAAAAAAAAATTAGCCGGACATGGTGAGGTGCGTGCCTGTAATCCCAGCTACTCTGAAGGCTGAGGTGGGAGGATCGCTTGAGCCCCGAGAAGCAGAGGTTGTAGTGAGCCTAGAGCAGAGATCGCGCCACTGCACTCCAGCCTGGGCGATAGCGACAGACTTTGTCTCAAAAAAGATAAAAAATAAGAATAATGGTATTACCCTCAGTGGTAACACTATTTTCTTTTAATATTTGTGTCCAAATTCGTGAAGTGCCTAAGATCCGAGTGAGGGCCCCTTTGAGTTCACGGCATTTTCAAAGGTCAGGCAGGCAGCGTACTTGGAGTCTATCTTCCAGACAAAATTTGTTGCTGGTGCCTCCCTGTGCCTTGTCAAGGTCACGGCGAAAGCCAGGACGAGCTCGCCTCCGGCACAGGGCTCACGGGGGGCCGTGCGCTTGGCAACCAGGGATGAAGCATCCGTTCATCCCAATGCCGGGTGAAAACTATTAATACGTCTGTATTGAGTTGGGAATAGAACATTTCCATCCAACCGATGCTTTGAAAGAGTTTTTACCCTGCTCGAATGCTTCAAGTTGTTTTGAGAAAAAAGAAATTGGAGCTCCTAATGGTGGTCAGGCTAGAGGGATGGCCAAAACAAAAAACAAAAAACAAAACAAAAAAAAAAACAACCCCAATTCCTGTTCCCGTGTTCGGCGTCTCCCGGCTGCGGGCGGGCGCTGCCTGGAGGGGGCAGCAGGGGGCACCCTCCCCGCTCCTGCCCCGCCGCCCTCCCCGGCCCCCTCCCCGCCCCTCGCTCGCCCTGACGTCCCCAGCCCCCGCCTCTTTCTCTCCGGCCTTCAAAGGGCGCTGGGGGCCTTGGGGCCTGAGCGTCAGGCTGCAGCCTAGGGGTACTGCCGTCTTCGGCCCGCCGCGGGGTCCCCGGTGCGCTCCGTTCCCTCGATTCCCGTAGCGTCCCGCGCTTCAGGAGCAGGTGCCGGGACCGCCTGCGCGGCTGCTGTAACTTGTGCCTCCTAGCGGATCGCAGCCGCTGGCCACTCGCCCAGGGGAAGGGCGCGCAGGCGGGCACATGGAGAGCGGCGGTGGGAATGCTCCGGCCGGGGCCCTCGGGGCGGCGAGCGAGTCCCCTCAGTGCCCGCCGCCGCCGGGGGTGGAGGGCGCGGCCGGGCCGGCGGAGCCCGACGGGGCGGCGGAGGGCGCGGCAGGCGGCAGCGGCGAGGGCGAGAGTGGGGGCGGGCCGCGGCGGGCTCTGCGGGCAGTATACGTGCGCAGTGAGAGCTCCCAGGGCGGCGCGGCCGGCGGCCCGGAGGCTGGGGCGCGGCAGTGCCTGCTGCGGGCCTGCGAGGCCGAGGGCGCTCACCTCACCTCCGTGCCCTTCGGGGAGCTGGACTTCGGGGAGACGGCCGTGCTCGACGCCTTCTACGACGCAGGTGAGAGCGGCTTCGTCCCCACCTCAGTCCCAGTTCACCTACCCTCACACGAGCCAGGGCACCCGCCCCGCCCCCTCGCCCTTCTCCCCCGTCCCCCTCCCCCTCGTCCCCCTCCCCTCCCCCTCGTCCCCCTCCCCTCCCCCTCGTCCCCCTCCCCTCCCCCTAGTCCCCCTCCCCTCCCCCAGTCCCCCTCGTCTCTAGTCCCCCTCCCCTTATCCCCCTCCCCTTATCCCCCTCCCCCAGTCCCCCCTCCCGCAGGCCCCCCTCCCCTTAGTCCCCTCTCCCCTTAGTCTCCCTCCCCTTAGTCCACCTCCCCTTCCCCTAGTCCCCTTCCTCTCATCCCCCTCCCCTTAGCCCCCCTCCTATCCTCTCACCCCCTGATCCGTCCAACAGGACCGTCCTGCCTTTGGGGGAGGGTAGAGTCTTTAACATTGTGCCCTTTTACAGATAAGAAAATAGAGGCCACGGGCATTTAGACTCTTTGATTCTTCAGGCATCTTAAACATCAGATAACCCAAGAAACAGCCTGTAACCCAGACCCTACCAAGCCCCCCTTCTCCCAAGTTATCCAACTTTTGCTTTCTCATTCCTGGAAGGTCTCTTACGGCCGTGGGTCCCAACGCAGGCTACATATTAGAATCACCTGGGGAGCTTTTAAAACTCTGGGTGCCCAGATCGGACCCCAGACCAATGACATAAGCACCCGAGGCCTTAGAAGTGTCATGCTTCCCAGGCGATTCCATTTTGCAGCCAGGAGTGGAAATCGGTGTCTTACGTGTGTGTGTGTTGCCTCTACTTAGAAATACCCAGTGTTCTTTTGCACACTTCAATTCTCGTCCCCAAAACACTGACGGTGGAGTGTGAGCCACCACCCTGTGACGTATATTTTATCCCATAATGCACAGCATTCACGGGTTAGGGGGCACCTTTGCTGGAGTGGGACTCTAGGTCTCTAAACTCACTATAATAAATGTGCCTGAGAATCCAGCCTTAAGAAGCGTACTTTGGATTGGCAAGAGTTTCTCTCGGTGTGGAATGAATTGTTGCTTGACGTTTTTTCCCTTACAGCACCTTTGGTGACAAACCTCTGTCACCTGGGTGACGTTCAGAAGCATTATATGTGAGACAGTAATTACCTGGGAGTCCTTGTGCCTCAGTTTCTGGTCAAAGGGAGTTAACAGTGCCTACCCTAAACCTAAAAGCTGATGAGATAGGATATGGGAAGTTGCTTTGCTGTAATAGTAAGCTAGGATGATTAGGATTCAGCCTCTGCTGGAGGCAGCGCAGATCTGTTTTTCTTGCAGAGCAAATTCTCCCCAGCTGGAAGGGCGGGGTAGGGGGGGAGTCAGGCTTGTTTAAACAAGTGGCAGCTGGACCCATTGAAAGCACTCTCCTGACATTTCTGACCACACTGAGTATACTCTTCAGCACAACATCTTTTTAGAAAAGTCGTTCAGGAGTCCACTTCACCTAGAACCACTCCGTTTTCTCAACTTGTATTCATTCTGCTCCAAAATTGGAGTTTGAACAGACTCTTCTCTGAACGGTTAAATGTTCCTTTTGCCATGAGGCACAACACTCTCCTTCCTGCTGGTGCCACCTCTGAAAGATTTGTGTGCGGTGGCTTTTGCTTTCCCTGGGGCGGAGTGTGTGTGTACGGGGGGCCCTTCTAACAGGTCGACTGTGAAGATGCAGACGTCAAATCTCAGGCTTTCAATTCTGGAGCCACACAACAGACACGTCACCTTGGCTCACTCTGGCCTGGGTGGCCTAGAATGTTGGGCTGTACCACGAGCTCCCTTTGGTTAACCTTGTCCTGGTCTTGAGTAAATCATTTCTCAGTGCATTAGAATTGCTTTCAGAGGTTTGAGAAAGTACATACACAGTAAGTGGGTTCCTGGGCTAAACAGATGAGCACCTCCACTGTCTCCTGGATTCGTCCTCCATCACTCACTGCTTTTTGATGTTTCCACCAAAAAAGATACAGAGCTCTCACTTTGGCTTCTTTGTAAAAATTCTAAAACCACTCTGTCCAATTTGGTAGCCACTAGCCACAGGTGGCTCTTGACAGTTAAACTGATTAGAATACGGTAAAAATGGTAAGATCCTTAGTTGCACTAGTGGCATTTAAGGCGCTTGATAGGCCAGGTGCAGTGGCTCACGCCTGTAATCCCAGCCCTTTGGAAGGCCAAGGCGGGAGGATTGCTTGAGTACAGGAGTTCAAGACCAACCTGAGCAAAAAAAAAAAAAAAAAAAAAGCAGGATGTGGTGGCACCCATGTGCCTGTGGTCCCAGCTACCTGGGAGGTGGAGGCAGGAGGATCACTTAAGCCCGGGAGGTCGATGCTGCGGTGACCTGTGTTTATGCCACTGCACTCCAGCCTGGGTGACAGATCGAGACCCTGTCTCTAAATAAACGAATAAATGCATGCTCCGTAGGCACAAGTAACTCCCAGGTGGGACAGTGAAGTTACAGAACTCTTTCCTCATCTCAGAAGGTCCTATTGAACAATGCTGTTCTGGAAAAAGGCTTGTGGGGGAGGGGAACTGTTGAACGGCCCAAGTATTTATTTTTAACTTTAAGTTCTGGGATACATGTGCTGAACGTGCAGGTTTGTTACATAGGTATACATGTGCCATGGTGGTTTGCTGCACCAATCAACCTGTCATCTAGGTTTTAAGCATGCATTAGGTATTTGTCCTAATGCTCTCCCTCCCCTCCCACTCCCCACAGGCCCTGGGGTGTGTGTGTGATGTTCCCCTCCCTGTGTCCATGGGTTCTCATTGTTCAACTCCCACTTATGAGTGAGAACATGTAGTGTTTGGTTTTCTGTTCCTGTGTTAGTTTGCTGAGGATGATGGTTTCCAGCTTCATCCATGTCCCTGCAAAGGACATGAACTCATCCTTTTTCATGGCTGCATAGTATTCCATTGTGTATATGTGCAACATTTTCTTTATCCAGTCTATCATTGATGGGCATTTGGGTTGGTTCCAAGTCTTTGCTATTGTAAATAGTGCTGCAGTAAACATACATTTGCCTGTGTCTTTAGAGTAGAATGATTTATAATCCTTTGGGTATATACCCAGCAATGGGATTGCTGGGTCAAATGGTATTTCTGGTTCTAGATCCTTGAGGAATTGCCACACTGTCTTTCACAATGGTTGAACTAATTCACACTCCCACCAACAGTGTAAAAGCATTCCTATTTCTCCACATCCTCTCCAGCATCTGTTGTTTCCTGACTTTTTAATGATCGCCATTCTAACTGGCGTGAGATGGTATCTCATTGTGATTTTGATTTGCATTTCTCTAATGACTAGTATTGATGGGTTTTTTTTTCATATGTTTGTTTGCCACATAAATGTCTTCTTTTGAAAAGTGTCTGTTCATATCCTTTGCTCACTTTTTGATGGGGTTGTTTTTTTCTTGTACATTTGTTTAAGTTCCTTGTAGATTCTGGATATTAGACCTTTGTCAGATTGATAGATTCCAAAAACGTTCTCCCATTCTGTAGGTTGCCTGTTCACTCTGATGATAGTTTCTTCTGCTGTGCAGAAGCTCTTTAGTTTAATTAGATTTCCTTTGTCTATTTTGGCTTTTGTTGCCGTTGCTTTTGGTGTTTAAGCCATGAAGTCCTTGCCCATGCCTATGTCCTGAATGGTATTGCCTAGGTTTTCTTCTAGGGTTTTTATGGTTTTAGGTCTTACGTTTAAGTCTTTAATCCATCTTGAGTTAATTTTTGTATAAGGTGTAAGAAAGGGGTCCAGTTTCAGTTTTCTGCATATGGCTAGCCAGTTTTCCCAGCACCATTTATTAAATAGGGAATCCTTTCCCCATTGCTTGTTTTTGTCAGGTTTGTCAAAGATCAGATGGTTGTAGATGTGTGGCGTTATTTCTGAGGCCTCTGTTCTGTTCCACTGGTCTATATTCCTTGGTATTTTATTCTCTTAGTGGCAATTGTGAATGGGAGTTCACTCATGATTTGGCTCTGTGTTTGTCTTTTATTGGTGCATAGGAATGCTTGTGATTTTTGCACATTGATTTTGTATCCTGAGACTTTGCTGAAGTTGTTTATCAGCTTAAGGAGTTTTTGGGCTGAGACCGTGGGGTTTTCTAAATATACAATCATGTTGTCTACAAACAGACGATTTGACTTCCTCTCTTCCTAATTGAATACCCTTTATTTCCTTCTCCTGCCTGATTGCCCTGGCCAGAACTTCCAACACTATGTTGAATAGGAGTGGTGAGAGAGGGCATCCCTGGCTTGTGCCAGTTTTCAAAGGGAATGCTTCCAGCTTTTGCCCATTCAGTATGATATTGGCTATGGGTTTATTTTAAATAGCTCTTATTATTTTGAGATATGTTCCATCAATACCTAGTTTGTTGAGAGTTTTTAGCATGAAGCGGTGTTGAATTTTATCGAAGGCCTTTTCTGCATCTATTGAGATAATTGTGGTTTTTGTCATTGGTTCTGTTTATGTGATCGATTATGTTTGTTGATTTGCGTATGTTGAACCAGCCTTGCATTCAGGGATGAAGCCGACTTGATCATGGTGGATAAGCTTTTTGATGTGCTGCTGGATTCGGTTTGCCAGTATTTTATTGAGGATTTTCACATCGATGTTCATCCTGAAATTTTCTTTTTTTGTTGTGTCTCTGCCAGGTTTTGGAATCAGGATAATGCTGGCCTCCTTTTCTGTTGTTTGGAATAGTTTCAGAAGGAATGGTACCAGCTCCTCTTTGTACCTCTGGTAGAATTCGGCTGTGAGTCCGTCTAGGATTTTTTTAGTTGGTAGGCTATTACTGCCTCAATTTCAGAACTTGTTATTGGTCTTTTCAGGGATTTGACTTCTTCCTGGTTTTGTCTTGGGAGGGTGTATGTGTCCAGAAATTTATCCATTTCTTCTAGATTTTCTAGTTTATTTGTGTAGATGTGTTTATAGTGTTCTCTGATGGTAGTTTGTATTTCCATGGGATCAGTGGTGATTGCCCCTTTATCATTTTCTATTGTGTCTATTTGATTCTTCTCTCTTTTCTTCTTTATTAGTCTAGGTAGTGGTCTATCAATTTTGTTGATCTTTTCAAAAAACCAGCCCCTGAATTCATTGATTTTTTTGAAGGTTTTTTCATGTCTCTATTTCCTTCAGTTCTGCTCCAATCTTAGTTATTTCTTGTCTTCTGCTAGCTTTTGAATGTGTTTGCTCTTGCTTCTCTAGTCCTTTTAATTGTGATGTTAGGGTGTCGATTTTAGATCTTTCCTGCTTTCTCTTGTGGGCATTTAGTGCTATACATTTCCCTCTAAACACTACTTTAGCTGTGTCCCAGAGATTCTGGTACATTGTATCTTTGTTCTCATTGATTTCAAAGAACATCATTATTTCTGCTTTAATTTCGTTATTTACCCAGTAGTCATTCAGGAGCAGATTGTTCAGTTTCCACGTAGTTGTGCGGTTTTGAGTGAGTTTCTTAATCCTGAGTTCTAATTTAATTGCACTGTGGTCTGAGAGGCTGTTATGATTTCTGTTCTTTTGCATTTGCTGAGGAGTGTGTTACTTCCATTTATGTGGTCGATTTTAGAATAAGTGCTATGTGGCGCTAAGAAGAATGTGTATTCTGTTGACTTGGGGTGGAGAGTTCTGTAGATATCTATCAGGTCTGCTTCGGCCCAAGTATGTTTTAGGGGCCATCATCTATGGGAAATTTAAGCACTTCCTGTGTCCTGTTCTCACAGCAAGTCAAAGTCAGGTTTGACTGTGGTTTTCCATCTCCTTGTAGTGTTTCATGGGGTCCTGTGTGGGTCTAAATCTTGGGGCTGTGTCACTAGCACATATAGTGGATTGGATGAGCTGCAGGAAAATGGCAGGCAGGCCTTGGACGTAAGCAAGAGCAAGTGGATGCTGTTGGAAAAGGAAAGTACCGTGGGCTGAGAGGGGCAGGGCATGTCCCATTTGTGTTTTCTAAATTATTTTTAAATATTTATTTTTAAATTTTTGTACATATATATAGATTTTTTTTTGAGACAGGGTCTCACTCTGTTGCCCAGTCTAGAGTGCAGTGGCACGATCTTGGCACACTGCAGCCTCAACCTCCCACACTTGAGCAATCCTCCTGCCTCAGCCTCCCAAAATTCTGGGATTACAGGTGTGAGTCACCACCCCTGGCGCATTTTGTTTATTTTGTGTAGAGGTGAACTCTCACTCTGTGAGATCTTATGGACTCGAATTCCTGGGCTCAAGTGATCCTCCCACCTCAGCCTCCCAAATTACTAGGATTACAGGCGTGAACCACCACCCCCGGTCCTTGTGGTTTTTAAAATTGTGATAAAATATGTATAACAAAATTTACTATTTTGGCCATTTTTAGTGTTCATTTCAGTGTCATTACATATATTCACACTGTTACGTGACCATCAACAATATCCATCTCCAGGCCGGGCACGGTGGCTCACGCCTGTAATACCAGCACTTCGGGAGACTGAGGTAGGTGGATCACCTGAGCTCAAGAGTTTGAGACCAGCCTGGCCAACATGGCGAAACCCTGGTTCTACTAAAAATATAAAAATTAGCCAGGCGTGGTGGCGTGTACCTGTAGTCTCAGCTACTCAGGAGACTGAGGCAGGAGAATCGCTTGAGCCCAGGAGGCAGAGGTTGCAGTGAGCCAAGATTGCACCACTGCACTCCAGGCTGGCCAACAGAGCAAGACTCCATTTCGAAAAACAAAAACCAATATCCTGGCTGGGCGTGGCGGCTCATGCCTGTGATCCCAGCACTTTGGGAGGCCGAGGCGGGTGGATCACCTGAGGTCAGGAATTTGAGACCAGCCTGGCCCACATGGTGAAACCCTGTCTCTACTAAAAATACAAAAATTAGCCAGGCATGGTGGCGGGCACCTGTAATCTCAGCTACTCGGGAGGCTGAGCCAGGAGAATTGCTGGAACCCAGAAGGCAGAGGTTGCAGTGAGCTGAGATCGTGCCATTGCACTCCAGCCCAGGCAGACAACAGCGAGACCCCATCTCAAACAAAACAAAACCCTAGAAACCAATATGCATCTCCAGAACTTTTTTTAAAATAGTTTTTTAGAGCAGTTGTAGGTTCACAGCAAACTTGAGAAGAAAAGTGCAGAGTGTTCCCATCAACCCCTCTGCCCTCTCCCACAAACTCCCCTATCATGAGCTTCTTCCACCAGACTACGGCACTTGTGACAATTGATGAACTTACACATATGTTGACACATCATACTCACTTGAAATCTTTAGTTTACATTAGGGTTGAGTTTATATTAGTTGTTCTTTTTTTTTTTTTTTTTTTTTTTTTTTTTTTTTTTGAGACAAGGTGTCACTCTCACCCAGGCTGGAGTGCAGTAGCGCGATCACGGCTCACCGCAGCCTTGACCTCCCTGGGCTCAAGTGATCCTTCCACCTCAGCCTCCCGAGTCGCTGGGACTTACAGGCATGCACCACAGTGCCCGGCTAATTTTGGTAGGCTTTTGTCAGCTGCATCCTGTGTCTCCCTCCTAGAGGTTCTCAGTGTTTGTGAACATCTTAAAGACTTGAGGCAAGTTGCAGGAAGCAAAGAGACCTGTGTGACTTCGTCTCATACTTTCTCAAATGTTTTGACTGTGGAAACTATCCTCCTGGGATGCTGTAATTGAATACACTTATTGTAGTAGGAAGTCTTAAAATGACATTGGGACTGATAGAATACAATGCTTTTGTCTTCATGGAGTACACCGTTTTGTTTACTCTTAGAATAGTTAGGTGGTTAGTTGTGTAAGTGAGAGCCTCTACCTAGATGCTAATTAGCAGCATTCTTGAGTTAGCTATTAACTGCTTAAATGGCAAGAACAGCTTCTGAGGCACAAGTGATCTTCCCATACCTGTTGTGTCTGGCTTTGCATAACTTCACTCTTCTCTGAACCTCATTTAAATGTTACTTTCCTGACCCAGGGGTCCTGCTTCTGATTTTTGTTTTTTCCTTCTGTTACGTGCACAGTGATCTTAAAAGTTGTGAAGTATTGCAACCCATACTAGGATGTTTTCATATTTCCTGAACATCGATAGGAAAACTATAAGACTAGGCCGGGTGCGGTGGCTCACGTCTGTAATACCAGGGCTTTGGGAGGCCAAGGCAGGCGGATCATTGGAGGTCAGGAGTTAGAGAGCAGCCTGGCCAACATAGTGAAACCCTGTCTCTACTAAAAATACAAAAAATTAGCTGGGCATGATGGCACACACCTGTAATCCCAGCTACTTGGGAGGCTGAGGCAGGAGAATCGCTTGAACCCGTGAGGTGGAGGTTTTGCAGTGGGCCAAGATCGCGCTACTGCACTCCAGCCTGGGCGGCAGAGCAAGACTCCGTCTCAAGAAAAATAAATAAATAAAAACTAAGACTAGGGCTTCAGTCTCCAGATTCGTTATTTGGTTTTGCTCTAGTCTGATGATACTCCTTTTCTGGCTGGCTTATACAAGAGTCATTGTGGGGTATAAAGTGTGGTGGAGATAGTGAGGTGGCTGCTAAAGATTTGTGCTGTTGCCAGGTGTGGTGGCTCACGCCTCTAATCCCAGCTCTTTGGGAGGCCAAGGTGGGTGGATCACTTGAGGTCAGGAGTTCGAGAGCAGCCTGGTCAACATAGCAAAACCCCGTCTCTACTAATAATACAAAAATCAGGCCGGACGCCGTGGTTCATGCCTGTAACTCCAGCACTTTGGGAGGCCAAGGTGGGTGGATCACCTGAGGTCAGGAGTTGGAGACCAGCTTGGCTAACATGGTGAAACCCTGTCTCTACTAAAAATATAAAAAATTAGCTGGGCGTTGTGGCAGGCACCTGTAATCCCAGCTACTCGGGAGACTGAGGCAGGAGAATCGCTTGAACTCGGGAGGTGGAAGTTGCAGTGAGCCGAGATTGTGCCATTGCACTACAGCCTGAGCAACGAGAGTGAAACTCCGTCTCAAAATTAAAAACAAAACAAACAAAAAACCCCAAAAATTAGCCTTGCGTGGTGGCGTGCACTTGTAATCCCAGCTACCTGGGAGGCTGAGGCAGGAGAATTGCTTGAACCCAGGAGGCAGAGATTGCAGTGAGCCAAGATCATGCCAGTGCACTCAAGCCCGGGTGACAAGAGTGAGACTCCATCTCAAAAAAAAAAAAAAAAGAAAAGAGATTTATGCTCGTAGTTATTGCTGAGAACCAAGGACTGCATTTCCCAGCATCCTTTGAGTCTATGTAGACTCATCCTTACTACCATATAGGTGAGAGTGATGTCTGCCACTTCTGGGCCAAGTTTTTGGTGAATCCACTAGGCCTTCCCATACCTTCTCATCCCTTTCCATGGTCCCCATGGGAACCTTGGAGTCCCCATATAGACGATGATGGTGGCACTTGATGGAAGGTACCTGACTCCCTGAGTTACTGTTTGGAGGACAGCTGGCAGAGGAGGAATATCCACTTTGGATTTTGCATGTGCAAGAGAGAAGCTTTTATTTGGTCTGGTTACTGAGATTTTGGCATCGTTTGTTATAGTAATAAGAGAGTTGCAACTTAGGTTTTGAAAATCTAGTCCAACTGCTAGAAAATTATCTCCTGGGGTAGGCCTTACCAAGAAAGAGTCAGGCTGTGGGTCATCTCATGTCACGAATCATTACTGTTCATAGTACATGCCAATCATGGAGCCCCCCTCTATGCTGCTGTGGGCTAAGAAAATAGAAATGAGATGCTTGGACCATCAGCCATCAGGTTAATACTGGCTTGGCGTGGGGGTGGGTGGAGACATTTTATCTTCCTTCATGGTTTCATCAGTTTTGGAGGCTAGGTAACTTTTTCAAATGTTTTATTTTTATTATTATTTTTTACATAAAATCTTTCAAAAAATAAGAGGTTTGGTGCTGTAGGAACCCTATACCTGTTTGGCAAGCTTTTGTTTCTGGGCTTTTTTTTTTTTTTTTTTGAGAGGAGGTCTCGCTCTGTTGCTCAGGCTAGAGTGCAGTGGCACGATCACAGCTCACTGCAGACTCTACCTCCCTAGCTCAGGTGATCCTCCCACCTCAGCCTCCCAGGTAGCTGGGACTACAGGCACATGCCACCACATCTGGCTAGTTTTTTGTACAGACAAGGTTTTGCCTTGTTGCCCAGGCTGGTCTTGAACTCCTGGGCTCAAGCGATCCACCTACCTTGGCCTCCCAAAGTGCTGGGATTACAGGCATGACCCACCGTGCCCAGCCTTAGGTAACTTTTTCCTTTGGCATTAAATGATACTGTAGTGATTGTTAGTTTTTATCTGACAGTGATATTGGGCTTTTTTTTAAACAAAAGATATGAAATGGTTTAAAATAAGGCTAGCTTTAGTTTTCCTTGCCACCTTTCACGTGAGTTATGTCTGGCTTCTCCCTCTGTGGTGGTATCTCTGGATTCTTTATTAGCTTGATGCATTGTGTGGCAAAGACAGTGTTCGCCAAACATCCATATGTTCTTCCACATTTCTTCATATCCCTTGGGCCCTCGTGACTAGTACTGGCCAGTGCGATGTGAGCAGCAGCAGCAAGCATCACTTTGGGCTTAAAGCAGTTAGGTGACGCACTCCTCCATCTCTCTGCCTCTGTTGTGGCAGACTTGAAGATCGGGGATTAAAGATAGCAATTAAGCCACTGAAGCCTTGGGGATTCGTCTGTTGTGGCAGCATAGCCTAGCTTATCCTGACTAATAGAGCTTGTCATGCATTCTGCTAAAAATACCTAAATACATCTCTTTTCTCTTTCTTTCCCCCTCCCCTCCCCTCACCTCCCCTCCCACAGGGTCTTGCTCTGTCACCTAGCTGGAGTGCAGTGACACAAACAGGGCTCACTGTAACCTCACCTTCCTGGACTCAAGCAATCTTCCTACCTCAGCCTCCTGTTTGTGTAGCTGGGACTACAGGTGCACGCCACTATGTCCAGCTATTTTTACTTTTTTTTGTAGAGATGGGGATCTCACTATATTGCCCAGGCTGGTCTCGAACTCCTGGGCTCAAGTGATCCTCCTGCCTCAGCCTTCCAAAGTGCCGGGATTACAGGTGTGACCCACCATGCCTGGCCTAAATGTACGTCTTGTTTCAACTTATTTTAGTGGGCTCAGCCCACATGTGCATTTGCTCCTGCAAGAAGGAGCCTGAAAAATGCCTTAAGACTTCTTATATCCTATGGCCGGGTGTGATGGCTCACACCTGTAATCCCAGCACTTTGGGAGGCCGAGGCAGGCAGATCACCTGAGGCCAGGAGTTTGAGACCATCCTGGCCAACACGGTGAAACCCTGTCTTTCCCAAAAAATACAAAAATTAGCCAGGCATGGTGGCCCATGCCTATAGTCCCAGCTTCTTGGGAGGCTGAGGTAGGAGAATCACTTGAACCCAGGAGGTGGAGGTTGCAGTGAGCTGAGATTGCGCCACTGCATTCCAGCCTGAGCAACAGAGTGAGACTCTGTCTCAAAGAACAAGAAGATAACTTGCTGAATATTCCTTCCTCATCATTCTGGAGAATGCTTAAAGTTCAGAGGAAGATGGACCTGTGGGAGATGTTGGTTTGATGGCTGTGCAGTGATGAAACAGGCAGCCCTCTGATACAGCACATACGTTTTGCATGCCATCTACACATGGTCAGGAGACTGGCCACATTTATTTCTAGCAGAGCATAGGAGCGATAGTTAATTTAGACATTGCCATCTATAAGGGTAAGTAAACATGGATGAGTAAAATCCCCCACCTAGCAGTTCATGTCAGAAAGCTAGGAGTCAGTGATCCCACTCTCTCCCTCATTGTCAAATCCAGGTAGTTACTTCCAAAATGTTTCTCAGATTTGCCCGCTTCTCTCTATATGCCCTGCTACTGTCTTGGTCTAAGCACCATCTTGTCTCATCCAGGTTACTGTCAGTAGCTTTGTAACTGGTCTCTCAAAGTTGGGCCGGTCTTGCTGCGTTCAAATTTATGTATCTGCCTAGAGGCTACTGTATCCTGGTTTCCGTCCCCATATTAGTCTATTTTCACAGTGCTACAAGATAGTAACTGAGACTGGGTAATTTATATACAAAAGTGGTAATTTTGTTTTGTTTTGAGACAGGGTCTCACCCTGTTGTCCAGGCTGGAGTGCAGTGGCACAACCTTGGCTCGCCGCAACCTCCACTTTCCCGGGCTCAAGTGATTCTCCAGTCACAGCCTCCAGAGTAGCTGGCATTACAGGCATGAGCCACCAATGTCTGGCTAATTTTTGTATTTTTTTGTAGAGATGGGCTTTTGCCATGTTGGCCAGGTTGGTCTTGAACTCCTGAGCTCAAGTGATCCACCTGCCATGGCCCCCCAAAGTGTTGGGATTACAGGTGTGAGCCACTGTGCCTGGCCCCAAAAGAGGTTTAATTGAATCACAGTTTAGCATGGCTGGGGAGGGCTTAGGAAACTTAAAATTATGGCAGAAGGGGAAGGGGAGGCAAGGCACGTCTTACATGGTGGCAGGAGAGAGAGAGAGCACAGGGGAAACTGCCACTTTTAAACCATCAGATCTCATGAGAACTTCCTCACTGTCATGAGAACAGCATGGGGGAACCGCCCCCATAATCCAGTCACCTCCCACCAAGTCCCTCCCTCCACACGTAGGGATTATAACTCGAGATGAGGTGTGGGGGACACAGCCAAACCATATCAGTCCCCACCCCCACCTGTAGTCTTCCTCTGATCAATACCTGTTCAGCTTTCATATCCAAGTTCTTCAAGGGAGCCTGCATGGACTCCCCTCCTTCTCCCTGTTGGCTTTTGTATGCTGAGGTTTTCTTTCCTCACAGGCAAAACAATTGTGATTAAATAATAATTATTACTTTTTGAGACTGAGTCTCTGTCGCCCAGGCTAGAGTGCAGTGGCACGGTCTTGGCTCACTGAAACCTCCACCTCCCAGGTTCAAACGATTCACCTGCCTCAGCCTCCCAAGTAGTTGGGATTACAGGCATATGCCACCTTGCCCGGCTAATTTTTGTATTTTTAGTAGAGATGGGGTTTCACCATGTTGGCCAGGCTGGTCTAGAACTCCTGACCTCAGGTGATCTGCTTGCCTCAGCCTCCCAAAGTGCTAGGATTGCAGGCATAAGGCACCGCACCCAGCCCTTAAATAATTATTGATTTAATGATTGATCTTCTGCCAGACAGCGAACTCTTCAATGGCCGGGAGCCAGGTATAGTTTTCTTTGCCACTGTTTGAGTGATTGCTACGAATATCTACCCAGCTCCTGTTAAAAATAATCATCAGTGGGCACAGATGACAGCTGGCTTCTCCTGTTGAGATAAAGCAGATCTTATGTGGTGCCCTCAAAAGAAATTTAGAATGCAGTTTCCAGTGGCATGTTGAAAATGGTAGTCAGGCCATAGATAGAGTGCACTTACGATTTTATTAAGAAGTAACATCCATCCTAATGACAGATTTCTAGGTCTGAACCTTTCTCTTCAGTGGTGCATATCTGACAGAAGAGACTAGAAGAACTCAAACTGGACATGCTGGGATGGAAGTAGTGGTTTCAGTTATTGCTGGGAATGGAATACCGGTTCTTTTTCTTCTGGTTTGTCCATATTTTCTATACTGTATGTTATTTTCTAGAATATAAGTACGATTTTTACTTTAAGTACAGTAGGCGATTAAAGATGGCGTTGTAACTCAGAAGCCTTCTCCCTTTCTCCCTCCCTGCTGGAGAGAGTGGCCAGGCGTGCTCAGGCTAGACAACCATGAGTGCTCCCAGGGACCCCCGGCTGCAGAAGTCCATGGCTGGACCTCAGCTGTCTTCTGTTGGATTTGGCTGTTGGCTTGTCCATAGGGGCCCTTCCCTGAGCTTCCTTCGTTTCCATGCTGCTGTTAGTGCTACTGACTCAGAATTGAGCCTGGAACTTTCCTCACGTTAGTTATGTGGGCCAACTTTGAAAGAAGCATTTCACCTGCAGCATTTAATGGAGACATTGCTGTTTGAGCCTTGAGTGCATTTTAGAGTAGATATCCGTGGGCTGGTCTGCTACCTTACTGGCTGTGTTATTATCTGTTACTAGGACAAAATGTATTTTCAGTTCCCTGCAGTGAACTTCCAAACGTAGTTTTGGAATACGAGCCATAAACTGTTTTAAAAGTCTTCTATGTATCTGGCTTTGAAATAGGTGCTGTTTCAATCCCGGCCAAATAACATGGTTGGAATAGGACTGAACTTTCTGTAAAGCAGGCTGGCAAAATTCTTGTTTCCCAGTAACTTGCACAGGTTTTGGCAATTGCATGTGATGGGACTGGCAGAAATGCCTGGCGGTTGTTGGGGCTTGGTTTGGGGAGGGAGAGTGGTTGGGGAGCAGAAGGGAGTTGAGTAGTGGGTGAGTCCTGGCAGGAAGTAGAGCTCATTCAGGAATTGGGGTTTGTGGCAGGCCATCCCAGGGGCCAGGCAGAACTGGACACAGATAGGGAGGGGAAAGAGAAGGTAGAGAGAGACAGGAGCATTCGATGTAGATAACTTTCCCTCTTAAATTATTTTATCATGGAAAATTTCAAGCATGTACATTACCCAGCTCTGACAATTATTAACATCCTGCTGTTCTCATTTCTTCTTTACCTCTATCCATTCCCTACCTCATACTTGATTATTCTTTTTATTTCATTATTTTTATATTTATTTAGAGATGGAGTCTCACTCTGTCACCCAGGCTGGAGTGCAGTGGCGCGATCTCGGCTCACTGAAACCTCCATCTCCCAAGTTCAAGCGATTCTCTTCCCTCAGCTTCCTGAGTAGCTGGGATTACAGGCATACGCCACCACACCCAGCTAATTTTTGTATTTTTAGTAGAGATTGGGTTTCGCCATGTTGGCCAGGATGGTCTCGAACTCCTGACCTCAGGTGATCCACCCGCCTTGGCCTCCCAAAGTGCTTGGATTTCAGGCGTGGGCCACTGCACCCGGCCAATTATTCTTTTTAAACATATTAAATGTAAAATGTATAGGCATTGTGATATACAAATCTCAGCTGTACAACTTTAAAAAATGACTAAACCTGTCTAATGCAACCCCCATCGCAATATAGAGAACATTTCTGTTTTTCCAGAAAGTTCCATCATGTCCCCTCTCCCTCAATCCTACCTTTACCCCTATAAGGCTATGACTGATCTGCTGTCATCTCTGTAGATTAGATCTGCCTTTCCTAGAGCTTCATCTAAATGGTCTCATACAATATGTATTCTTTGGTGTCTGGCTTTGTTCACTCAGCATGATGATTTTGAGATTCGTCCATACAGTTATATGTATTTGTAGTTTGTTCCTTTCTAATATTATACAATTTTATTGTAAGAATATACCGGTTAGTTTAGGCATTCTCCTATTGATGAACGTTTGGGTTGCTTCTAGTTTGGAGTTGTTAACAACCAAAGCAGCTCTGAACATTTGCAATTTGCAAGTCTTTGTGACTTTTTGTCGACCAGTGTTTTTATTCCTCTTGAGTAAATACCTATGAGTAGAATGGCTGGATCAAAGGGTTAAGTGTGTGTTGAAGTATATCAGAAACTTCCAACCCTTTTTCTGAAGTGGTTGTACCATTTTATATTCTTAGCACCAATGTGTGACAGTTTCAGTGGCTTCACATCGTCACCAACACTGTATTACCAATCGTGTCAATTGTGGTTCTTCTCATAAGGGTTGTGGTGGTTTCTCCTCATGGTTTTAATTTGCCTTTCCCTCATGATTAATGATGTTGAGTACTTCTCCATGTGCTTTTTGGACATGCAGATATCTTCCTTTGTGAGGTGTCCATTCTAGCCATTGACCCATTTAATTGGGTTGTCTGTCATCTTATTATTGAATTATGAGAGGTTTTTATGTTTTGGATTTAAGTGCTTTGTCATATATTTTGTGAATATTTGCTCCCAGACTGTGGCTAGCTTCTCCATGTACATAATGGTGGCTTTTGATGAGCAGAAGCTCTTCGTTTTGAAGAAGTCTAATCTAGAATATTATTCTTTTATGGTTGCCTGCTCTATCTTGCCTAAGGAACCTTCCAGGTTGCAGTTGTGCAGGAACTCTTTTATGTGTTCTTCCAAAAACTTTGTTTCGGCTTTTACATTTAGATCTGTGATTCATCTCAAATGAAGTTTGACACAGTTCCTCTTGACAAACCGAGCCTGATGCCTTGAACACGTGGGATGCCAGTCTTGCCCCACGATGAGTGCCCCCAGGCACTTTGAGTCCAGAAGGCAGGACCACTACTGCCTCCTTTTCGTCTCATTATCCAGGAAAGTACAGGAAGTGCAGGTTATCCTTGATGCAGTGGCCTTTCTGCCTTCCGGAGCAAAAACTCCCACCAGAGACCTATAATGAAACCTTCTAAACATGTCTTCTATCATTGTGTCACACTGGCCCTGGTGATACAGGTGGTGACGGAGAAAGACCATTTGCTTTATAGGTCTGAGTTTGGATTTCTATCTTCTCGTTTATTGGCTGTGTGAGCCTGGATAACTTACTTAATATCTCTGAGCCTCATTTAAAAAGACCCCTGTGTAGAGATTCAAAGTCTGTGCCTTGAACTTAGTAAGTGTTCAGTAAATGTCAGCACCCTCCCCCACCTGCACCACTCCCCTTGACCCCCATCAATAAACATACCAGAACCCCAGTGTAGAATGAAATGTGCTTTGTGAAATAATAAATTGCTGAAACCCGGTGTGTGAACTTTTTCACAAAGTATTAAGTTAATGTTTCCATAATTTAAACTAGTTTATTGGAATAACTACATTAGGAAATATATGATACATGCCAAAGCTTGCTTTTATGTTTAAATTAATGGTATCGATCAGTATACATTTCCATTTATCACATTTCACTTGTTAGTATATATTCTTTTTATACATTATTTAAAAGCAGCAAAGTTATTTAGTTAAATAAAAAATGCAGGGCTCAGATCCCTTGGGCAGTTATCATGTAGTGGGGTTGCTTTATATGCCTGCAGGTTGTAAGGAAAGTTTTCAAAATTCTGAGGTTGAAGATTGCATCCTAACCCCATTCCTTGTCCTGTGCAGAGGAACGCAAACTTGTGCCACTTGATTTTGAGGTGTTTTGTCATGTAGTAGTAGTAATCAGAATATAATAAAATATCTCTGCATCTTATCGACAATGCTTACTAATGCACCAGGATATCCTAATGCCAGCCATGTTGCATCAGCCCAGTTCTAGCCATACAAGATACCTTGTATGGCCATTAATATTGAGAGTAAAAGAAATGTAGAATAAATGGGACAAAAAGGAAATGAAAATTGTTGATATTGTAAAAGTGCTTCATTGGTCTCCAGTAAATCCCACCAAATATTTTGGTTGAGCTGGAAGCAAAGACCATTTTGATGTTCACAATGATTGTCATTGGCTCTCACAAGGCTAAAGTTTTAAGACTTGTTAGATGAGTTTATTTTAAAAATGTGTTATCTGGGCCAGGTGTGGTGGCTCATGCCTGTAATCCCAGCCCTTTGGGAGGCTGAGGCAGGCGGATCACTTGAGGTCATGAGTTTGAGACCAGCCTAACCGCCATGATGAAACCCCATCTCTACTAAAAATACAAAAATTAGCCAGGCGTGGTGGCGCATGCCTGTGATACCAGCTGCTCGGGAGGCTGAGGCAGGAGAATCGCTTGAACGTGGGAGGCAGAGGTTGCAGTGAGCCGAGATCATGCCACTGCACTCCAGCCTGGGCAACAGAGTGAGATTCCATCTCAAAAAAAAAAAAAAAAGTATTATCTATCCTGAGAATGAGAATACTGCATCCAATGTGCTTATCATTGCTAAGAAGCAAATAGATAAGTTTTTGTAAAGCACTGTCTGGCTATGGAGTGCTTGATGCAGATCATAAACTCTGCACATCCCTTCTCAAAGGACCACCTACGAAAAAGGAAATTGGTACATGAAAAAAAGGAAATTAGAAGGGGCAAGTTCCAAGCAACATGGCCCCTGTATCTAGCAATGAGTCACCACTCCCACAGGCTATGGGGACAGATACTGCTGAGGAAGCGTAGGGGACAGATACTGCTGAGGAAACGTAGAGCACAGAATGGGTGAAATCAGCAGCCAGGCAGAAGTCCGGATGCTTAGTGATGATCTTTAAGGAGCTGTTGATTTTGTTAAGGAAAGAGTGTATTATTGTGGGAGGAGTATATGTAAAAGCGATGGTTCCCTCGAGCCGGCTGACATTCATTTTAACAAGACCTAATTAAGAAATGCAGGGGCTACTTACTGTGATTTTTGTCACAGTAACAGGAAAGCTCAGCGGTGCCCTTGTCAGGGTCTGCAGCGTGTGGCTGGAGTACATCAAACTCTGCACCACTCTAGAATTGCGCACAGTTTGAAGGTGATGTGTGACACAGACCTTTTGAAAGAAGAGGTTGCTATCTGCTGGTCAGAAAAGGCTTCTCAGAATGTGTCTCCAAAAATTTTGCTACAGAGAGTCATGTTAAAGCGTTCCCTTTAGAAAAGGGTTGAGGAAAGCTGAAGAGGAATCTTCAGATGACGAAGATGAAAATAATGGGATGGTGGCCAGGCGTGGTGGCTCAAGCCTGTAATCCCAGCACTTTGGGGGGCCGAGGCAGGTGGATCACTTGAGGTCAGGAGTTCAAGACCAGTCTGGCCAACATGGCGAAACCCTGTCTCTACTAAAAATACAAAAATTAGCCTGGCGTGGTGGTGCACACCTGTAGTCCCAGCTACTCAGGAAGCTAAGGCACAAGAATCGCTTGAACCTGGGAGATGGAGGTTGCAGTGAGCTGAGATCATGCCACTGCACTCCAGCCTGGGCAACAGAGCAAGACTCCATCTCAAAAAAAAAAAAAAAAAATTGGGGTGATGTGTTCACTGGCTGCCAGGGAACCCAGAGTTGGAGCTGTGAAGGGTGTGACAGCAAGGATGATGACAATGATATCAATACCCATGTATTTTTATTTTTTTAGAGATGGGGTCTCACTCTGTCACCTAAGCTGGAGTGCAGTGGCACAATCATAGCTCACTGCAGTTTCAAAGTCCTGGGCTCAAGCGATCCTCTTGCCTCAGCCTCCTAAGTAACAATATTGATAGCATTTAAAGTGATGAATGCAGTCTAGCTTGCAGTATCATGCTGCATATTTTTCTGTATTGTCAGATGGAAGAACAATATGTATTTGCAAAAGATGAAGTGGCTTAACTCATGCTATAATGTATATTGCAAATATTTCACTTTGAGTGGTCTCAAATTAAGCCCATTGAGCCCATTCACCTCAGTGAGTAAAACGTAGTTGGCATATATGTGCTGCATTTCTTTTGGAAAAACTGGTAGTAGACACATCTCAATCACACTTACATAGTTGAAAAAAAAACAAAAGATTTACTTTCAGTCATTCTTACAAAAAAATTTGATACTGGGAAGCAAAAGATAGGCCAGGTAGTTTCCTGATGTCCTCACGCCTCCCCTCCTTCCTCCTAGTTAAAACTCGATCCCCCAGGCAACGAGTACCACTCACTATGACACTTGGTAAGGACTTGCTGATGTCCTAACACTGAATTGGTATATTGGCTCCTTCTTATGAGATTGGAAAATAAGATTTAAGTGACACTTCAAGCTGGGTGCGGTGGCTCATGCCTGTAATCCCAGCACTTTGGGAGGCCGAGGTGGGCAGATCACTTGAGGTCAGGAGCTGAAGACCAGCCTGGCCAACATGGGGAAACCCCGTGTCTACTAAAAATACAAAAATTAGCCAGGCATGGTGGTGCATGCCTATAATCCCAGCTACTCAGGAGGCTGAGGCAGGAGAATCACTTGAACCCAGGAGGTGGAGGTTGCAGTGAGCCAAGATTGCACCACTGCACTCCAGCCTGGGCGACAGAGCAAGACTCCATCTCAAAACAAACAAACAAAACACTTCACAACTTTCTTCACTGACTTGACCTGAGTATGTTGGAAATAAGCAGCAGTGGATAAGTAAGATCTAAATTATGGTAGGAGTTAGGAGAGGTGCCTTCTGTCCAGTATATCTGGGCTTTTTTTTTTTTTAAAGGTAGCTTTTAGGTAGCTAGTGTTGTCATATGTCCAATCCAATTTTTGTTTTGAAGTCTTTGGCCAAAAACTTATTCTGAAGTCTAGCGCTTTTCATTTTGACAAAGCCAGTCTTACTTACTTTCATAATTTCTTTTTTTTCTGCAGGGAGTTAGATAGACTTAAGGATAACCTGGTATATATTTAAAGACTGGTATGAGCCAGTACAGTCACAGAATTACTATATGGTAAATCATTTGCCATCATATCACTTTGTTGACTAATGCTTTGCTTCAGAAATCAGATACTTTTAAACCACACTAGAAAATTATAGTTTTATGTATTACCCATAAAACATTTAGCAAAAATAGTATTCAAGATAGTGTTCAAAAGTTTTCAACGAACTAAAGTCCTATGCATCATCTTTCTTATTTAACACTAGCGTGTTTCAAGGTCCTTGTAATTGACCTCCTGCTTGAGGTCATTGTAACTGGTTTTTAAATTACACTTTCCTGCTAAGCATAGATTTCAACTGGAACCTTGGCTTTTTGCAAATCCTTGATGTAGTATCTCTCTCCCTCCTCCTCTCTCTCTCTCTTAAAAAGACAGAGTCTCATTATGTTGCCCAGACTGGACTTGAACTTCTAGGTTCAAGTGCTCCTCTTGCCTCAGCCTCCAGAGTAGCTGGGACTTCAGGCACACGCCACCATGCCTGGTATCACTTCTTAAAGTTTGCTAAACCAAGATAGGTAGGGTGGGTGTGTGTGCCTGCCTCAGGGTCAGAAAAGATGGTTTATATGATATGTGTTTTTTTTTTCCCTGAAGCTGGCCTGCGTCAGTAGGAACTGAAAGGTAATGGTTGCTAGGAGCACAGGGTGTATTTGGGAATGAAAATCTGAATTTTATCTCTTCCTTTTTATCTGTGATCTTTTTGCTTAAGATTTAGCCTGATATATAAATTTGTTTTGCCCCCAGGTAGCTCAGTTTTACACAGTGTGTCAGGAATGTACTAAGCCTCATGAGGGCATCGGGGAACACAGGACTTGGGGTTGGAAAAGCTGATTTTGAGCCCTGACTTGTTCATGCTGTACTTGAGCGACCTTGGGCGAGTCTGTTAACCTCTTTGCACTTCATTTTTCTACCTGCTTAGTGAAGCCAGTGCTTGCCCTGCCTGCCTGCTGGGGTTCTGAAATTCAACTGAGAAGTCTGTGGAAGTGTTTTGTAAATGGCAAAGCATGTGACCACGGTGATGATGAAAGGTTTTAGGTAACTGGTGCTCTCTTTAGGGATAAAGCCCTTTTTTCTTTGTATAGAATAAAAGTTCCAATCTGGTGTTTTATTACAATTAACAATTTATAAATCAGATGCTAAATTCGTGTTTTAGGAATTCTGAAAATAAGCCAGTTGCATACTATTTTGGTATAAATCCTCAAAGTGAACTTAGTCTACTGGCCTGAGTGACAAATGTCAGGCAAAAATTCCAACTTTAGATTCGAGGCAGTTTTCCTATTGAACATGAATTGCTCAGAATTTTTTTTTTTTTTTTTTTTGAGTAGCAGTATTAATATGTCCTGTTTTCATTGACAGTGAAAAGTCTCTCCCAATCCTTGGTAGGCCGGTGGGTCCCAGCACAGAATGTTGAGAAGGCAAAGAAGGGAGGACTTCATGTCACTTGATCAAAATGGAATCTTGGCAACAAGTTCCTCTGCCACGTTCAAGGTTGCCTGTGAAAATGGGCTGTGTGACTTCGGGACTACTGTCCCTATCCTCCCTTCTGCCCCGTTCCGCTATTCCCCTTTGTCTGTTTCTATTTGCTTCCTTGCCTTTATTAACTAATTATAACAGTCACCATGGCCTTGGAATTAATATCTATGTTGCTACTTTTTCATAACATCACTATGAAACATGTAATTTTAAAAAAAATCTTTTGAGACAGAGTTTCGCTCTTGTCATCCAGGCTGGGGTACAGTGGTGCAACCTTGGCTCACTGCAACCGCCTCCTCCCAGGTTCAAGTGATTCTCCTGCCTCAGCCTCCCGAGTAGCTGGGATTACAGGCGCCCACCCCACACCCAGCTAATTTTTTGTATTTTTAGTAGAGACGGGATTTCACCACGTTGGGTAGGCTGGTCTCAAACTACTGACCTGAGGTGATCCACCCACCTCCGCCTCCCAAAGTGCTGGGATTACAGGCGTGAGCCACCGCGCCCGGCCTGAAACATATAATTTTTAATGTAGATAAGTAAGAGTCCAGGAAGCAATCCTATAGGCAGAATGTCTAATTTACTCAGCTGCAGTGGCGCATTATCTTGACTCTAAGCAAATGTCTTTGGGGAGTGGAATTACCCATTTGAGAGAAATTGATGAGGCTGGGTTGTAGAGTGTTTCCTCAGTATAGACGTGCATCCTTTCATTAGTAGATGACCTCTAAAGGGTAAATTTGACTCTGAGAGTCTCCTGCTAAAAAACTCTCTTGATTATTTAAAAATATTTTTAGGTGAGACATTGATACTATGGTTATTTTTTTCTTTGAGTTCTCATCTTTTAGTGATATATCCTGAAATATTGGGGGATAAAACAACGTGGTGTCTGGTGGGATTTATTTTAAAATAACACAGGGAGGGAGGGGTGGATGTTGCGGATGGTAGTAAAGATGAAACAAAGCCGGCCTTGAGTTGATCGTTGTTGAGGTGGGAGGTATGGAGATTTCATTATACTATTCTGTCTACTTTTTATGTATATTTGTAGTTCTGCATAATAAAAAGTTTTAAAGAGGCCAGGAGCAGTGGCTCACAGCTGTAATCCTAGCACTCTAAGAGGCCGAGGTGGGAGGATTGCCTGAGCCCAGGAGTTCAAGACCACCCTGGGCAACAGAGTGAGACCCCATCTCTGTTTAAAAAAAAAAAAAAAAGTAGCCAGGTGCAGTGGCTAACGCCTGTAATCCCAGCACTTTGGGAGGCTGAGGTGGGCGGATCGCTTGAGGTCAGGAGTTTGAGACCAGCCTGGCCAACGTGGTGAAACCCCATCTCTGCTAAAAATACGACAAAATTAGCCGGGCATGGTGGCACATGCCTGTAGTCCCAGCTACTCTGGAGGCCAAGGCACAAGAATAGCTTGAGCCTGGGAGGTGGAGGTTGCAGTGAGCCGAGATCGTACCCATGCATTTTTGAGACTCTGTCTCAAAAATAAATAAGTAAGTAAAAATAAAAAGTTAAAAAACCCAACCATAGGTTTCCCATTGCCTCAAGGAAGGTCCAGCCCTCCACCTCCAGGCTCGTTTTCTGGGGTATTGTGGCCCCAGGAAGTGATATGTGGGTGGCCTTCACACTTACACCCTGGCTTGCTGCTGGCCCCTTGCACTAGCTGGCTTCTGTTAATGCACCGCTCTTTCCTTCCCTTTGATCCCCCATATCCTCATCCCATTTGCCTGCCTGACTCTTACAGAGCCTCAGGTCATGGACAGTATCCCTTCCTCCAGGCATTCTGTGATTGCCCTCCGCTCAGGTGTGGATTATGTGCCCTCCTGGGGGTGCTCTGTTCACTGTTTCCCTTATTTTGGCTGCCCTCATGGTGATCCTAACCATCCCCTTCCTTCTGGTTACCCACATTGTATTGTAGTTGGTTTTTTCTTTTGAGGAAAGTGATTATGCCCTGTTGACACTTCTATCCCTGGCACCCATCAGAATCCTGCCATACAGCAGGCAATCCATAAATAAGAGAATAAAGGGCCCACTCTGGGGCTTAGTGGCACTTGGCCTCAGGTTCCCAGCGCCTCTCTACAGAGCTAGCGGTGTCTGGTGCTGATATGCTGCCTGCCTGCCTTCATGTTTCTTCACGCCCTTGTTCAACTGGCCTCTGTTGTGTCCCATCGGGATTTTGAGTGACTTTCTAGAAGTCACAGCAGTGCGAGCATGAGTTTGGACACTACATTCCTATATCTCCACTGCACATGGTAAGGAAGCTCCCATCAAACTTGGAACTCTTACATCCTCTAGAATGTTTTGAGTTTTAAAACGGTGCCCCATACTACTAAGCGTAATTTAAACATGCTCATTATTCATGTAATAAGTTGCTCCTCTGTTTTGAATAGGTCTCTATTACAGGGTGCAACTCCAGGGTGCATTTTATTTTTTTTTTTTTTTTAGTTTATGAGACAAGGTCTTACTCTGTCACTTAGGCTGGAGAGCAGTGGCATGATCACAGCTCACTGCAACCTCGACCTCCCAGTCTCCAGCCATCCACCCACCTTAGCCTCCTGAATAACTGGGACTACAGGCACGCACCACCACACCCGGCTAATTTTTTGTATTTTTTATAGAGATGGGGTTTCGCCATGTTGTCCAGGCTGGTCTTGAACTGCTGAGCTCAAGCATTCTGCCCACCTCGGCCAACTAAAGTGTTGGGATTACAGGCATGAGCCACTGCGCCCAGCCAGGGCACGTTATATGTTGTTAAGTTGATGGTAGACATGTGAGCCAGGAGCTATGACAGGACTGTTTATTGCAGCAGTGTGAAATAGGAAATGAATAAAAATCTGTCACAACAGAATTCTATACAGAAGCGAAAACGTATGAACTGGAGCTAAACGCACAAATTGGTTGAATGCCACCAAAAAATAGCAAGCTGAAGAATACATACAATGCAATACCATTTATATGAAGTTCAAAGACATGCAAAACTGAGCAATATACTGTTAAGGAATTTTTGTATGTATGTGTGTGTGTGTGTGTGTGTGTGTGTGTGTGTGTGTGTGTGTGTATAATGCCTATACATGCCTGTACGTATTGTCTTAGTCTGTTTGGACTGCTGTAACATAATGCCTGGGCATGGCTTCTAAACAACAGAAATTTATTTATTTATTTAGAGACAGAGTCTCACTCTGTTGCCCAGGCTGGAGTGCAGTGGCACGATCTGAGTTCACTGCAACCTCTGCCTCCCAGGTACAAGCGATTCTCCTGCCTTAGCCTCCCGAGTAGCTGGGATTACAGGCACCTGCCACCACGCCCAACTAATTTTTGTATTTTTAGTAGAGACGGGGTTTCACTATGTTGGACAGGCTGGTCTCGAACTCCTGACCTCAGGTGGTCCACCTGCCTTGGCCTCCCAAGGTGCTAGGACTACAGGCATGAGCCACTGCACCCAGCCAGAAATTTATTTCTCATAATTATGGAGACTAGGAAGTCCAACATCAAGGTGGCGGCAGACTCATTGTCTGGTGAGGACCTGCTTTCTAGTTCACAGACAGGACCTTCTCCCTGTGTCCTGGAATGATGAAAGGGGGAAAGCAGCTCCCCGGAGTCTCTTTTATAAGTGCACTAATCCAATTTATGAGGCCTCCATCCTCATGACCTAATCACCTCCCAAAGGCCTCATCTTCAGGTACCATCATATTGGGGGATAGGTTTCAACACATGAACCTTGAGGGGACACAAACGTTCATTCTATAGCGCACACACACGTGCGTGGAACTGACAAATACATAGATCCGGACAGAAATGCTCTCTGGGCAGGAGGGAGGAGATGTGATCAGGGAGGGGCACATGGGACCCTGAGTGCAGGTAACCCTCTGACTTGGGCTGCACAGAAGGTACATGGTTTTTCGTTGCATTATACTTTATGCCTCATATATAAGCTAAATATATTCTTCAGATGTGTGATATGTCATAACAAAAATAACATTAAAAATCCATCAGCAAGTTCTAAGTGAGGTTACATTCCCAGCACTTTGAAGAAGAAAGAGGATTAAAAAAAATTCTTACTGCATTTCTTCCACAGTTCATAGGGTAATTTTAATCAAATCATTCCTTACTTTACCTAACAGGCTGATGACAGAAATACACATTGCTATAGCTCCTCACTGGTGATCACCAGTGAGTAGATGAAGTAGACAGATCATCTCCCCTAATCCTGTCCTCTCCTTGTTCATTGCAGATGTTGCTGTGGTAGACATGAGCGATGTCTCCAGACAGCCTTCCCTCTTCTACCATCTTGGAGTCCGAGAAAGCTTTGACATGGCCAATAATGTGATCTTGTACCATGACACCGATGCCGACACTGCTCTCTCTTTGAAGGTACAGTGTATTCACCTTCTCCTGAGTACTTTGTTTTGGGAAAGCAGAATTATATGTCTAGCTGAAATGCCACAGTAGCACAGGAAGTTGGAGAAAAACAAAGACTTGCTTGTGCAATTCTTTCCTTCCCACCACAGATTCTAGTTCACACAGATGACTTCCTGGCTACTTCGTGAGCATCTGTGCTACAGTCGTACGTTTGCAGGCAACTTGGGCATTTCCGGGCTCGTTAGGGAAGTGGAGGCAAACACTCCTATTAGTTTCCATTGAAGCAAACACACTGTCCCGAATTCCTTCATGAGCAATTGGATCCAAACCTACACATAAAAATCAGTTCTGAATTCCTTCATGAGCAATTGGATCCAAACCTACACATAAAAATCAGTTCTCAACTTGGATAATAATATGAAGACATTGAACAGTTACCGAAATGGACAGAATATTTTAGTATAGACACAATTAGTCTTTGATGTTATTTTCCCCCAGTCTGAAAGCAAAGCAAAACTGAAAACGTGTGTGTTCCTGCACAACTCAATCATGGTTGAGAATTTCTAAAATGTATTTTTGCAAGTTTGAGACAAGCTTTTTTGGGTAACATAGTATTTTTTTAAAAAATGCTTGCATTTGTATAGTGGAAATGTTTAACATGAGTTATTCCAAAATTCAGTGGATATTGATATTGTTGAATATTTTAGTCAGAAAATCCTGGCCTATGTTAAATCATTTTAGGAATAATGAATTAGTTTGTTTATAGCAGTGCTTCTCGGCCTTGAGTGCACTTCAGAATTACTGGGAGAGCTTGTAAATATCCCCATGCCTAGGCCCCACCCCAGACCAATTACATCACAGTCTCGGGGATGGGGGTTGGGACCAAGGCACGGAGATTTTTTTAACCTCCCAAATGTGCAACCATGGGTGAGAACCAATGGTTTGGAGAGTCAGCCTTCACAGACATCATTTCTAAAGGTTCAGTTCCCTCAGTATTAAAAATCACTGGTAGATAGTAGTACAATTTTATGCCAAAGTTGGACATTTTCATTGTGTTTCTTGAGATTTAATATTAACTAGATTTTCTGGGTTGTGTAAGGATTTGAGATTATTTCCTGGTAGAAATACCACCTGCTTGAGATGTGTAACTTGTATGTGCTAAACATCATATATACTTTACATAGATATGTACTCAGTAATTATGGCAAAATACTGTATTTTAATAAGTCATTTGTATGACAGTGAAAGAAGAAACTTTTATTAGTGTACTTTACATTGTAGAATAGTTTCCCCAGGGCTATAAACCAATGTGAATTACATTAGATAGTTAGATATTGACCTTTTCTTTTACTGATTTTCACCAAGGTAGCTATGCTTAGGAATATTTAGAACTTAGCAAGTATGAAAGATATAGATTATTAACCTATATTTTGATGAAAAACATGAAATTAGAATTTTTTTTTCAATTTAGGACAGTTTCTTCAACTGTGCCTTAGCAAAGCCCTCTGGAAAGTTCAATGGACTAGATGTTTTAATTTTTAATAATACAGAAAAATATTTCCTAAAATGGAAATGGGTAGTCAGTTATATTTAACACCAGAAGAAGCAGTTTGCACTTGTTATCAGGAAATAAAAATCTGAGAATATATAAAACATGTTTTACAGGGCAGCTGTTTAGTTATGGTGTTTTCTCCGCCCTTCCCCCCCCCCACCCCCAGAAATGTTGGTGCGTAAATGAGACAGTCAAAGGCTGCCTAATTATCATACTAAATTTACTGACTAGAATTGTTGTCATTGAATTTGAACATTCCTAGACAGTTGTAGCAGGGTGTCAGGAATTCTACTACCAACACCCCTTCTGTAGGAAGGCTGACTGTGGTGTGGCCTTCACATTGATTGATTCAGGAAGTGGTTCCAGATCCGGGGATAGCACGGTGCCTTCTGGGCCCTTTCTTGCTATCGCCGACATTCTTTTCTGGGAAGGCAAGATGCAGGGCACTCAGCACCCCAAACTTGAAGCTCAAAATATCTTTTGGGCAAAAGCATTGGCCCTGTTCTGGGGAAATCCTTATAAATGCCCCCTAATAGTTCCAGAGACTAACCAGTGGTGATCAATTTTCTTTGGAATATCAATGTTGCAATTCAGAGGTTCATTGTGTTTGAAGCTTTTGGAGAGGGAGGTTTCACATGATTAATTCTTGCTCTAAGGTGGGTGCTTTTATGTGATTAATTCTTACATGATTAATTTCTTTTATAGAGGGGAGTGCTGGCTAATGCTTATGGAAATTAGCTGTTTTACAAAAAGCTATATTCATCTTTTCTTTTTCTTTTCAGGACATGGTAACTCAAAAAAACACAGTAAGTATTAACATTTTCAGAATTTTAATTCTGAAATTAAATGTAAATGTCAATTTGTAAAATGCTTGCCTGAAAATCGCCCAGGTAGCAAGATGACTTCTAATCACGCCTGTGGGTTGTGTTTCTAAGGAGGACAGCTAGAAATCTCCCTATGCCTCAACCGGCCGGCCCCAGGCCCCACTCAGCCATTGAGGCAGTGGGCCAGAAGGCAAGGCAAGGCCAGGCAAGAAAGTGTATGTTCTTCATTACCTGCTGGGACTTTGAGCTGTAACCTTCTGGGTGACTCCTTCTGATCTGGGTCGATGTTCCATGGACCACCAGTAATCGTTTTGCTGGAGTCAATACCTCCCATACTTCCCAAGCAGAGTTTCCCTAATGATGGAGGAACGTGAAGTTGTATGCCAGTTAATATGGGGCAAAAGTTTCTTGCCACAAACGGAAAAGAAGTGGGATGGAATTCTACTTCCTTCTGTCCCATTTATGTACTGAAGTCTCCTGATTTGGCTTAAAAGTTCCTGAAATTACATAGTTTTATTGCCACGTTGGTTTGAATAGTATAATGAAATCACCACCCTAAAAATGTTTTAAAAGGATCTTGGCCTTGGAAATGTTGCCAAGGTTATCCTGTACCCTTGAGTGCACTCCAAGCTGCCCATCCCTCCAGACCTATGGCATTGTGGTTTGAGAAACCGTGACCTAGACTCAGGACAGGCCCTTGGTCCCCCACCTTACAGCCTTAGTCTCCTTCCTGCTAGCTCTTCTAGAAGGAACAGGCCTACAGACTCTCTTCCTATTCCAGTTGGAGTTCCTAGGAGAGGGAGAAAAGGGCCCAGGAGGCAAAGCTTTCCCCTGGGCGCCCTCTGCAGAAGTCCCCAACCTGCAGCTTGGGGGCCCAGGCTTCCCCAGGACCCTGACAGAGCTCCCCACCTGAGACATAAGTTTCAGAAACAGAGCACGTGGTATAGTGCACGTGATTACTATTGGAGCATGAATTTTACAAGCAGGCCTGTAAGATAAGGCATCCGGTGGTTTTAGATTCCTTTTGGAAAAGAAATGGGATCAGGTGTGACTTTTTTTGGTCCCATTTACATGCTGATGTTGTCCACTTGTAAGAGTCTTTCCTGTTCTTCCTAGAGCTTGACTTTTTTTTTTTTTTTTTTTTTTTTTTTTTTTGAGACAGAGTCTCGCTCTGTCAGCCAGGCTGAAGTGCAGTGGTGTGATCTTGGCTCACTGCAACCTCTGCCTCCAGGGTTCAAGCGATTCTCCTGTCTCAGCCTCCTGAGTAGCTGGGATTATAGGCGCCTACCACCACGCCTGGCTAATTTTTGTACTTTTAGTAGAGACATGGTTTCCCAATGTTGGCCAGGCTGGTCTTGAACTCCTGACCTCAAGTGATCTGCCTGCCTTGGCCTCCTAAAGTGCTGAGATTACAGGCGTGAGCCACCTCACCCAGCCTTGATTTTTAAAATTACCTAATTTGTGGAGAAATGGGGAAGAAGTCGAAGGAGATTGGGCCTGAGGCCCAGGAGGTGCAGTTGTAGCCGCAGCCCTGTCTCTAAGTAACACTGGGCAGTCAGTTGTTCCACCCCTGCCTAGGCCTCAGGATCCTCAGCAATAAAATGAGAAATGTTGAACTGTGCTGTTTTGCTCATTGATACCTTCTAGCCCTCAACATCTGTAGTTCCATATTTGTTATACAAGCAAAAAGATGTAACCTGGATTTAATGCAAGAAATGGCTATGAAATGCTGATTCCTTAAAACAGCAAGAGTTACGTTGAGGCAAGGAGCAAGGAAGACAACTCGTTTTCTTTCTCCATTCCTCACTGTTGGATGCATCAGTACTCAGAAATAGTCTCTCGTCCCGGAGACTTGGTGTCACGCTGTTACAATTCCACTACATACCTCCCTCCTGGTGCATTCTCCCTCTTCCAAAACATCCAGGAATTCCTTAACATTCTTAGTAATTCCAAGTATACCTTGGCACTATTCTTCCTAGGTATCTGTTTGCTTTTTAGGAATAAACTTACTCTAAAGCAGCGGTCCCCAACCTTTTCATCACCAGGGACTGGTTTCATGGAAGACAATTTTTCCACAGACCAGAGGTGGGGGATGGTTTCAGGATGAAACTGCTTGACCTCAGATTATCAGGCATTAGATTCTCGTAAGGAGCACGCAGCCTAGATCGCTCACATGTGCAGTTCACAATAGGGTTTGCACTCCTGTAAGAATCTAATGTCACCAATGATCTGACAGGAGGTGGAGTTCAGACAATAATGCTTGCTCACCCACCACTCACCTCCTGCTATGTGGCCTGGTTCCTAACAGGCCACTGACCGGTACTGGTCCATGGCCCCGGGGGTTGGGGACCCCTGCTCTAAAGGATTTGGCAGCTAATCTCTTTGCTATATTTGGCATTATGTTAGAATTTGGTGCCCAGTATTGGTTGTCATGCTTGGCAAGATGTGAAAATTTAGAGCACTCAGAAGACTAAAAGGATCCCAGGTGATGGGATGAGTGGAAAATTGCACTAAGAGGAAAAGCTAAAGGGAACTAAGCCTTGAGGGGTACCATTAGTAGTCATCTTCAAATGCTATCCTCTTTCTGAAAGAAAAGAGACGTTTACTTTTTCCACTCCAGATGGGATGGAAGTAGGGTAAACAGAAAAATGGTTTGGATCAGCAGAATGGACATCTTGCAACTAATGGTGGTTAAACATTAAAATAGAATGTCAAAGTAACTTGGGTGGCTTCTAAGGAGAATTTGCTCAATTGTCCCCTCCATGTGGATTGGGGTGACCCTGGAATCAGACACCTGGATCATACGACCCCAGAGATTCCAAGACAGAATCTGATGGAATTGTGGGTTTATGATCATTTTGGAAAGATTTTGATTAACACACACACACACACACACACTCATAGTTAGTGAACAGTGAAGTCTTATAAATAAGGGGTACGAATTAGATGCCACACCCTGAACATGTAGCCAGGTGTTTGAAATGATTTCTGAATATGTGAAAACCAAGATGCATTGAGATCTCTTTTCAAGGAGTCATTTGATATTTCTAAAATTGTACTTTTACCCAGAAAGGGAGATGGAAAAATAAAAAGTAATAAAATAATAATAACAAAGATAAAATTGTGCTTGATGATGTATTGAATTCAGCTTTATGTGGCAGCGAAGTGGGCACATTTATCTCCATTTCTTTTTTTTTTTTTTTTTTGAGATGGAGTCTTGCCCTGTAGCCCAGGCTGGAGTGCAGTGGCATGATCTTGGCTCACTGCAACCTCTGCCTCCCAGGTTTGAGTGATTCTTCTGCCTCAGCCTCCCGAGTACCTGGGAATACAGGCATGTGCCACCATGACCGGCTAATTTTTGTATTTTTTTTTTTTTTAGTAGAGACAGGGTTTCACCATGTTGGCCAGGCTGGTCTCAAACTCCTGGCCTCAGATGATCCGCCCGCGTTGGCCTCCCAAAGAGCTGGGATTACAGATCACGTTGCCTGGCCATTTGTCTCCATTTCTAGGAGCAGTTGCTTTGCAGGGATGCCGAGGCCAGGAAGCCAAACTCCAGACTTCAGGGTGGACCACCTGCAGCTCTTCTGGGTTTCTTTGCTCTTTGGAAACATGGTATCACCTTTTGTGTTCACCTCTTTTTCAGATGATGCTCATATTCTTGTGTTCTGGTTTTGTTTTGTTTTTTTGAAATGCTTTATGTAGGTATAATTTACATACCACAAAATGTACCTAGTTTAAGCACACACAATTCAATGATTTTTAATAAATGACATAATTGTGCAGCCAGTTGTGGGTTGTGTACCACAGTCTAGTTTTAGAGCATTTCCCTGACCCCAAAATGCTTATTTGCAGACAATCTCTCTTCCCACACCCAGCCCCAGGCAAGAACTAATCTGCTTTTTGTCTTATAGACTTGCCTTTTCAAGACTTCTCATGTGAAAGGAACCATACAATATGTGATCTTTTGCATCTGGCTTCTATCACTTAGGATGATGTTTTCGAAGATCATCCTTAATGCACTAGGATCATGGATGCATGGATCAGTAGTTCTTTCCTTTTTATTACTGAATGGTATTCTACTGTATAGATATTCCACATTTTATCCATTCCCTAGTAGATGGATTTTTGGATCGTTTCTACTTTCTGGCTATTATGAATAATACCACTGTGAATATTCGAGTGCAAATCTTTGTGTGGGCACATTTTTTTTTTCCTCTTGGATACATACCTAGGAATGGAATTGCCAAGTCATATGGTAAATATAGGCTTTTTTTTTTTTTTTTTGAGCTGGAATCTCACTCTGTCGCCCAGGCTGGAGTGCAATGGCGCGATTTCGGCTCACGGCAACTTCTGTCTCCCGGGTTCAAGTGATTCTCCTGCCTCAGCCTCCTGAGTAGCTGGGATTATAGGCGCCCACCACCACGCCTGGCTAATTTTTTTTGTATTTTTAGTAGAGATGCGATTTCATCATATTGGACAGGCTGATCTCGAACTCCTGACCTCAAGTGATCCACCTGCCTCAGCCTCCCAAAGTGCTGGGATTACAGGTGTGAGCCACCGTGCCTGGCTGGTAAATATACCTTTAATTTCTTAAGAAACTGTCAAAACAATTCCAAAGTGGCTGTACCATTTTACATTTCCACCAGCAGTGAGAGGTCCAGTATCTTCACATCCTTGCCAATACTTGATATCATCTGTCTTTTTATTATAGCCATTCTAGTGAGTATGAACTGATACCTGAGTGTACTTTTAGTTTGCATTTCCCTAGTGGCTAATAATGTTGAGCATCTTTTCATGTGCTGATTGGTCATTCATAGTCTTCTTTGGTGAAATGTCTGTTCAAATCTTTTGCCCGTTTAAAATTGGGCTGTGTTCTTATTACGAAGCTGTGTAAGAGTTCTCTATACATTTTGGAAGCAAGGCCCTTATTAGAGGTTTTATCAATTATTTCTTTTATGGATCGTGCTTTTGGTATATCTGTGAACTCTTAGCCCAAACCAAGGTCATGAAGTATGACTCCTATGTTTTCTTTTAGAAGTTTTATAGTTTTAGCTCTTACATTTAGGTCTCTGATCCATTTTGAGTTAATTTTTTTGTCTGGTGTGAGGTAGATGTCCAACTTCATTCTTTCTCATTTGGATCCCTAGTTGTCCCAGCACTGTTTCTTAAAAAAAAGAAAAAAAAAAACTGTCTTGTCATCTTTGAATCATCTTTCCACCCTCGTCAAAATCAATTGACTGTATACGTAAGGGTTTATTTTTGGACTCTCAATTATACTCCATTGACATATGTGTCTACTCTTATGCTAATACCACACTGGTTTAAAACTTTTTTTTTTTTTTTTTTTTGAGACAAGTTCTCGCTCTGTCACCCAGGCTGGAGTGCAGTGGTGCGATCATGGCTCACTACAGCCTTGACTTCCCCTGGTTCAGGTACTCCTTCCACCTCAACCTCCCGAGTGCCTGGAATTATAGGTGTGCACCACCACGCCCAGCTAATTTTTTTATTTTTTGTAGAGATGGGGTTTTGCCATGTTGCCCAGGCTGGTCTCAAACTCCTGGGCTCGAGCAGTCTGCCCACCTCAGCCTCCCAAAGTGCTGGGATTACAGGCATGAGCCACCATACCCAGCCCTTTTTTTTTTTTTTGAGACAGAGTTTCACTCCAGCCCAGGCTGGAGTGCACAGGCTCCGCTCACTGCAACCTCTGCCTCCCGGGTTCAAGCAATTCTCCTGCCTCAGCCTCCTGAGTAGCTGGGATCACAGGTGCCCGCTACCACGCACGGCTAATTTTTTTTTTTTTTTTTTTTTTTAAGTAGAGACCGGGTTTTGCAGTGTTGGCCAGGCTGATCTCGAACTCCTGACCTCAGGTGATCCACCTGCCTTGGCCTCCAAAAGTGCTGGAATTACAGGCACAAGCCACCGTGCCTGGCCCGCACCCGGCCCTTTTTAAAAAATTTATTTTTCTTTGTTTTTTGTTTTGTTTTGAGACAGGGTCTTACTCTGTCACCGCAGCTGTGGTGCAGTAGTGCAATCACAGCTCACTGCAGTCTGCACTATTTTGATTACTATAGCTTTGTAGTAATTTTTGAAATTTGGAAGTGCGAATCCTCTAACTTTGTTCTTTTTCAACATTGTTTTGGCCATTTGGGGCCTCTCAAAGTTCCATATGAATTTGAGGATCAGCTTTTCCATTTCTGGAGAAAAAAAAAGCCATTGAATATTGATAAGGATTGCATCGTATCTGTAGATTGCTTGGCTGGTATTGACATCTTAATAGTTTTAAGTCTACTAATCTGTGAATGTGGGATGTCTTTCCATTTATTTAGGTCTTCTTTAATTTATTTCAGCAATATTTTGTAGTTTTCCATGTACAGGTCTTTCACTTTCTTGGTTACACTTACTCCTGTGTATTTTATTCTTTTGGATACTCTTGCGAATGGAATTGTTTTCTTAATTTCTTTTTCAAGGTTGACTTTAAAAAAACACCTGTCACAAAAATCTTCAACACTACATTTCACTTCATATTTCAGTATTTGATTGAGTTGAAAATGTAATTGACTTTTTGGTCAGAGTTCTATACAAATGGCTTCTGGTTTTTCCTGTATTTTCATCCATTTTAATTCTTACACTATTTTATACTGCTTTGGAGATGACAGAGATAGCCACTTTCTGCAGTTTATCACTTTAGAGAAAACATGTTTATATGGTGACAGATCAAGGCTGTCTTTATGAAAGTAAAAGAGTGAAAATACAGCCAACCCCAAGGCTACTTTATCTGTTTAACCTTGGAACTTCCTAGTACTTTGCCACTAGTGTACATAGTCCATAGGCATTGCGTAGCTTCATTTGTTTTAATTTTCCTTAGCAAGGATAATCATACCTTTATACTTACAGCTTATTTTGCAGGTTGATTTCCTCTAGACTCAGACTCTGAGGCTGAGTTTAGGGTACAGGAGGTTTATTAAGGGATGCCTTTGGGATGGCTGCTGGGGAAGGGGAGTAAATGAAGCGGGACTGGCCAGAGGGAGACATGCAGCTGAGATGCAGGCTCAATGACAGCTTTGGCTGACCACATTGGGAGGGAGGTCTGGAGCTGAAATGGCCTTTCTGAGTTGTCTTGGGTTGGGATGAAATGGCCAGGCCTCTATGTTCCTCCATTTGTCCTTCATCACTAGGAATGTAGCTTGGATGAGATACTCTCTGGAACTGACACAGTTCAGAAGGGACTAACAGTAAGGGGCTGCTTCCTAACGAGCTCCCAGAAACTGGGGCAACACATCCTTCCTTGAGGTTGGGTTGGGGGGTTCTGGGTAGTATACCTGCATATCCACCACATTATAATTATTTCATTTGAGAAATGTGTGTATGTATGTGTGTCATATATACCCCAAGACTAAGAAATACATTTCCAAGGCTTAGAGGTACTGCTATAATTTTTTTCCACTGAATTGGTGGGTAAATTACCTGAAAGCTGTGCATAGCCTTGCTAGAGAGGCACCATGGAGACAAGCACCTTCTCTGTCCCCCAGGAGAATTACTGGGAGAAAACAAGGTGTTCTACCCAACACTTGCAGAAGGAATTGTTAAAAGTACATTGGACTTTATTTTCATTTGTCATGTCCTAAAGCCAGAGTTCACAGTTGTTTTTTTAAAAAGCAGAGTTAAATTTCCAAGCTAAGATCACATTATTAAAAAAAAAAAAAACCTTATTAAAAAACACGTTATTAAAAAACTAATCTGGTTCTTGACCTCTGGTTTAGGTGATTTTTTTTTTCTGGAAAGCCAGTGAGATTTAAGAGAAACTCATTGTTGCCATTAAAATGGTTATCTTTATAATCCAAATAAATTAGAAATTCTTTGAAAAACAGACACTGGCAATATTGGAGACAGTGTCTTCAATACTCGAAGTCTCTCCTCTGGCTTAGGAACATGTGTAGGTCTCGGTCAGGGTAACAATTTCTCCTGTTTTTTTCCTCTTGCCATTCTCAGGCCTTCAGTTTCCTATGGCTTAGGACTCAAAATGATCAAAGATGATATGGATTGCTTAGGGACGCTTTGGTAGAAAGACAATTAAGTTTCTTTTCTCTTTTCTGTATCCTTTGGATTTTCTGAGTTCAAAAGATTTCTAGTACTTTTATTAGCAAAGACTCAATTTCAAACAAGAAAGCTACATCTCATAATAGGGAGAATTTTATTTTACTCACAGAACATGAATTATGTAAAAATCTCAGTTGGTTCTTTCTCTCTCCCTCCCTCTTTCTCTCTCCCCCTCCTTCCCTCTCTCTCTCTCTCCCCCTTACCCTCCCCCCCTTCCCCCCTCTCTCCCCCTCTCTCCCCCTCTCCCCCTCTCCCCCCTCTCCCCCTCTCTCCCCCCTCTCTCCCCCCTCTCCCCCTCTCTCCCCCCTCTCCCCCTCTCTCCCCCCTCTCCCCCCTCTCCCCCTCTCTCCCCCCTCTCCCCCCCCTCTCCCCCCTCTCTCCCCCCTCTCCCCTCTCTCTCCCTGTCCTTCCCTCTCTCTCTCTCCCTGTCCTTCCCTCTCTCTCTCTGTCTCCCTGTCCTTCCCTCTCTCTCTCTCTCTCTCTCTCCCTGTCCTTCCCTCTCTCTCTCTCCCTCTCTCCCCATCCCTCCCTCCCTCTCCCTCTCTCCCCCCGTCCCTCCCTCCCTCTTTCTTCTCCCTCTCCTTCTTTTCTTCCTTCATTCCTTTTTCTTTTCTTTTCTCTTTTCTTTTCCCCTTCTTTTCTTCTTTTTTTTTTTTTTTCTAACACTCTTGCTCTGTTGCCCAGGCAGGAGTGCAGTGGCATGATCTTGGCTCATTGCAACCTCCACCTCCCAGGTTCAAGCGATTCTCCTGCCTCAGCCTCCTGAGTAGCTGGGATTATAGGTGCCCACCACCATGCCCGGCTAATTTTTGTGTTTTTAGTAGAGATGGGGTTTAACCCTGTTGGCCAGGCTGGTCTTGAACTCCTGAGCTCAGATGATCTGCCTGCCTTGGCCTTGGCCTCCCAAAGTGCCGGGGTTACAGGCATGAGCCACCATGCCCAGCCCCTTTGCATATTTATTTTATTTTTGTATGTTCTGTTATTTCTGCCTCATCTTAGGTTGTTAGTCTTTTTGTCTTTTTGTTGTTGTTGTTGTTGTTGTTCCTGCCTGTGGTCTTGGTCCTGTGTGTTCTCTTCAATTGGAGTACTCTGGGTCTGTGAACCATAAAACTTTTCTCTGCACCTCTTGAATATCAGAGGGGTAATGTCAGATTTCACAGGGCCAATGTCAGAACCAAATTATTCATATTTAATTCTACCTGCCAACTGGATATGTCTTTCATATCCATGGCACCCATCTATTTTCTTTAAATCGAGACATAATTCACAGACCATAGAATTTGCCATTCACTCATCTGCTTATGTTGAGTTCTTTGTACAGCTTTATTTAAGGATATTTCAGAATTAAGCAGAAGTGGCAGTTAATGACTAGAATCCTGGGAGGACAGGGGTAGGGCCTGAGATTATCTGGCTCCGTGGTCATCTGTAGGCCAGTTGGTTAACCTGCTGGGTCTTGGTTTCTTCCTCTGTTAAATGAGATGATTTTAATGAGGTGACTTTTGAGATTTGTGCCAGCTCTGAAATAATCCTGTGACTTTGTGATGGCCATTCAGTTGTGTAAACAAAGTAAATCAACTGTCACAACAGGTTAATTAGCACTCCATGGCACGTTTCCAGCAGGGATATCTTCGTTTACTTTTAAGTGGCACCGTATCCTGATTATCCTGTTGAAATTGTTATACAGTTTCTGAATATTTTTTTCCTCCTATGACCAGATAATTAGAGAAAAGGAGTAGTGTAGAATGCTATTTGCGTTGCTCTAAAAAGAAAACCACTGCATTTTTCTGGACAATGTATATATGTATGTATCTAGCTGGCTAGACAAATAATTATATCTGTTGAGCCTAAAGCTTATCTTTTTTGGAGTTGTGTCAACTTGGATTTTCTTCTACAATAAATTAACTTTGTCATACCTGGTCACATGAAATAATATAAAAAATCCATTGCCCCGTATTTGTTCATTTGCTCCCTAAATTTTCCTGGGAACAATCTTCTGTGTTTTTTCAGTTGCGGTTTTCACTAAGTATTTGTGACCCACTTGTGTTAAAAGATATAAGCTCCAAAGTATCACATTGTGCCACCAGTTGAGATGTGCATTCTTCTGAAAGTGCTCAGAAATCAGTTCATCTTGAGTAGTGTTAAGTGGCTTTCTATCTGCCTTAGATACTTTATTTCCCTCTTCTCACTTGGCCATTTGTTGACTGATTAAATGTTTGTATCATTATAAAAGATGTTTTCTGGAAGGCCAAGCCACAAGTCTCATTATGAAGTTCGCTGGTACAAACTCAGACATATCATATTTGCTGCAAAGAATTAATTTATAAACCCTGTGCTGCTGTTGACCAGCTTTGCCACCTGCTGTGAGCCATAAATAAAAATAAGTGCTGGTGTAATGAGGGACCTTGGCTTGTATATCTTTCTTGGCCTTCTTGGACCTTTGGATGCCTTGCATGGGGTGCCTGCGGAAAAGAAGGAAAATATAGCCAACCCCAAGGCTACTTTATCTATTAAACCTTGGAATTTTTTAGTAGTTTGCCATTAGCGTACATAGTCCACAGGTATTGCGTAGCTTCATTTGTTTTAATATTCCAGCTGTGGAGGAGCCAGCTGAGGAGCAAATCCTAGGTGTCCTTAGTTAGTGGCCATGATTGAAGCCAATGGACAATTGAGTGGAGGCTCTGACATGCTCTGCTCCTGGGCTGTCCTGAAGAATCTAGGAAGCTGTTTGCAGATGGGCCTTGCACTGTTTATTCGTGGAGAGCTTTATATGTGCAGCCCACTGAAGGAAGTCCGACATTTTAGGCCTGCAGTTAGGATGTTCTACGTGAAGCATCTAAGAGTCACGATTGGGGGTTTTTAGCCTTTTAGGGGTCACGGGACCCCTTTGCCAGTCTGGAGGAGCCTATGGGCCCTTCCCAGAATATGTTTTAAAGCAAGGGTCCTCAACCCCTGGGCCACCCGACCGGGCCGCACAGCAGGAGGTGAGCAGCGAGCGAGGAAAGCTTCATCTGTATTTATAGCTGCTCCCCCATTGCTCGCATTACCGCCCGAACGCTGCCTCCTGTCAGATCAGCAGCGGCATTAGATTCTCATAGGAGCATAAACCCTATTGTGAACTATGCATGTGAGGGATCTAGTTTGTGTGCTCCTTATGAGAAACTCATGCCTGATGATCTCTCACTGTGTCCCATCATTCCCAGATGGGACCGTCTAGTTGTAGGAAAACAATCTCAGGGGTCCTGTTGATTCTACATCACAGTGAGTTGTATAATTATTTCATTATATATTATAATGTAATAATAATAGAAATAAAGTGCACAATAAATGTAATGCACTTGAATCATCCTGAAACCATCCTCCCTGCCCCTGCCCACCTGGTCCGTGGAAAAATTTTTTTCCATGAAACCAGTCCCTGGTGCCAAAAAGGTTGGGGACCACTGTTTTAAAGTGTTTAAATACAAAGAATTACAAAGGAGACCCTTCATATCAAAATACAGTTATCAAAATATTTTAAAGTTATATATAATTATGTGCTTCTTTACTAATGTCTTAAATAATGAGATCAAACAGCAGATCTTAAAAACTGTCATAATATTTGGAGTAGTGATGGGCATAAAAGTTATTCTGAGATCTCCGCAGGAACTGTAATGTGATATGAAAAAGTCTGTGACTCCTGTTACCAACAAAGTCTCAAGTCTCAAGTCTACTACTAGGGTATGTTACCTACATTCCCTAAGTGAGGGAAATGTTATGTTTCAGTTGAGGGCAAATGATGGCAATGATGTAATTTTTTTCTCTTTCAAGTTCACAGACCCCCCCCCCCAACCTCCAAGAATGACTGGATCTCAGGTTTAGAACTCCTAGTCCCTTCTAGAACTATTGCACATAGAGAATATTTGTGCAAAAAAAAATGGCCATGATTAAGCCTCTATCATCTAATGAGGCTGACACTATTATCATCTCCCTCTTAAAGATGAGAAAACTGAGGTTTAGATAGATGAGTACATTTTTCAGGGTCATCCATTTAGGATGGGATGGAGCTGGAATTCAATCCTTGGCCCTCTGAATTCTTTACTACATTGCTATGCTTGAGTTGAGATGATACTTTGTTTCTATATTGATAAAGTATTTCTTGTTCACCACACTTCACAAATGTGAAAAACAATACTATCCAGTTCAGCTGAGAGGACGAATAAATTAGCATGCCCTTATACACTGTGGGTGGGAGTGTAAATTGCTCCATCCTTTATGACAGCAGTTTGGTCAACATATATTAAGAACCTTAAATTTGTTCTAGTAATTTTACTCCTGGGAAGATATCCTTAGGAAAAGATCACAGTACAAAGATGCCATATGCAAAGATGTTCATCTCAGTGACACTTACAGTAAGGAAATTTCAAAACAAACAAAGTTAGGCAATAGAAGAATGGTTAAGTATCCTATATATATTTACCAGATGGTGTATTAGGCAGGCATTTAAAATTATGGCACTTAAGACTATATAATTAAGCTTTTGTAATGAGTCCTTATTAAAAGCACCTATTATTTAATTGAGTGATGACATAGGACAGTCTTTTCATGGTGGTGATATTTGTAGATGGTAGTAGTTCTGGAAATGGCAATTGCTAGGTCAGGAACTAAAACCTTTAGAGGAAAAATTCCTCCGCTTCCTATCCCCACGCTGTCAGAGACTAGTGGCTTTTCCTTGGGCCTCTGACTTCACTTACTATATCAGAATCACCGTTTTGGAAATATTTGGAGAGTGTTTAGAATAGGACTTTACATTTTAATGTGGTTAGCATACTGGTTCAAATACCTCTTTATGTAGGAAACTAAACTGCGTTTGTTAAATTTGTTTTAATGAGCTGGATTCTTGAGATGTTTCCACTTATAAATGTAACAACTACAAATAGCTGATCCTAGTTTGCTATTGAACATGTGTTATGGTAATCATTGTTTTTATTTTTAATTTCTGGTCTCTTGACCAACAAGAGTCTGAATGTGTTCCATCACTTGAAGATGTTTAGGTTTATTCTTCCTCTTTGTAAGAACAAAAGTACTGTACTTAAGAGCTTGTGCTTTCACTTGGAAGTCTATTAATTCCTTTTTAAAATGTAGTTGTTAGTCCCAATTTCTGCCAAATTTCTTAAACTTTCTGGAAGACTTTCCCAAAGGAAGTATTTTTACCTTCCCAAAGTCTCCGGATTCCTGCTGTCTCCTCAGTCCTGTTCATTAAACTCACTCAACTGGTTTCAGAGTTCATGCATTTCTTTTCTTTCTCCTTATTTTTCTCTAACTATGGCTAAACGTTTGCTCCGTGGATCAGATCCTCTGCTGACTGGGGGGTAGACTTCATCAGTTTCTGCTGCTAGTGCTCTGCCTTCTTGAACAGTATTTCTTTTTCACCAAAGAACTTGTGATGGCATTTACCATGTTTGTCAAAATCCAGTTTTTCACACCTCATTATTTAGGATTTGATCAGAACTCTGGGGCAAAGTTGACTCTTGTAATATTTGGGAGGACTAGGTTTGCTAAAGGAATAACGTCAAAATTTCAGCAGAAATGTTTGTTTTGGAGACAGTTGTAAGACATATAACAATTCTTTACAAATAGGTTAGATTCTTGTATCTTCAATTTACCTACCTGTTACAGAAGCTCAGGGTTATTTAATTGTAATAAGTATTTTTGTATTATGTCTTTTAAAGAAACAGAATAAAAGAGAATGTAGGTAGGGGGAGAGAGAGAGTTATATTAACCTTTTTATTTACCATTTCTGATACTTTTCATTTGTTCCTGTGGATTCAAGTTACCATTTGGTGTCATTTCCTTATTCCAATATAGCCTTGTTCCTACCAATATCCTTTTGCTGTTATTTTCAAATGTATTACATTTCTGTATAAGCCGCAACACATGATTATAAACATCATTTTCTGCAACTGCTTTTTAAACCAGTTAAGAGAAGAAAAGAGGAAATTTGCAATTATACTATCTTTTATAATTGCATGCATAACTACCTTTACTGGTATTCTTTGTTTTTTATCACGTGAATTCAAATTACTATCTGGTGTCATTTGCTTTCAGCCTGAAGAAATTTCTTTATTATTATTATTATTATTATTATTATTATTATTATTATTATTTTTGAGACAGAGTCTCGCTCTATGGCCCAGGCTGGAGTGCTGTGGCGCGATCTCAGCTCACTGCAAGCTCCACCTCCCAGGTTCATGCCATTCTTCTCCCTCAGCCTCCGGAGTAGCTGGGACTACAGGAGCCTGCCACTACGCCCGGCTAATGTTTTGTATTTTTTTAGTAGAGATGGGGTTTCACTGTGTTAGCCAGGATGGTCTCAATCTCCTGGCCTCGTGATCCACCCACCTTGGCCTCCCAAAGTGCTGGGATTACAGGCGTGAGCCACCGCGCCCGGCCCCTTTAGTATTTTTGTAAGATGGGTCTGCTAGCATTATCTCAGCTTTTGTTGATCTGAAAGTGTTCATATTTCATCTTCATTTTTGAAAGATAGTTTTAGTGGATATAAAATTCTTGGCTGACTTTTTTTTTCTTTCAGCACTTTGAATATGTCATCCCGTGGCCTTCGTTGTTTCTAATGAAAAGTCAGACATTAATCTTACTGGAATTCTCTTGTATATGACAAAACATTTTTCTCTTGCTGCTTTCAGGATTTTCACTCTTTATCTTTCAAAGTTAACTGACACATCTGGGTGTGGACCTCTTTGCCTTTATCCCACTTGGAGTTCATTTGGCTTCTTGGATATGTAGATTTAATTTTTTAAAAAATGATATCTGGGGCCGGGCACGGTGGCTCATGCCTGTAATCCCAGCACTTTGGGAGACCGAGGTGGGTGGATCACCTGAGGTTGGGAGTTCAAGACCAGCCTGACCAACATGGAGAAACCCTGTCTCTACTAAAAATACAAAATTAGCTGGTGTGGTGGTGCATGCCTTAATCCCAGCTACACAGGAGGCTGAGGCAGGAGAATTACTTTAACCTGGTAGACGGAGGTTGTGGTGATCCAAGATCGTGCCATTGCACTCCAACCTGGGCAACAAGAGTGAAACTCCATCTCAAAAAAAAAAAATCATATTTAGGAAGTTTTCAGCAATTATTTCTTTGAGTATTTTTCTGCTCCTTTCTCTCCTCTTCTTCTGGGACTCATATTAGGTGTCACATATGTTGGTGCACTTAATGCTGTCCCATGTTCCTTTAAGACTTTGTTCATTTTTTCTTTTTCTGTCTTGTTCTTCAGATTGCATATCTCTATTTTTCTATCTTCAAGTTTGCTGATTATTTCTTCTGCCACTCAAATTGCCTGTTGAGCCTCCTGAGTGAATTTTTCATTTTGGCTGTTGTACTTTTCAACTTCAGAATTCCTACCCCCCCTCCTTTTTTTTGGTAATTTTTCTTTATCTTCTGTGTTTGAGATACTGTTATAATACCTTCCTTTAATTCTTTAAGTATGGTTTCCCTTAGTTCTTTGAACGTATTTGTAATATCTGCTTTCAAGTCATTGTCTGCTACATTTAATATCTGGGTCCTTTCAAAGGCAGTTAGCATTGCCTACTGTTTTTCCCATATGTGGATCACACTGTCCTGTATTTGCATGTTTTGTATTTTTTGTTGACAACTGGACATTTCAGATAATATATTGTAGAAACTCCAGATACTGATCTTTCTCCCTTCTGCCTCCGGGGCATGTTGTTTTTGTTGTTTACTTGTTTATTTGTTTCATGACTTGACTAGTTCAGTGAAGTCTATTTTTCTGCAATGGGCAGCCTCTGATGTCACTTCTTTTTTTTTTTTTAATTTAAGTTTTAGGGTACATGTGCACAACGTGCAGGTTTGTTACATATGTATACATTTGCCATGTTGGTGTGCTGCACCTATTAACTCGTCATTTAGCATTAGGTATAGCACCTAATGCTATCCCTCCCTGCTCCCCCCACCCCACAACATTCTCCGGTGTGTGATGTTCCCCTTCCTGTGTCCATGTGTTCTCATTGTTCATTTCCCACCTAAGAGTGAGAACATGTGGTGTTTGATTTTTTGTCCTTGTGATAGTTTGCTGAGAATGATGGTTTCCAGCTTCATCCATGTCCCTACAAAGGACATGAACTCATCCTTTTTTATGGCTGCATAGTATTCCATGGTGTATATGTGCCACATTTTCTTAGTCCAGTCTATCGTTGTTGGACATTTGGCTTGGTTCCAAGTCTTTGCTATTGTGAATAGTGCCGCAATAAACATACATGTGCATGTGTCTTTATAGCAGCATGGTTTATAATCCTTTAGGTATATACCCAGTAATGGGATGGCTGGGTCAAATGGTATTTCTAGTTCTAGATCCCTGAGGAATCGCCACACTGACTTCCACAATGGTTGAACTAGTTTACAGTCCCACCACCAGTGTAAAAGTGTTCCTATTTCTCCACATCCTCTCCAGCACCTGTTGTTTCCTGACTTTTTAATGATTGCCATTCTAACTGGTGTGAGATGGTATCTCATTGTGGTTTTGATTTGCATTTCTCTGATGGCCAGTGATGATGAGCGTTTTTTCATGTGTCTTTTGGCTGCATAAATGTCTTCTTTTGAGAAGTGTCTGTTCATATCCTTCGCCCACTTGTTGATGGGGTTGTTTGTTTTTTTCTTGTAAATTTGTTTGAGTTCATTGTAGATTCTGGATATTAGCCATTTGTCAGATGAGTAGATTGCAAAAATTTTCTCCCATTCTGTAGGTTGCCTGTTCACTCTGATGGTAGTTTCTTTTGCTGTGCAGAAGCTCTTTAGTTTAATTAGATCCCATTTGTCAATTTTGGCTTTTGTTGCCATTGCTTTTGGTGTTTTAGACATGAAGTCCTTGCCCATGCCTATGTCCTGAAAGGTATTGCCTAGGTTTTCTTCTAGGGTTTTTATGGTTTTAGGTCTAACATGTAAGTCTCTAATCCATCTTGAATTAATTTGTGTATAAGGTGTAAGGAAGGGATCCAGTTTCAGCTTTCTCCATATGGCTAGCCAGTTTTCCCAGCACCATTTATTAAATAGGGACTCCTTTCCCCATTGCTTGTTTTTGTCAGGTTTGTCAAAGATCAGATAGTTGTAGCTATGCGGCATTATTTCTGAGGGCTCTGTTCTGTTCCATTGGTCTATATCTCTGTTTTGGTACCAGTACCATGCTGTTTTGGTTACCGTAGCCTTGTAGTATAGTTTGAAGTCAGGTAGCGTGATGCCTCCAGCTTTGTTCTTTTGGCTTAGGGCATTCAATTAGGAAAAAAGGAAGTCAAATTATCCCTGTTTGCAGATGACATGATTGTATATCTACAAAACCCCATCATCTCAGCCCAAAATCTCCTTAAGCTGATAAGCAACTTCAGCAAAGTCTCAGGATACAAAATCATTGTGCAAAAATCACAAGCATTCTTATACGCCAATAACAGACAGAGAGCCAAATCATGAGTGAACTCCCATTCACAATTGCTTCAAAGAGAATAAAATACCTAGGAATCCAACTTACAAGGGATGTGAAAGGCCTCTTCAAGGAGATCTACAAACCACTGCTCAGTGAAATAAAAGAGGATACAAACAAATGGAAGAACATTCCATGCTCATGGGTAGGAAGAATCAATATCGTGAAAATGGCCATACTGCCCAAGGTAATTTATAGATTCAATGCCATCCCCATCAAGCTACCAATGACTTTCTTCACAGAATTGGAAAAAACTACTTTAAAGTTCATATGATGTCACTTCTTAAAGGGCACACTCTTGGGCATGCGCACAGTTATTCTGACTCTTGTATCCTCACCCAGGAATGACAGTAGTTGCAGCTAGGCTCTCTTTGACTGTCTGTTTCCCTGATCTCCCTGTTAAGTTTCTGACTAATCTTCTGTATTGGTCTTACACAACTGGTACTACACTGAGTTGTTAGTCTCCCTCCTTAGCTGATTGTTCTATTGCTTTTGACAATACCTTGAGGCATAATTGTTCCACAGTTTGATACAATTAAAGTTTTGCAGGAATAGTCCTTAAAACTAATCCCTAAGGCTTGGTCTGACCTCAGGAAGGTTCCTCCTAGCTGTCTCTTTCCCATTTCTCTCTGTTAAACTTCTAGCTGGTCTACCCTTTACATATTCCTATCACAGAGCTACCAGCCTTCTCTTAATTGCCAGCCACCAAAATCTCCATAATGTTTTGTACAGCACTCATGAGCTTAAACTTCCCCATGGCACATTCTGCATGAAGTCACTCTCCTTGTGAAGAGCTGCAGTTCTTACAGCCTGCCTTTCTCCTGGTCAGAGCTCTGTACCACTGCTGTGGAGATGGCAGTGGAAACAGCAGTCTGTTTCTCTTGGGGTGACACTCTGCTCTGTGAGTGGGGTGCTGGCTGGGGGCAACAGCCTCTAGTCTTCTCAGCTTGCCTCTCTTGGCATAGAACCTTCATTCTGTGAGGGAGCTGGGGCAGGGACAATCAAGTTTCAGCATTCTTGGCCTGTTTTTTGTTTGTTTCTTTGTTTTTGTTTTGTTTTGAGACGGAGTCTTGCTCTGTTGCCCATGTTGGAGTGCAGTGGTACGATCTCGGTTCACTGCAACCTCTGCCTTCCGGGTTTAAGCAATTCTCCTGCCTCAACCTCCCACGTAGGTTTCACTGCAACCTCTGCCTCCCGGGTTTAAGCAATTCTCCTGCCTCAGCCTCCCAAGTAGCTGGGATTACAGGCGCCTGCCACCACACCTGGCTAATTTTTGTATTTTTAGTAGAGAGGGGGTTTCACCATGTTGGCCAGGCTGGTCTCTAACTCCTGTCCTTGTGATCCATCCACCTCGGCCTCCCAAAGTGCTGGGATTACAGGTGTGAGCCACTGCGCCCAGTCTCTTAGCCTGTTTTGCCTAGGGTAGAGCTTCTACCCTACAGGTGTAGGCTGGGTAGAGCAAGGGAGCCCTGGTCATCTTGACCACACTTGCCTGGAATAGAGCTTCTACAATATCAGGCTGCGAGGAATAAGAATGTTGGTGGCCTGGTCTTCTAAGGAGAAACAGTGACTCTGGACCAGGGACAAGAGGGAGCCCTTTTGTCTTGGCCACACCTACTTAGAGTAGAACTTCAGTCAGTCTGGGCTGGGTGTGGGGGCGGGGGAGCAGTTTATGGCCCAAATGCTGCAGAATCTTACTAACAAGATTTAGATTTTCTTGAATAAAATGTTTTTCCATTTGCTACATGCCCTCAGGACAACTTATAGAGACTTTAAATCAGGGGTGTTCAGTCTTTTGGCTTTGCTGGGCCACATTGGAGGAAGAAGAATTGTTTGGGCCACATGTAAAATACACTAACAATAGCTGATGAGCTATTAAAAAAAAAGTTTGTGTGTAAATCTCATAATGTTTTAAGAAAGTTTACAAATTTGTGTTGGGCCACATTCAAAGCCATCCTGGGCCATATGTGGTCCATGGGCCCCGGTTGGACAAGCTTGCTTTAAATGGCTGTTTAAAAAGAATTTTCATCAGTTATGGTTGTCTTTCTGGGGATAGGATCTGGGAAGCTCCTTACACTTCCAGTCCAACTTTAACTTTTTGAAAATAACAAATGATGTTTCTTCAAAGGTATTTTTCCTTCTAGACCTCACTGATCTACACAGTCCTTTTCTCCCTCTGTCTGAACTAGGAAGTCTTTGACCATAACATCAACCAATTTCAGGTGTGTATTAGTCCATTTTCATACTGCTATAAAGAACTGTCCAAGACTGGGTAATTTGTAAAGGAAACAGGTTTAATTCACTCACAGTTCAGCATGGCTGGGGAGGCCTCAGGAAACTTACAATCATGGTGGAAGGGGGAGCCGCAGGCAAGATACCTTCTTCACAAGGCGGCAGGAAGGAGAAGTGCCTAGCGAAGGGGGAAGAGCCCCTTATAAAACCATCGGGTCTCATGAGAACTCACTCACTATCAGGAGAACAGCATGGGAGAAACCGCCCCTGATGATCAAGTTACCTCCACCTGGTCTCTACCTTGACACATGGGGATTACGGGGATTACAATTCAAGATGAGATTTGGGTAGGGACACAAAGCCTAACCATATCAAGGTGGAAGAAAGAAAGTTTAACTTTTGAATATGTAAATGGCATTTAATTTAGTCTAGGAACATGGCTTTCTTGGCATGGATGAGGGAGAAATTTACCTCTAACTTACCAAAACCTTAATGCTGAATGATTTGAGTCTCTTTAAGAACTTGAAAGTATTACAAGGCCAGGTGCAGTGGCTCACACCTGTAATCCCAACCCTTTGGGAGGCCAAGGCAGGAGGATCGCTTGAGCCCAGGAGTTTGAGACTGCAGTAAGCTGTGATTGTGCCACCGCACTGCAGCCTGGGTGACAGAGCAAGACCTTGTCTCAAAAAAAGAAAAAAGTGCCACAGGGAACAGAGAGTCTTTGTTCCTGTGGGGTAGGCAATTCCTAGTGGCTGTGAAGAAGTAGATAGGAGCCTGCTACCCCACTTATCACACACACACACACACACACACACACACACACACCCCTACACACCTGAATTTTTACCCTTTCTACTTACAACACTGGTATTTGTGGGTTTTGGTTTTGTTTTGTTTTGTTTTTGATGTAGTCTCGCTCTGTTGCCCAGGCTGGAGGGCAGTGGTGCGATCTAGGCTCAATGCAACCTCCGCCTCCTGGGTTCAAGTGATTCTCCTGCCTCAGCCTCCTGAGTAGCTGGGACTACAGGCATGTGCTACCACACCCGGTTAATTTTTTTTTTTTTTTTTTTTAAGTAGAGATGGGGTTTCACCATGTTGGCCAGGCTGGTCTCAAACTCCTGACCTCAAATAATCCACTCGCCTCTGCCTTCCAAAGTGCTGGGATTACAGGCGTGAGCCACCGCGCCTGGCCAGTATTTGTGTTTTGACAGACTTAATACCAATAGCTGGTACCCACAAGGATGGTCTCCAGCTGCTGCTTTGCAGCAGGATGTAAGTATTCTCAGAAAACCAACCCTATTTTCAGGGATAATAGAATATCAGAAGCTTTGTCTAAGACAACATTGACTCGTCACCTGTTTCTGTATGTCCTGGGAGCTAAGAATGGTTCTTACACTTATTAATGGTTGGAAAATAACAAAGTAAGATGATGATTTCAGGACACGTAAAAATACGAAATTTAGGCCAGATATGGTGGCTCAAGCCTGTAGTCCCAGCACTTTGGGAGGTTGAGGTGGGCGGATTGTTTGAGCCCTGAAGTTTGAGACCAGCCTGGGCAACATGGCAAAACCCCAATCTCTACAAAATAATAGAAATATTAGCTGAGCATGGTGGCACGCACCTTTAGTCCCAGCTACTAGGGAGGCTGAGGTGGGAGGGTTGTTTGAGCCTGGGAGGTTGAGGCTGCAGTGAGCCATGTTCGCGCCACTGCACTTCAGTCTAGGTGACAGAGCAAGACCCTGTCTCAAAAAGCAGAAGAGATCTGAGACTCATTATATTAATATATGCTTCCTACAAAACAATTTTTATTCCACAAAGTTTATAATAGCTCACCTATAGTTAAATGATCAAATAATATGCCTTTTTCATCTATGCTGAAAGAAAAAACAATATGCCATGTTGCAATCCTTGCTTATCAGGAGGTTCATGTTCCCTCTGGTTTTGGGCACATATAATGAAACAATGTGATTTCTGAGATTTAAAACCCTAAAATTTCTGCCAGTGAAGTTCAGAGATACATACAGATCAGTTCAGTATTTGAAACCAAATTTTTGTCATATATCTACGTGGTAGAGCTTTTGAAATCGAGCGGTTTCCTGTTTTGTGCCTAATAGATCCATAGTCGTATTGAACGAATTGTTTTCATCCTCAAGTATTTTCTCCATGCCTGTCCCACCAGGCGCCACCTGCCCAGAGCCTACACTTCCACATAAGTTACTTTCTGGAACATCTTTGTTTCTTTTTTCCAGGCATCCAGTGGAAATTATTATTTCATCCCATACATCGTGACACCGTGCGCTGATTATTTTTGCTGCGAGAGTGATGCCCAGAGACGAGCCTCCGAGTACATGCAGCCCAACTGGGACAACATCCTGGGCCCGCTGTGCATGCCTTTGGTGGACAGGTTCATTAGCCTCCTTAAGGACATCCACGTGACCTCATGGTAATTCCCATCTGCCACCAGTAACCCCTGGAGACTCACCAAGATGTCCCCATTTCTTTCAGGGAAGCGGTACACCTTCAAATGAACAGAGTTGCTGGAGAACCCACTATTGTCCCTTACTGGCTCACTTAGCTGGGCCACTGAAATGAAACCAAAAGAGAATAGAACTGGAGTTAAGAAGTCGGGATTGAGCCCGTGTCTGGCCCTGACTCCCTGTTTGATCTTGACATGTAACTTCTCTTCTCTCTGATTGTTCTGTCTCTTCTAGATAAGACAACTTATAGGAAGTTGTCAGTGATTTTTTTTTTTTTAACGATCTCTTTCAGCTCTGAGATCCTGTGTTTCAAGATGATTTCTGAGCATGGCTTTACACTCGCGTGGCTGTTGGGGCTCTTCATATATCTCAGCAAGGTCATTCTGACCTTACGCTCTCGTGCTTTAAAAGCCTTCGTGCGTTGAGTGGAGCTGCAGCTATCCTCAGGATGTACTGTGCTGTGTTCTCTTTAGATTTAGGTTAGGTGAGGTGAAATATGCAGAAGTGAATAGGTTTAGATTGGAATCTTGGCTTAGATGATTCCTACCTGTGTAGCACTGAAATAGTCAGCTCACCTATTGGAGCCTCAGTGCTCAAGAAACCATACCTTCAGATGTTATTATTGTGAAAGTAAAAGAAAAATTATTCTTCTTAACCAAAGGATCCAGTTATTTTGCTTGCAGCCAATTTAAAGGATTTATTCCTGTAAGTTGTGTCACAAGGAGAAGGATTTGTCCTTCCAAAACAAATGAAAATCCCAAACACTGGCAGAGCTGACCTGAAATGAAATGTAGAGGACCTCCTGTCACACTGTGGCTCAAATAGTGGCACCCTGAACTGCGGAGTGTTCTATTGTAGTGTTGGTACAAGGGAGACACTTATTAATGGTCTCCTTTTCTATCCCGTCACCTCTTCCCTGGATACAGACCTTCTTCTACAGACTTTAATGGAAAAGGAGATTAGAAACCTAAACATGTGTGACCACATGCCAACACAGAGAGCAAATGGGGGACATTTTGTGGCACATTCCTGGAAAACCTCATGCAGTCATGCCTTGCTAACTGTTGTCTGATTGCAAAACAAACACTTGAGTGAAGTTTTATAGAAAGCTCTCCCAATACCATATTTTCAAGTCTGACAAGGAGGTAGACTGGCTAGATCTGCCAGATGATTTAGGTCTTTGCAAGACATGGATTCAAGTTTGTTTCTCACTCAGTGTGTGTATGTATCAGTAGGCAAACAACTCTTGTGATTTCATTTAGTTTCAAAGGGCTTGAAATACCTATTGGTGGATTCCACCCTCTGAACTGGCAGTGTCTGACAACAGTTAGTAGGAGGGGAAGTGGTGCTTATAGTTTAAAACATCTATAACACAGATGGAAAGGAAGTTTTGAGCTCAAGCGCCAGCTCTGATAGATTTATAAAGTCTATTTTGAGTCCTGTGCTGGAATGGCTTGGAAGCCATTTCCAAGTGCTCATTGATCAGCAACATCTTCCTTGGTTACAGGGGCAGAAATGGCTGCATGCTTATTACATATCTGATGTCCCCAAGCCATACTCAAACCAGTGTTTAATTTACCTAAAAGGTACTGTTCTTCTTAGGTTTCTTAGTTTATTAAAATTATTTTTCAGAATTACCCTTGAAAAATAAGGCTGAAGTATAACTTTTTACTTATCGGGCTAACCTAATAACACTTTAATAGCTTCAGTGCCTTTATAGTCCACCAAATGTGCAATGGCTGGCATCCAACTTAATGACTCATTCAATTAGTGACAGAATTTTAAACACTGGCAGAATCTGCTAATTTTGTTCATTATTGGGATGATGGCAATTAACAAAAAAGGAAATAGAAAACTAAAGCAATGCATTGATATTTTTCTATCAGAACCCCTGCTGTGTGCGTCACTTCATTCTTTAAATGTTAATGGAGGTCCTCTTGTGAGCATTGGACCAGGTTATGTACTGTATGTACACATATTTGGCATTGTTTTGTAATTATTGAAAGTAGGCACCATTTGTTCTTATCGTATCTCATGTTGTTTTTCTCTCTTTGAAGACTATTATTAAATTTAGCTTACTCTCTTTTTAATGAACAGCCTAATTTTACACTCTGCAGTTAGTCCATTTCAGCTTTGTTTTGTGTGTGTGTGTGTGTGTGTGTGTGTGTGTGTGTGTGTGTGTGTGTTTTAGACCAAGTCTCACTCTGTCGCCCAGGCTGGAGTGCAGTCGTGCGATCTCAGTTCACTGCAACCTCTGCCTCCCGGGTTCGAGCGATTCTCCTGCCTCGACCTCCGAAGTAGCTGGGATTACAGGCACCCACCACCAAGCCCAGTTAGTTTTTGTATTTTTAGTAGAGACGGGGTTTCACCACGTTGGCCAGGCTGGTCTTGAACTCCTAAGCTCGGGTGATCCTCTTGCCTTGGCCTCCAAAAGTGCTGAGATTATAGGCCTGAGCCACTATGCCTGGCCCCATTTCAGCTTCTTAATGGGACGACAGTATTACTGCTTGGCAGTGTCCTACCTCCACTTAAAAATTCCTATGGAAAATAGACAAGATATTTTAAATCAATCTATGGTTGTTGTAACTCAACTTATGTATACCAAGTTAGGTCATTTTTCAAGGTTTTAAACCAAATACCAGATAATAGCATTGGCTCTTCAAGAGACTATGGTGATATTCCAGCGTGAATTTAACTGCTTTAAGTGTTTTTAAGCTTCCTCGTGCTTATCTAGCTGCTCACCTGAGGGAAGTTTTGTGTTTTCCATTAGAAAACTATTCTTGGGTCCAGGCATGGTGGCTCACGCCTGTAATCCCAGCACTTTGGAAGGCTGAGGCAGGTGGATCACTTGAGTCCAGGAGTTTGAGACCAGCCTGGCCAACATGGTGAAACCCCGTTCTGGCTGGGTGCAGTGGCTCACGCCTGTAATCCCAGCACTTTGGGAGGCCGAGGCGGGTGGATCACGAGGTCAGGAGATCGAGACCATCCTGGCTAACATGGTGAAACCTCATCTCTACTAAAAATACAAAAATTTAACTGGGCATGGTGGCGGGCGCCTATGGTCCCAGCTACTCAGGAGGCTGAGGCAAGAGAATGGCATGAACCCAGGAGGCGGAGCTTGCAGTGAGCCGAGATTGTGCCACTGCACTCCAGCCTGGGCGAAAGTGCGAGACTCTGTCTTAAGAAAAAGAAAAAAAAAAAAGGAAAGAAACCCTGTCTCTAATAGCAATACAAAAATTAGCCAGGTGTAGTGGCACATGCCTATAGTCCCAGCTACTTGGGAGGCTGAGGCAGGAGAATCGCTTGAACCAGGGAGGCGGAGGTTGCAGTGAGCTGAGATTGCACCACTGCACTCCAGCCTGGGCAACAGAGGGAGACTCCGTCTCAAAAAAATAAATAAAAATAAAAAAAAAAAAACAAAAAAACAAAAAAACAGAACATCTGGCCATTCAATATGGTGAGGAGAGCAAGGCTGTCTGTAAGTTTCCAGGCATGACCTCTGTGTGTCCCATCTTGTATTGCTCAGGGACTCAACACCAGTTTCCAGCCCTCACCTCAATTGGGGAAAGCTTCATGACTACTAATGAGAGACACCTGATAGAGAAATTCATTTTCAAGTCATTCTCATGTATGTTTCATGGGTTTTGGAGCTCCGTTTGGCTTTGTTACTAGTGGCGAAAATAAATACACAAGGAAGGTAACTTCTCACCCTCTATATGTTTGAAAATGCCGGAGACAGTGGGTTTGGTTGGCTGCAAGTTCTGTGTGTTGTCCAAGTACAGATGGGAGTCACCTTTGAAAGTATCTTCAAGGTTGAATGAACTGATTTTTACTTGTCATTCATTGGTCTATAAAATGTGAATAAGTAGAAAGCATCTTCTGTTTGCTGGTGCAGGGAGGCTCAGGTCTGGGCCGAGGTCCCTATGTGTTAGCCTAAGTCAGGTCAATGAGAACCATTTTGGGCGCAAGACAGTCCTGGGTGCGTGCAGATGTGACTGGAGGATTTTGTGTTTTTCTTTCTATAGTGTTTATTACAAAGAAACCTTGTTAAATGACATCCGGAAAGCCAGAGAGAAATACCAAGGTGAGGAACTGGCGAAGGAGCTAGCTCGGATCAAGCTCCGCATGGATAATACTGAGGTTCTGACCTCAGACATCATCATTAACTTACTCCTGTCCTACCGTGATATCCAGGTATGAAATCCACCTAGCCGAGGCTCACGTATGCTACGTTCTTCCTTGGCTTGAGGAACGTCTTGTGAAGTATTTGTATACTCAGTATGTGGTGAAGTGGCTGGGTTTTGTTCTTCTTTTTTGTTTTCTTTTTTGAGATGGAGTTTTGCTCTTGTTGCCCAGGCTGGAGTGCAATGGTGCGATCTCGGCTCACTGCAACCTCAGCCTCCCGGGTTCAAGCTGTTCTCCTGCCTCAGCCTCCTGAGTAGCTGTGATTACAGGCATGCGCCACCATGCCCAGATAACTTTATATTTTTAGTAGAGACAGGGTTTTCACCATGTTGGTCAGGCTGGTCTTAAACTCCTGACCTCAGGTGATCCACCCGCCTCGGCCTCCCAAAGTGCTGGGATTGCAGGCATGAGCCACTGTGCCCGGCCAGAGGTGGCCGTTTTATAGACAAATGGTATGTGGCTAGGTCATAGGTCATCCAGCTTATCTGTTGTGGTGGAAATTTTGGAGAAGGTTTTGTCACATCGGGGCTGGTGTGACCACTCCGACAAGAAGAGATGTCATAAACAGGACTGTTTGGCAGAAGGAGCCAAGAATTTAAGTTTATATGAACTTTACACTAGGCATTGTACCAAGCCCTTTGACAAACCTGAATTCATTTAATCCTCTTAACAACCCTATGTGGGATATGTGTACTCTGATTATCCACATTTTACACATGAGGAAACTGAGGCACAGAGCGGTTAAGTAACTTGCCCGAGGTCACACAGCAGTTGGTTAGGTCAGGATTCAGACTGAGACTGATGCTCCGTTGTCCTTGTTCCTAACCCCTCTGCTGTGCAACTTCCTTTAGGCTTTTGTCACTTCCTCCTTTGTTTACCACCATACATCAGTGACAGGGAGAACAGGAGTAGCAGAAACACATTCAGGACCCAGGGAATGTAGATGTTTATTCTGAGACAAGCATCAGAAGCTACTGGAGAGTTCTGAGACTGGTCTTTTGGTCTGTGGTTCCGTGAAGGAAATTGAGCGTTTCCTCTCTCCAAGTTGAATGCCATTGAGCCATCTCTAAGGATGTCTTGGCTTCCTTTCCTTTGGAGGAACACAGGATCACGTACCTTACTCATAGAATTCCACAAAGCCATGTTGAGAGTTGTTGGCTAGAAGTCTTTAAATTGAAGTGATGGAGGCGTCCACTTATGACCTGGACCAAAACAGAGTCAACCAGTAAGGAACTCCTGCCCCTGGTGATAAACAGATGCAGCTAGCTGATTTTATTTCTGTTTTTCAAATTTTTATTTATTTATTTATTTATTGAGACACAGTCTTGCTCTGTTACCCAGGCTGGAGTGCAGTGGTGTGATCTCAGCTCACTGCAACCTCCGACTCCCAGGTTCAAGCAGTTCTCCTGCCTCAGCCTTCCCAGTAGCTGGAATTACAGGTGCCTGCCACCTTGCCTGGCTAACTTTTTTAATTTTTAGTAGGGATGGGGTTTCACCATGTTGGGCAGGCTGATCTCAAACTCCTGACCTCAGGTGATCCATCTGCCTTGGCCTCCCAGAGTGCTGGGATTACAGGCGTGAGCCACCGTGCCTGGCCAGCTAGCTGATTTTAATAGCAGTTGCTACTAGGGATGATAATGATTAGGTCTTGTCTCCCAGGACAAGAACATGGGAATGACTTTTCTTGAAGCCTTTCTTCCCTCGAGCTGCTGCTTTTTGTCCTTCCCTTCATGTATCCCTTCTTTTCATAACCTTCCATTCATGCTCAAAGGTGGGCCAAGAGGTTCTTGGAATACCCTGCCTTCTCCCTCCTGGGGCAGCAGCATCAAGGCGCAGAGCCACAGGACAGGCATGGCATTTCAGTGGGAAGCCCTGTTCTGCTGACCATGGCTGGCTGTCAGCAAGTTGGCCAGTTCCAACGATTCTAAGCCTGGCTGAAAGAGTAACAGGCGGCACTGCTAAGAGGGGACTTGGCTGAGACAAGCATGGTCGCAATTTTTCTCCAGGTAATTATGCAGAGTTTAGAGCAGTGGTTCTCAACCCAAGGACTTTTTTGGCAGTGTCTGGAGACATTTTCAGTTGTAAAAACTAAGTGCGTGTGTGGGGCATGAGGTGGGTGGTGTGCTGTGGCTTCCAGTGGGTCAAGGCCAGCATCCTACAGTGCCCAGGACAGCTCCCACAACAGAGAATTATGGTCCAGAAACGTCACTAGTCCCAAGGTTGAGAAACACTAGTTTAGATTAATGTATTTGATTCTGGCAAAATAGGAAAGACTGGAATCTATGTGCTTTGACTGGAAGTTTGCTTGTGTGTATTTGTCCAGCTCACTTTAACACACATCTCTGCTGATACTGTTTTTTTATTTTGTTTTTGATTTTGAGACAGACGGAGTCTTGCTCTGTTGCCCAGCCTGGAATGCAGTGGCACAATCTTGGCTCACTGCAACCTCCGCCTCTCAGGTTCAATCAATTCTCCTGCCTCAGCCTCTCGAGTAGCTGGGATTCCAGGCGCCCGCCACCATGCCCAGCTATATTTTGTATTTTTAGTAGAGACAGGGTTTCACCATGTTGGCCAGGCTAGTCTCGAACTCCTGACTTCAAGTGATCCACCCACCTCCGCCTCTCAAAGTGCTGAGATTACAGGTGTGAGCCACCACGCCCAGCCTCTGCTGATGTTGTTAACTCTCCTACACTCAGCTGTTTCCTGGCTGCTGGCCTCATTTACTTTTGTTGCCTTTGGATGCTTCATGCCCTTTGATAGCAGGGATTCCTTCTCTGTTCTTCTCTCTCTCATCCATCTTATTTTCTGGTCTTTTTCCCTCCTATTAAAGGCTACAAGTAACTTCACTAAATGCCCTTTGTAAGGAAGGGCCTGTCTTTAAGTGCGGAGGCTGTCTCCTGTTTATAACAATTCAGAAAAATCAGTGAAGAGCTGTGTTTCCTCTCTTGCTCACTTTGGGACCTCTTGCCAACAGGACTATGATGCGATGGTGAAGCTGGTGGAAACACTGGAGATGCTGCCTACGTGTGATTTGGCCGATCAGCATAACATTAAATTCCACTATGCGTTTGCACTGAATAGGTAAGAACGATAATGTACGTACAGGTTTTGAAACATGCCACCCATTGAATTGTGCTTCCTTCTTTCATTCAACATCGGGTATGAGCCAGGTCACGTGCTAAATGCCAAGGTTATGAAGATGGACAAGGTCCAGTCTTTGTCCTCAGGGACTTTGTATTTGGCATACACATTCTAGCTGTGAGATTGAACACATCAATCCATCCTAATAGCTTATGACGGCATCAAAACAGGCACCCCCGGCTTCACATATCTTGTAACACATACGAGGTCACATCTCTTTTTTAAATCGGTAAAATTTGCAGTCAGTGAAATGCACAGATCTTAAGTATATGATTTGTGTTTGATAATTGGCTATACACATGGAAACAACACTCCCATCAAAAAAGAAAACATTTCCATCACCCCAGAAGTTCCCTTGTGCTCCTTTGCAGGCAATCCTTAACCCCTCCATAGGTGACCACTGTTACAGCCTCTGTCTCCATAGATGAGTTTGGCTTGTCCTTGACTTCACATAAACGGAATCACACAGTGTGTACTCTTTTGTGTCATTCATCGTCGTGTTCGCGAGATTCATCTATGCGGTTGTGTGTATTAGTGGTTTGTTCGTTCTCATTGCCGTCGCGTAGTCCTTGGTATAGGTATGCCACAATCATCTGTTTTACTGCTGATGGGCCTCTAGGTTGTTTGCGGTTTGGGGATACTGAGAACAGCGCTGCTATGGACATTGCTGTACATGCTTTTTCTACACATATGGATACATTTCTCGGGTATATAGCATGTGCTTGTAGTAGACATCGGCAAACAGTGGTAGGATTCTGATTCCTTTTTGGGAGAAAGCTTCATGGTCTCTGTGGAAATGCACCTGCTCTCTCCCCAGCAGCCTTTAAACCCAGCATCCCAAGGATGCATTGTTGTGAATGACGGCCAGTCTTCATTAAGCCTGATAAAGTCTTGTAACTTTGTTCCCCCGACATAGTAAGCTCCATTCTTATTTATATTTACCTGTGCTTGATTAATAACCATTAAATGAGCCATCACGCCTGAGGTTCTTGGGAGAGTGCCTGGCACACTGTAAGTGCTGTAAAAAATTGGTTTGTTAAATAAAAACTATAAGGGCCTTTTAAGTTACTCATCACTAAGTCTTTTTCCCAGACATAGTAGAGGTAACCGTTGTCAGACAGAGAATGAAATAATAGATTGCCATTTTCTCAAAATAACAAAAGAGTAAAACAAGATTTGAAATGGAAAATTGGGGCCGGCCGCAGTGGCTCATGCTTGTAATCCCAGCACTTTGGGAGGCCGAGGCGGGCAGATCACTTGAGCTCAGGAGTTCAAGACCAGCCTGGGCAACATGGCAAAACCCCGTCTCTACAAAAAAAAAAAAAAAAAAAAAAAAAAATTAGCCAGGCATGATGGCTTGTGCTTGTAGTCTCTCAGCTACTCAGGAGGCTAAGGTAGGCGGCTTGCTTGATCCTGGGAAGTTGATGCTGTAGTGAGCCATGATTGCACCATTGCACTCCAGCCTGGGTGGCAGAATGGAGACCCTGTTTCAAAAAAAAAAAAAAGAAAAAAGAAAAAAAGACATAGAAAATTGGTATTTAGGAGAAACAGGTATAGCAGGATGAGGTGATCCTGAGATGAATACGTTTCCCGTTTGGAAGCAGAATGGCTGGGATTGCACACCAGATAGCCACCTTTCTCTTTGATGGGTCTTTTCCTTCTAGTCTGATTATCTCCTGTTAGACAGTGGCTCTGTTTAATAGGGCCAGACGGGGTCTCCAACACTGAGAACCTCATTTTCTCCAACAAACTAAGGATTTTCTATGGGATTGCAATACTTGCTTCATTTACACATGTAATCTGATCCTGAATTTCACATTTTTGCTTTAGGCTTAAGTTGGCCAGCCGTCAACATAGTAGGAGTTTGCATTACACATTGAGCATCTCTAATCTGAAAATCTGAATTGAAAAGTGCTCCTAAATCCAAAACTTTTTGAGCGCCAACATGATGCTCAAAGGAAATGCTCATTGGAGCATTTTGTATTTCAAATTAGGGATGCTTAACTCGTAAGTATAATGTAAACATTCCAAAATCTGAAATACTGCAAATCCAAAGCACTTCTGGTCCCGAGCATTTTGGATAAGAGATACCTAACTGGTATATATAGTTTTGAGCGAGTTTATGGCATTACTTTGTATCTGTAAAGGGGAAAATAGTGATGGACAAGAAATGAGTTTTCCTGCATGAAGGTTGACCTTTAGCTCTCAGGAAGTGGAGCAAATCATGGCCAGAAATGAGTTACTGAAGGTTGGCAGTAATGGATGACTTTCGACCCTCAGATGTCAAGGGCTCCCTGTTAGTGGGAAAGCTGGCTCGAGCCGGTCAGCTTTCCCTGATACCTTCCACTCCACTGCGTTCAGAAGCCCATTCAAAGCTACTTCAAGTTTCCACTGAGCAGTTAAACTGCTTGCTGCTTGATGGCATGGAATATTTTATGAGTGATTTGTATTTGCTGTTGCTTTTACAAATGGGGCTTTATTAGATATATGAATGTAGTCAGAATATTCTGACCAGGGATCCAGCCAGTGAGCTGGATGGTCTAGAAGAAGAAAATCAGAATCAAAGTCCCAGGTTCAAAACAAAATAGAACTTGCCAGTCGCAAAATAGAAGGCATGTGCTCATATTCTACTTCCAGCATCTTTGGATCGAGACTACCAACTCTGGCAAAATTTACCTCTTTGAATTACTCAGCAAGTGGCAGGGCAGTTGGATGTGTGACGCACTGACTGGAATGTCTAATATGTCGTTCTGTAAATAAGGGGAGTGCTAGATGAGAATGCTCTGCAGACCCTAGAAATGTGTGCAGGGGACATGAGATGAACGTGACTGAATCCAGCCCACACCAGAGGGGCTGCATGCTTGTTCCAGAACCTACTGTATTCACCTGAGCCTTAGTCTCTGAGCTTCCCAGCCGAGAGGGCAGAGTGAGCTCGTCATCTCTACAGTAGCCACGAGCCTCCTTTTGTCTCTTCTGTTGATGTTCGCTGTTTGATTTCGCTGTCTTAATTTCCATGTGGATATAAGTAGCATTCTTTATGACATGTTTGTCAAATGTAGAAAAATGATGACATCTTCCCACTTTTCTAATGCATTGTCTCCAGGCTCCTAAAAGCATCTTGTGAAAGAAGGATACATACTTGTTGCTTTTCTAGTGAAGAGAACCACAAAATCTGCCAACTTAAAAGGAATCATTTAGTCCAAATCCTTTGTTTTGGAGAGGAGAAAGAAACAAACAAAGAAAAAGGCAAGGGCCCAAAATGTAACACTTGGTCAATAAGAGATCTGGAACCAGAACTCCCTCCCTAATGTTACCACAGCACACTGCATATACTACTTTTTTTTTTTTTTTTGGCCTGAGACGCTCACTCTGTCGCCCAGGCTGGAGTGCAATGGCGTAATCTTGGCTCACTGCAACCTTCGCCTCCCGGGTTCAAGCGATTCTGCTGCCTTAGCCCCCTGAGTAGCTGGGATTACAGGTGCGCATCACCACGCCTGGCTAATATTTGTATTTTAGTAGAGACGAGGTTTCACCGTGTTGGCCAGGCTGGTCTCAAACTCCTGACCTCAAGTAATCCACCCGCCTCAGCCTCCCAAAGTGCTGGGATTACAGACATGAGCCACTGTGCCCGGCCTTGGTTTGGTGTTTATTGTAGCAAAAAAATACATATAAAATTTACCATCTTAACCACTTTTAAGCATATAGTTCAGTACTGTTAAATATGTTCACATATGGTGAAACGGGGCTCTAGAAGTTTTCATTTTGTAAATCTGAAACTATGCACACATTCATTAAACAGCTGCCCGTTGCTCCCTTCCCCAGTCCCTAGCAACCACCATTCTTCTGTTTCTGTGACTGTGACTATCCCAGGTACCTCATATAAGTGAAATCGTACAGCACTACTGTCCAATCTTTTGGCTTCCCTGGGCCACATTGGAAGAAGAATTGTCTTGGACCATACATAAAATACACTAACCATTGCTGATGAGCTAAAAAAAAAAAAATTGCAAGAAAACCTCATAATGTTTTAAGAAAGTTTACGCATTGGTATTGGGCTGCATTCAAAGCCATCATGGACCATATGGGCCGCTGGTTGAACAACCTTGTACAGGGTTTGTCTTTCTCTGACTGCTTTATTTCACTTAGTGTAATGTCCTCAAGGTTCATTCATGGTTGTAGCATGTGTCAGAACTTCCTTTTCAAGGGTGAATAATCCATTGTATGTACAGACCACATTTTGTTTATCCATTCATCTGTCGATGGACATTTAGGTTACCTCTTGAGTATTGTGGATAGTGCTACTATTAACATAGTGTGCAAATATTTCTTCTAGACCCTGCTTCCAATTCTTTTGGATATATGCCCAGAAGTAAAATTGTTGGATCATATGGTAGTCCTATTTTTAATTTTTTTCTTTTTCTTTTTCTTTCTTCTTTTCTTTTCTTTTCTTTTCTTTTCTTTTCTCTTTTCTTTTCTCTCTTCTCTTCTCTTCTCTTCTCTTTCTCTTCTCTTCTCTTCTCTTCTCTTCTCTTCTCTTCTCTTCTCTTCTCTTCTCTTCTCTTCTCTTCTCTTCTCTTCTCTTCTCTTCTCTTCTCTTCTCTTCTCTTCTCTTCTCTTCTCTTCTCTTCTCTTCTCTTCTCTTCTCTTCTCTTCTCTTCTCTTCTCTTCTCTTCTCTTCTCTTCTCTTCTCTTCTCTTCTCTTCTCTTCTCTTCTCTTCTCTTCTCTTCTCTTCTCTTCTCTTCTCTTCTCTTCTCTTCTCTTCTCTTCTCTTCTCTTCTCTTCTCTTCTCTTCTCTGACAGAATCCTGCTCTGTCACCCAGGCTGGAGTGCAGTGGCATGATCTTGGCTCACTGCAACCTCCACCTCCCAGGTTCAAGTGATTCTCCTGCTTCAGCCACCTGAGTAGCTGGGACTACAGGTGCACACCACCACACCTGGCGAATGTTTTTTGGTAGAGATGGGATTTTGCCATGTTTCCTAGGCTGGTCTAGAACCCCTGACCTCAAGTGATCCACCTATCTCAACCTCCCAAAGTGCTGAGATTACAGGCATGAACCACCATGCCTGGCATATTTTTAATTTTTTGAGGAATCTGTAAATTGTTTTCCATCGTGCCTGCCCCATTTACATCTCACCAGCGGTGTACAGTTTCTCCAATCCTTGCCAACACTTATTTTCTGTTTTCCTTTTTTTTTTTATTAGCTGCCCTAATGCGTATAAGATGATAGCCTATTGTAGTTTCAATGGACGTTTCTCTGATTAGTGACACTGAGCATCTTTTCATCTGCTTGTTGGCCATTTGTATATTATCTTTGGAGAAATGTCTATTCAAGTTCTTTGCCCAATTTTTTAAAAGGTTATTTGATTTTTGTTGTTGTTGAGTTGTAGGAGGGTTTTTTTTTTTATATATATATATTCTGGCTATTGACTCCCGATCAAATATACAATTTGTAACTGTTTTCCTATATTGTATAGGTTGACTTTTCACTCTGTTGATTGTATCCTTTGATGCCCAAAAGTTTTTAAGTTTGATGTCTCATTTATCTGATCTTCTTCTTTTTTTTTTTTTTTTGGAAACTGACTCTGTTGCCCAGGCTGGAGTGCAGTGGTGTGACTTCCGCTCAAGGCAGCCTCCACCTCCCGGGTTCAAGCAATTCTCCTGCCTCAGCCTCCCGAGTAGCTGGGATTACCGGCACCCACCACCACGCCAGCTAATTTTTGTATTTTTAGTAGAGATGGGGTTTCGCCCTGTTGGCAAGGCTGGTCTCGAACTCCTGACCTCAAGTAATCCACCTGCCTCGGCTTCCCAAAGTGCCAGGGTTACAGGCGTGAGCCACTGCACCCGGCCGGATGTCTCATTTATCTAATCCTGCTTTGTTGCCTGTGCTTTCAATGTCATACCCATGAAATCCTTGCCACATGTATACTTTTTATAACAAAAAGCCAGTTGTATTTTTTTTTTTTGATAAATGAACCATCTTATCTTCTGAGCAGTGGCCTTGCCAATAATACATGTTATCTTTTAAAAAAATATTTGCTTAAAGGGCTCTGTCTTCATTGCTCCTCACTGGCCTCCTTGAGCCCGTGATATCTTCCTTTTCTGTTTCCTTCTTCAGTTCCCTCCTTTTTGTCCTTCCTCCTTTATTTACTAACTTATTTATGTGTCAGTAGAAGGGCTGTGTGTAAAGGAAGAGGGTTCATGAGGGGTGACTGAAGTTAACAGGTGATTTTTTAAAAAATCACGTTTTCAAGTCCAACAGAGCTTAAAGGTAAAATAAAAATAAAAAATTACACGTGTATATTTCTCTCTCACACACACCTGAACTTATACAAACAAGTGAATTTGTTTGATTCAAATGAATTTCACTGCAGTGTTCTGCATTGATTTTGGCAATGCTGCCTTTATTCAGAATATTATGGCATCAGTCAGAGAGGAATTTTTTTCTTTGGAATTGCCAGCTTTCTTTATTTTTTTCGTCTCCTCTCCCTTTTCTCCTGTCCTCTTCTCCTCCTCTCCTCTGTTGTCCAGGCTAGAGTGCAGTGGTGTGATGATGGCTCATTGCAACCTTGACTTTCTGGGCTCAAGTGATCCTCCCACCTCAGCCTCCTAAGTAGGCACATGCCACCATGCCCAGCTAATTTGGAATTGCTAGCTTTCAAGGCACATAGGAAATCAATATCATTCCAATGGGTTCTGAAGACAGATTTGGGTTCCAGTTCCTGCTTCTGTACTTTATTGTTATGGCCGTGGTCAAGTAATTTAACCTCCTCAAACGTTGGTGTCCCCATTTATAAAATGTGATACTGACATCTACCATGTAGTATCACTTGGAGTACTCCTGGCACGAAGCAGGTGCTTGGCTATTGCTCTTACTATTACTGTGTAGCTTGATCACCCATATTTTTTCTACCAGGTTTGAGGGATAACTTTTGACCATTTCCAAATACCAAAACTACTAGCAAAATACAGAGATTGCCACCACAGACAATATTTAAAATAACATACCTTTGGCTCTGAAAAAAAATTCTTAAGAGAAATTTATAGAAGTGCTTTTAGCACCAGAACATCGTTCTAATAAGTCTCTGGCCCTCTGAGATGACTATTTTGCGTGGGACAGGGTTGATCTGAATATAGGTATTTGCAGAAAAAAGCGATCGTTTGGTAAATTCAAAGTTTATTGATTTAGAGTGGGTTTCTTCACCTTGGCACTATTGATATTTGGAGCTGGATAACTCTCTGTCATGGGGGCTGTCCTATGTATAGTAAGATGTTTAGCAACATCCCTCGTCTTTACCCACTAGATGCCAATACCACTCCCCCCGCACCTCACCCAATGTAACAACCAAAAATGTCTCTAGACATTGATAAATGTCCCATAGGGGACAAAAATCCCTTCTGGTTGAGACCACTGATTTACAGGGAGGCATTTGAGGTATAGAAAAAGTGCACGCTTTGACATTTGCATCACCAACAATATGATGTTGTCAAGCTAATTAAACTCCTTCAGCCTGAATTTGTTCATCTGTAAACCAGGATGGTGATGCCTAAATAAGATATGCCATATGCAAATGACTGCACGGCCCCTGGCAGCTAGAAGGCAGTTCATAAAAGTTTGATAGCTCCTCCATTTATCCCTCATTTACACTTCTTAATTCTAATCGGGAGATAACCTAGTGTTACATAAAAAGATTACAGAGTCAACAGGGCGAGTGCCAAGTGGCTTAGTCTGTAGGAATTATGGTTGCTTAAAGTAGACAAGAAAAACTGCTTGTAATGTGGCCAAAAAGTGGCCCAGAGCTCTTAACTGGCTGTTGGTCACCCAGAGAGCATTCAACTTGGGGAATGGTTTGAGAAATACTCCAAAACTGCTCTACTGTTTACAACCCACAAAACTGTGGACTGGACTGCTGGGAAAAAAAAGTAGAATGGTGGGAATTAATTTGAGGCTTTAAAAATTAAATAATATCATAAGTAAAATATTAGCATAGTGTCTGGTGCCTAGATAATGTTGGATGAATGTTAATTGCCCTTCTATTTCCCACCAGAGAATTCCAACCACCAGTGTTAGGTCATCTCCAATGATAGTCTGAACTGAAAACAATGTTATGACCAAGTTTTCTATCAGCCTAAGAAAATGCAACACTGAGAGAGCTAAGACTAATGAATACAATGCGTAAAGGACTTTAAAATAAAATTTTTCCATACCTGACATCAAATTTTTTCATCAATGAGATTTAAGAACACAGTTCCTTATGTTTTTCTCATGTATAATTTTTTTTCGGGGACAGGGGGGGACCTTCCTCCAGTGGTTTAAGGTATTTTTTCCCCCATAACAGTAAAGTCAAATACAGGAGACATTGTTTTAACATATCTTTGTGACTGGGCATCCAGAAAATTGGTTAACACTGTTAACAGCCCTGCCAATTGCTCACTTGATTGTTTTGAGGCTCATGGTAGCATGTATTGCAGTTACCAGCCTCAGATATCAGTTGAGGACATAAGGACTGGGAATTTATTTGTAATACATTTTGACATGCAGGGTAAACCGTTAATTATTAACCATTCCTGAGGAAAATCCTGACCCATGTAAGTTGCTACCAGGGCCTCCGCTTGGCACTCTGAATCAATCGCATGTGGACATTCCCTGTTAGCTGCATTGTGAAGTCCTCGTTGCCACGTTGAGTCAGGAAGACCAAACTGGAAGTTCAGGAGACACTAACCCTGGAAAAGCTGCCTTCTCGCCCGCTGCCTGAGGATTTCAAACAAATGAGAAAAGCCACAGTTCCACTTAGGAAACATTGACTTTCCTGTAGATTCAGCCTCCTACACCTTAGAGCGGGTGTTGAGAGACTTCACATGCGTTCATCCCTGTCGCTGTTGTCCTTGAGATAAGGACATTGATAAAGAGAAGGTGGGAGACATCCTTTCAGATTTTCGTGGGTTTCTTTTTTTTTTTTTTTTTTTTTTGAGACGGAGTCTCGCTCTGTCGCCCAGGCTGGAGTGCAGTGGCGGGATCTCGGCTCACTGCAAGCTCCGCCTCCCGGGTTCACGCCATTCTCCTGCCTCAGCCTCCCAAGTAGCTGGGACTACAGGCGCCCGCCACTACGCCCGGCTAATTTTTTGTATTTTTAGTAGAGACGGGGTTTCACCGCTTTTAGCCGGGATGGTCTCCATCTCCTGACCTCGTGATCTGCCTGCCTCGGCCTCCCAAAGTGCTGGGATTACAGGCGTGAGCCACCGCGCCCGGCCTCGTGGGTGAGTTTCTAAAGAGACAGAAGGGCCACTAAATCAACCCTGTATAACCCCCTTCTAAATTCAGGATGGCAATTCACATTTTACTTTAGATGAAATATTATCAGTAAGTGAGTTTGGATAATGCTTCACTTAAGATTCAGAACAGTTGTGTTTCAGTGTGTTTGAACACTTTGTAGTATATCACAGCTCTTATTTCAGCAATGTAGGGAGGATACGTTTATGCCTGTGTTGAAGGACTTGTAAAGAAAGGACTTTGTGTTGTAGGAAAAGTGTTGGTTTGAGATTTAGGCAGCCTGTATTCTATCCCAGTTCTCCTCCTAACTAGCTGGGTATCTGTGGGCAAGTCACTTTACTTCCCAGGAATTAGTAGAAGTGGACATACAGAAGACAAGAAATAAAAAGGGCCAAGCACAGTGGCTTGCACCTGTAATCCCAGCAACTCCTGAGGTCAGGAGTCTGAGACCAGCCTGAGCAACATAGCAAGACCCCGTCTCTACAAAACAAAATTTAAAAATTAGCCGGTGTGGTGGTGTACAACTATAGTCCCAGCTACTCAGGAGACTGAGGCAGGAGTAGCGCATGAGCCCAGGAGGTCAAGGCTGCAGTGAGCTATGATTGTACCACTGCGTTCCAGCCTGGGCCACAGAGCCAGGCCCTGTCTCAATCAATAAATCATTAAGTTTAAAAAATAAATTACCTAATTAATTTTTAAAATATATAAATAAATAATTTTTTTAAAAAAAGGAAGGGAAGGCTGTAGGCTGGGTACCAGTTCCAGTTGAGGTTGTCTCTTTAGTTGTACTCCAGGTGCCAGATTACAAGTTCACCCGATGCCACCCCGTGTATTTCAGTGGTTGATGTTTGATAAGACCGGAGGTTAAGATGGGCTCTGACTACAGTGAACAGTCCAGTTTAGCCTGACTGAAGGGTTTATTTAGGTGATAGGGAGAAATAGATGGCTGAGGAGGGAGGTTGGCCCCAGGGGTTAAGGACCTTGACTGATAAGCTAAGGAATTTGAATTTTGTTCTGTAGTCCCTAGGGAGTAATTACTGAAGGTTTTGTAAACTGGACTGACATGAGCCAGGTTACGACTCCACCACTATCTGCATGGCCTTAGGCAGGTCACCAAACTTTCCTAGACCTAGACCTTATAGTCATCTTTTTTAAAGAGAGAGAGAGAGAGTGATTTGGACCAGATGATTTTGAATATTGCTCTCCTTTCAAAAGTTCTGAGTCTATAACTTGAAGCATCATTTTATTAGTTGAATGATTAGAGACAGATCCTTTAAGACCTTGCTTTATGATGGATTCTTTATCCTATCAGCGATCTATCTCAGTCCTATTTGTTGTTGTAAACTCAATTACGTCACCGTTCCCAGGGAGAGGAAAACCTACTCTGTGTGCTTTCTCACTTTGCTTCCTAGTAACACGTTATAATAACGGAGTTTTTCCTTAAACAATAAAAGATTTTGTTAGAACGCAGGTTAAGTGAACTAAAAGGCACACATACAGTTTATTTCACGGCCAAATGCCAAATTTTCCTCAAATTATTTGCCCACTACCTCAGCTAGTCTCTGTCTAGTTTTGTTGCTGTTGCTGGCTGATTAATATTTATTTATTTATTTATTTATTTATTTATTGATTTTTGAGATGGAGTTTCGCTCTTGTCGCCCAGGCTGCAGTACAATGGCATGATCTCAGCTCACTGCAATCTCTGCCTCCCGGGTTCGAGCAGTTCTCCTGCTTCAGCCTCCCGAGTAGCTGGGACTACAGGCACCTGACACCACGCCTGGCTAATTTTTGTATTTTTAGTAGATATTGGCTTTCGCTATGTTGGCCGGGCTGGTCTCGAACTCCTGACCTCATGAGGGTGATCCACCCGCCTCAGCCTCCCAAAGTGCTTGGATTACAGGCGTGAGCCGCTACACCTGGCCTTTGGCTGATTAATTTTAAAAGCAATTTTAGTTTGATATTTCCATCACTAATTTTTTTTTTTTTTTTTTTTGAGACAGAGTCTCACTCTGTCGCCCAGGTTGGAGTGCAGTGGTGTGATCTCAGCTCACTGCAACCTCTGCCTCCTCGGTTCAAGCGATTCTCCTGCCTCAGCCCCCCGAGTAGCTGAAATTACAGACGTCCGTCACCACACTGGCTAATTTTTCTACTTTTAGTAGTGACGAGGTTTCACTATGTTGGCCAGGCTGGTCTTGAACTCCTGGCTTCAAGTGATCCACCCACCTCAGCCTCCCAAAGTGCTGGGATTACAGGCATGAGCCACCATGCCTGGCCCCTAATTTTTCTTAATAAAAACTTTTAATACATGTCTAGAGTCATAATCTAGGTCTCCCCCCACCCCAAAACAGCCCCTGAGATACGAATTTGGGGGCAGATAGTTTATTTGGGAGATGAGCCTAGGAAGTTTCAGAAGGGAGACAGGGAAATGAGATAGGGAAAAGAAGAAAGGCAGTAGAGGGTATATTAATGAGCAGATGACCACTGTGTGGGAAACTGAGGCTGTATAGTGTTGAGGAGTTTGGGGAGGCTTTATAGAACATTCTCTATAGAACAACATATAGAGTTGTCTCATCCAGTGGACGAGGAAGCTGGGGACCTATCCACTAACTCTCAGCCATCACTGGTTGAGGGCTGCCCTGGGGGTGGGACACTCCCAGGGGTAGTGGGGAGAGGGAGAATGGCAGTGGCACTGGGACCCATCAAGCCTACAGGTGAGTGGCAGTGGGATGCTATCAGGCCATTGTGTGTCTTTCGCACCTACTGCCCTTGTGGGAGTTGATGTTGTTTTAAATCTCTAATGCCTTCTTTTTCTGATCAACTGTTTTTCTTGAAATATCAATTTCTGAGGAGCTTCTGAGTCTTCCTGTGTTCTGTTTTGTACAGAATTCTGGGGAGAATTTAATTTTAGTTTCTTGTAGTTTGTTCTGCTCTGCAGAAGATGCCAGGAATGATCTAAAATATGTACACTTCGAGATCTGTTACCAGAGGTATTGATGCCATAGTTGCCTGGCTACTGTATTGAAGATTTTTCCTTGAGATATTTCTTTATTCAAAAGTGGTTCTATTTTTTTAATGCGTGATTGAGCGGCCAACGAATATCGTTCTGAGCAGGTAGAAAAGTTTTAGTGGCGTATCTCTGGATTTTGCACACGTAGATTTGGCTTCTCCTCACAGCAGCTCAGGAGAATCACTGTAGAGAGAAAACTCTCCTGTGATCCCTCCCTTTAAGAACAGATGGCGATCTTGGCTCTGCCATCAAGCCAAAGGAAACATCAGTGATAACCATCAGAGGACCTGTATGAGATGAGAAAATTCCTATGAAAAATGACCTAGACGCTTACTCTTAGCAGCACACTAGAATAGGTCTCGTGGTGATCTTAGGTGACATGCACTAAATATTATTTTAACAACAATGCCACTTTTCTTGAGGTTTTAAAGAATAGTTGCTCAGCAAGTCAGATGAAAGGAAGTTCTCACCAGCAGCCAGCCCTTGGGGGATTATTCATGGATGGCAGGAATGTGCAGAAAAGGATTCAGGAGACATGAAGGAACTATCCATGTGCTAGTTTTCCTGTGCAGCTGGGGGTGTGAGGATGGCCCGGTAAGTGGAGCACATTTATGGAAAAATGGCTATTACTTGGGTATTTGGGGGAAGGCTTCTTGGGAGGAGCTAGAATCTGGAAAGCCATTTGGAGTGACATATGAAACCTGGAGAATAGCTCCTGAGTCCTTTGGAGTAGGAAGTTCCTTGATTAGGCAGAGCCTTTGAGAAACTTGGCATAAGAGGAATAGAAATGACTCCATGTGGCCTGGCCCGTCCCTCCCGGTTTGCTCCTCTCTAGCTGCCCTCATCCGCCTTCAGTCTTAGGGCAGCAGGCTGTTCTCAGCTGTGGATGTTAGCATATGCTGTGCCCCCGCCCAGAATACTCGTTCCCTCATTGCTTACCTGACTGAAGCTGATGATCCTTCAGGGTCTAGTTTCAGTGTCTCTTTCTGAGAAAAGCTGATGTTGCAAAGAATACCAAGTCTGGAAAGGATGTTCCTATTGTTACTCATTCTCATAGCGCTTGCTATTTCCCTTTATAGCACTCCATTTCTGTGTTTACTTGCTTAATACCTATCATCCCTCCTGCTGTACTATAAGCCTGAGGGGGCAGGGGCCATGGTGTATACTAGGCCGTGATATAGCCAGTGCCTAGTAACATTGTGCCACCCACAGAGTAGGCACTCAGTAAAGATTTGTTGAATGGGGTTGGGCGCAGTGGCTCATGCCTGTCATCCCAGCACTTTGGGAGGTCGAGGCAGGCAGATCACTTGAGGTCAGGAGTTTGAGACCAGCCTGGTCTACATGGTAAAACCCCGTTTCTACTAAAAATACAAAAATGAGCCAGGCATGGTGGCACATACCTGTAATCCCAGCTACTCAGAAGGCTGAGGCATGAGAATCACTTGAACCCGGGAGGCGGAAGTTGCAGTGAGCTGAGATTGTGCCACTGCAGTCCAGTCTGGGCGACAGAGCGAGACTCCATCTCAAAAAAAAAAAAAAAAAAAAAAAAAAAAGCCGGGCATGGTGGCTCATGCCTGTCATCCCAGCACTTTGGGAGGTCGAGGCAGGTGGATCACTTGAGGTCAGGAGTTTGAGACCAGCCTGGCCAACATGGTGAAACCCCGTCTCTACTAAAAATATAAAAAATTACCCAGGTGTGGTGGTGCGCACCTGTAATCCCAGGTACTCGGGAGGCTGAGGCAGGAGAATCAACTGAACCCGGGAAGTGGAGATTGCAGTGAGCCGAGATTGTGTCACTGCACTCCAGCCTGGGCAACAGAGTCAGAGTCCATCTCAAAATAATAATAATAATAATAATGATAATAATAATAATAATAATAAAATAAAAGCCAGGCATGGTAATACATGCCTGTAGTCCCAGCTACTTGGGAGGCTGAGGCAGGAGAATCACTTGAACCCAGGAGGCAGAGGTTGCAGTGAGTCGAGATCGCACCACTGTACTCCAATCTGGGCGACAGAGTGAGACTCTGCCTCAAAAAAAAAAAAAAAAATTGTTGAATGGGTAAGTGAATGAAGAAGTGACTAATGATCAACTGTGGTATAGTATTAGAAGAGAGCCACATAATGAGTGTCTGGGTGCTACAGTTAATTTAAAGTTTGGTAGTAGAAAGTAAACGTATTGTATTTTCTTTATTTATATGTGAGTCTGTGCTTAAAAACAAAAACATCCAAGTCAGACATACTCATTGTATACAGAAAAATATAAAAACATAATTACCGTTGATACCACTACCCAAAGATAACCATTGAAGTAGGGTGTGGCCCAAAGCAGGGAATGCAGAAAAGTAGAGGAGTCCACATGGGCTAGGTCAGGGTCAGTGGTGATGGAAGTCTTCCTAGCGTGAGAATCCCTGGTGTCTGCTAAAAAAGGGATTTGATAAAAACTCAGAGGGGAACAGATCTTCCTGACCGAGGGAACCCCTGCCGCCTCGGTGGTGTTGACTTGTGTATTAGGCTAGTGTAACTGTTGTAACAGACAGCCCCACAATTTCAGTGACTTCACATGATGGAAGTTTCTTTTCACTCATGCACTATTCCAATGTGGATGTATCCTGGCTGGGCAGTCTCTTCTTCAGGTGATTTCTTGGTGAACTCAGTCTCCTTACATCTTGAGGCTCTGCCCTCTCCTGGATCCTCAGATCTCCTTTCAGCCAGATGATAGGAAAAGAGCATGGTGACTTGTTAGAGAGGTTTTGTATCTGTGTTTGGAACAGCTTTGCTGAGATGTAATTCTCATACCATACAATTAACCCATTTTGGCTGGATGCATTGGCTCACACCTGTAATCCCAGCACTTTGCGGGGCCAAGGCAGGCGGATGGCTTGAGTTCAGGAGTTCGAGACTAGCTTGGGCAACATGGCAAAACCCTGTCTTTACAAAAAAATACAAAAAAATTAACCAGGCATTATGGTGCATGCCTATATTCCCAGCTACTCGGGATGGCTTGAGCCCTGGAGTCGGAGGATGCAGTGAGATCGTGCCACTGCACTCCAGCCTGGACGACGGACCCAAACCCTGTCTCAAAGACCCAAAAAACAACCCATTTAAAGTGTACAAGTCGGTGGGTTTTTTTAGCATATTCGGAGTTGTACAACCATCACTACGATCAGTTTTAGAATGTTTTCATCATCCTCCCCCCGCCACCAAAAGCCCATACCCATTACCACTTAACCCCACTTCCCAGCTTCCCTCAATTCTTCCCCCCCTATTCCTAAGCAATCACTGATCCATTTTGGCAACCTGTTAATGGGTACCCCCTCTTCTTCCGCCTCACTCTCTAGCCTGAGGAAAACACTAGTCTCTTTTCTGTCTCTATGGCTTTGCCTGTTCTGGCCATTTCATATAAATGGAATCATACAATATGTGTTTTGTGTGTGTCTGGCTTCCTTAGCATACTGTCTTCAAGGTTCATCCATGTGGTATCATGTGTCAGGACTTCATTCCTTTTTTTGGCTTAATATTCCATTGTACAGATAGGCCACACTTTATTAATTCATCAGTTGATGGGCATTTGAGTTGTTTGCACTTTTGACTGTACTAGAGAGGGTTGTAGGAGCCTGCTCAGGAAGTGATGTTCATTACTTCTTTCCATGTTTCATCGGCCACAAGTCAGTCTCGTGTCCTAATCTCACTTCAAGGGAACTTGGGAAATGTGGTCTGGCTGAGTGCCCAGGAAAAAAAGAAATGGGGCTTGGTGATGCTGCTACAACTTGCAAATAAGGAGTAGAGTTTAACTGGATCTATCAGCGTGGAGATTCCTGGTGACATGTCACAGAGCAGGACAGAGAGTTCAGGCAAGGCCACTCTTCAGCTCCTGCTGCCTTTGTGTGAATGGGAAAGCCAGCCTGGGAAATGCCCAGCCCCATCAGAGGGCCTATCAGCCCACTGTAGACCCTGGCCTTCACAGGTGGTGCTTTGCCATCCCAGGAGACTGGGAAAGGTTGGGATGATGGCAGCTAGGGTGGATGATTTCATGGTGATTGTGCCTGATACATAACTGGGTCCTATTTGTAGAGTAGAAAAACAACTATTCGGATCTGTACGTTTATTTGACTCTGAACATTGTTCACACTAAGACACAGGTCGCTTCTAGTTGTTCCCTTCCATGTATGTAAATACGAGGCATCTGGCCAGAGCAGGGCACCTGCTTTCTTGTGGTAGGTGTGTATTTGTCAGGGTCCAATCGGGAAACAAAGACCACTCTAAGTATTTAAAATAGAAGAAACTTAATGTAGGAAATTGGTTACACAGGTGATAGAAGAGCTGACAAACCAATCGGAAATGATGAGGCAGCCCTGAAGTTAGCATCAGCAGGAAGCTGCTGTCACCCGCTTGGCTGGAGGGACCCAGGGAAGAGGTGATGTTACCAGAGCCCAGGTGCCAGGATCACCTGGAACAATCGTGAGCCAGCCTGGTGGGAGCTGGGTCTAACAAAGAGATGTGGCTATTGCTGGAGTGGCCATGCACACCAAGAAAAAGTGGGAGAAGAAACTGCGCTGGCTTCTTCCATCCCATCCTCCAGGGCCTCACCCTCTGCCCCCAGTGCCTCCCACCGGTTGCTGTCAGCTGAGCACAGCAGCCTAGAGGAGTCAGCTCCCCTGTAACACAAAGCAGGGCTGCAGAAAGGCCAAGAATGCATTTGAGGGCAGACCCCAGTGATTGCCCCAGTAGGACACTATTCAGAATTACTGCTCAGTTTCTAGTATTTTTAAAGTCAGCTTTAATAAGGTGTAACTTACATACCATAGGCCGGGCACTGTGACTCATGCCTGTAATCCTAGTACTTTGGCAGGCCGAGGTGGGAGGATCACTTGAGGCCAGGAGTTTGAGACCAGCCTGGACAACACAGTGAGACTCTGTCTATAAAATAAAAATGAAAAAATTATCTTGCCTTGGTGGTGTACGCCTATAGTCCCAGCTACTCAGGAGGCTGAGATGGGAGGATTGCTTGAGGCTGGGAGTTGAAGGCTGTGGTTGAGCTATGACCATGCCACAGTATTCCAACCTGGGTGACAGTGAGATCCTGTCTCAAAAAACCACCATACAATAAACTAAAATTTTAAGTGCACGATTTGATGAGTTTGGCCAAATAAACACACCCATGAAACTACCACCACAATCAAGATATAGAATATTATATCCCTGTGTTAGGCCGTTCTCATATTGCTATAAAGAAATACCAGAGACTGGGTGATTTATAAAGAAAACAGGTTTAATTGGCTCACAGTTCTGCAGACTGTACAAGCATGGCATTGGTGTCTGCTCAGCTTCTGGGGAGGTCTCAGGCAGGTTTTATTCATGGCAGAAGGTGAAGGCGGAGCAGGCAGCTCATATGGTGAGAGGGAGAGTGAGGGCCGGTGGCACGACCTCTACTCACTGCAACCTTCACCTTCTGGGTTTGAGCAATTCTCCTGCCTCAGACTCCCGACTGGCTAGGATTACAGGCACCTACCACCACACCTGGCTAATTTTTGTATTTTTGTAGAGACAGGGTTTCACCATGTTGGCCAGACTGGTCTCAAACTCCTGACCTCAAGTGATCTGCCCGTCTCGGCCTCCCAAAGTGCTGGGATTACAGGCATGAGCCACTGTGCCCGGACTCAGTGTGATTTTTACATTTGTTGGGGTTTTTATTGTCACTACAGGAGTGAAGACCTTTCACATTCTTCTACATCTTAATTGGAAGCAGAAGTCTCTTGTAAGGTTTTTGACAGGTGACCCAACACAAAGTTTATTCTAGAAAGGACACTGGTCTAATGAGACCTTTTGTGTGTTAAAGCTCAGGGCTGGCTTAGAAGGAGGATTTATTGGGATTCTATTTGTCTCTTGCCCTATGAATTTCCTCTTACAGACACACAGTATAGAAAAGAGGGCCAGGGAGACAGGATGGTTGATGGCAAGTCAGTGCTCTGGCACACCCATAGCTCATGGCAATGCTTTGAGGTAAGCAAAGTCAGACACTTCAGGTGAAGGACTGAGGCACAGAAGGGCTAAGTGCCCTCCTCAAAATTCAATTGGGTAATAAATGGTGTGAAAATAGCCAGGATCTAGCTCTATATGATTCCCAATCCAGTGTTGTGTTTTTATTCTGTGCATTTTTTACATAAGTAATAGATGTGTTGGCTCATGCCTGCAGTCTCAGCACTTTGGGAGGCCAAGGCGAGAGGATCACTTGAGCCTAGGAGTTTGAGATCAGCCTGGGCCACATAGTGAGACCCCATCTCTACCAAATAAATAAATAAAAATAAAAGCTAGGTGTGGTCATGCGTGCCTGTATTCCCAGCACTCTGAGGCAGGAGTTTCACTTGAGCCCAGGAGCTTGAGCCTACAGTGAGCCGTGATCACACCACTCAGTGCATTCCACTTGGGCAACAGAGCAAGACCCTGCCTCAAAAAAACAAAAGTGATAATAGATGAATATGTTTGTATATTACTGTGAAAAACTGAAAAACAATCCATTTAAAGCAGTTATCCCTCTAAACTCTAATCTCTTGTCCCGTCCATATTCCGGAAGTAACCTGTCTTGTCAGTTTGGTGTAATATCCTTGGAGACAATTTTCTATGTACTTTACATACTGTGAAAATATGTCATACTGCAGAGTTTTTAAACTATAGGACCACACAGGAGGTATACTGTTGTTTTTTTCACATAGTAATCGATGCTTAGAGATCTCTCCATGTCACTACAATAACTGCTCAGTTAGTCATTCATTTAACAGACACTTATTGATCACCTACTTTGTGCCAGATCCAGTTCTAAGTACAGTAGTTAACAAATCAGACCCAAAAAGTCTCCACCCTCTCGGAGCTTGCATTCTAAAATGGGGAGATAGAATAAAAAAAACCTAAATGTATTAAAACAGTTTAGGGTGATAGGGTAGCCAGTAAGTAGGATGGGAAGATTGTAATTTTAAGTTGAGTGCTCAGAGAAGACCACACCTATTAGAAAGTGACATGGAGCAAAGATCAGAAAGAGGCAAGGGAACATACCATGTGGTATGTGGGGGAAGATCATTTCAGGTAGAGGGATCAGCATGTGGAACAGCAAGGAAGCTTGTGTAGCTGGAGCATAGTAGGTGATCGGGGCACAGGAGTGGTAAGAGATGAGGTTGGAGAAATAACTAGGACCACATCTTGTAGATCCTTACAGGCCATTGGAAGAAAATTGGTGTTTGCTCTAAGATGGGAGCCACTGGTGAGTTTTGAGTCGAAGGATGACATGACCTGCCTTACAGCGCAGAGGATCACTATGACTTCTGTGTTGAGACTAGATAGTAGAGAGGTAAGTGTGGAAGCAGGAAATGACATGGCTTGGACCAGAGTGGTAAGGGTGGGCTTTATGAGGAGTGGGTCAATTTCAGATGTAGTTTGAAATAAAAGCCAGTGGAATCTCCTGGTCCAATAAATGGTGTTAGAGGAACCAAACATGACTGCAAAGTTTTTGGCCTGAGTAAGAGGAAGAATGGATTGGCCATTTAACAAGAAGAGGAAGACTGTAGAAGAACAGGTTTGATGGGACAATCAAGAGTTTGATTTGGGGCCAGCCATGGTGGTGCACACTTGTAATCCCAGCACTTGAGGAGGCCAAGGTGGGCAGATCACTTGAGGCCAGGAGTTCAAGACCACCCTGGTCATCATGGCTAAACGCTGTTTCTACTAAAAATGCAAAAATTAGCTGGGCCTGGTGGTGCACGCCTGTAATCCCAGCTACTTGGGAGGCTGAGGCATGAGAGTCGCTTCAGCCTGTGAGTTAGAGGTTGCAGTGAGCTGAGAATGCATCACACCATTCCAGCCTGGATGACAGAGTTGAGACTCTGTCTGAGGGGGACAAAAAAAAGTTTGATTTGGGACACGTTAAGTTTGAGGTATCAACATGCAAATGAGTTGCTGAGAGGGCAGTTGGATATGTGAGTCTGGATTTTAGGGGAGAGGCCTAGGCTGGAGATAGAAATTTGGAAGTCATCAAAATATGGATGGTTTGAAAAGTCATGGCAATGGATGATCAAGGGATCTAGGGTAGTTACCAAGAAAGATGAAATGTCCAAGGGTACTGCCAAGGGACACTCCAATGTGAAAAGATCAGAGAGATGGACTAAAGTAGGAGAAAATCGGGCGAGTGTGGTGTCCTGCAAATCAGATGATAAAAGTAGTCCAAGGAGGAAGGGGTGCACGGTTGTCAAATGCACATGTATGTGAAATAGGACAAGGAGTGAGAAGGGAGTGGTGGATTCAGCAATGATGCCAACCCACTGACGCAGAAAGTCCAGCATGAGAAGCACTGATGTCTGGGTCTCCAGAGATTCAGATTTAAGCTCCTAGGTGATTGAATTTTTTTTTTCTTTCTTTCTTTTTTTTTTTTTTGACATGGCGTTTCCCTCTTGTTGCCCAGACTGGAGGACAATGGTGCGATCTCGGTTCACTGCAACCTCCGCCTCCTGGGTTCAAGTGATTCTCCTATCTCAGCCTCCCGAGTAGCTGGGACTGCAGGCACCTGCCACCATGCCCTGCTAATTTTTGTATTTTTAGTGGAGACAGGGTTTCACCATGTTGGCCAGGCTGGTCTCGAACTCCTGACCTCAGGTAATCTGCCCGCCTTGGCCTCCCAAAGTGCTGGGATTACAGGCGTGAGCCACCACGCCCAGCCTCCCAGGTGATTCTAATATGCAGCCAAGATTCAGACCCACTGTCAAAGTTTCCTTCTCTTAATTGTGAAATGGCCTTAATTGCCAGAAACAGATGTTGCTGGCTGATTCAACATAGGAGTTTTTATCTGTAGGCTTGTTCTTGGATACCTTGGGATCTGGAAATGATAAGCAGATCCAAAAGCTGATTATTAACCACTAAAGGGATTAGCTATTTAACACCTGTCTTAAAGTGGCTTTTAAGCTGAAAATCTCTTTGCTTTTAATTTTTTCAAATGTTTGATTTTTGTTTTGTTTATACTCAAAAGACTTTTTGTTTTGAGTAACAAGGGTAAATTTCAAGTTAATGAGAAAATTCAAGGGAAATCTTGATGTAACTGGTCCAAAAAACTAAAATCCAAACAAACCTGAGCTCATATCACTAATTAGGCATTAGCTTGGGCAACATGGTGAAACCCCGTCTCTACAAAAACTACACAAATTAGCCAGGTGTGGTAGTACGTGCCTGTAGTCACAGCTACTTGGGAGGCTGGGGTGGGTGGATCGCTTGAGCCTGGGAGGTTGAGGCTGTAGTGAACCGAGATCGTACCACTGCACTCCAGCCTGGGCGACCCTGTCTCAAAGAGAAAAAAAAAAAAAAAGCATTCAAGTGAGTTTATTGAGTTTAGTACATTCTTTTCAGAATCATGAATATTTCACACCTCAAAAGTTGGCTAATTACAGATGTAGAAATGTTGTGCCTCATAAAAGTTTCAATCTTTTTCATATTCTTGCCACAGACATTAGAAATTATTTAAATGCTCTAGTAAATTTGAGTTGGTATCTGTTGGCTCTTAAAAATTAAAGAATATTATACAATGGCTGTGCAACAAGAGATCCAGTTTGCAGGTTAGTTCAATTAGATTCTATATGACAAAAAGAGGAAAGATAAAATATGTTAGAACAGGATCAAGGTAGAAAATGGAAAAAGTCCGAGTCAAAATACAGGCTTAATTATTACAGGTTTCCAGAAGGTCGCCAAGTGTCTAGATTAGCCCTTTCCAACCCAGGTTGGGTTCCACAAGAGAATTAAGTCCTAATGCCCGCTGGCATCTATTGTATGAAGTGATTGAATTTCTCTTCTGCATCCGGAATGAGGCTGGCTACGTACCATCCTTGGGAGCACTGAAAAAATAGTCACTCAAATAATCAAATAATTTTTTCCAGGGATTAATTCTGTCATGGAACCCCGGTTGAGAAAGTCTGGCCATTTTAGATACTAATTTGACATCTGGGATGATGCAGTAGTTTTTGAGGTGCATGTCCTCAGGAAAGAAAACATAAAAGAGCCTATTGTGGCCGGGCGCAGTGGCTCACGCCTGTAATCCCAGCACTTTGGGAGGCCGAGGCGGGTGGATCACCTGAGATCATGAGTTCAAGACCAGCCTGGCCAACATGGTTAAACCCCATTTCTCCTTAAAAAAAAAAAAAAAAATTAAAAAATTAGCTGGGTGTGGTGGTGCACACCTGTAATCCTAGCTACTTGGGAGGCTGAGGTGGAAGAATCGCTTGAACCTGAGAGGCAGAGTTGCAGTGAGCTGAGATTGTGCCACCACACTCCAGGCTGGGTGACAGAGTGAGACTCCATCTCAAAAAAAAAACAAAAAAAACCTATTACCAAGAAATTAAAAAGAATAATTTATTCACTTATTAGAATGGTTATTAATAAAATATACCCAGGACCACCTTGTATAAATCCCAGCAATGATTTTCTGAACATTTTAATATGTATCCTTACAGACTTTTGTCTATGTACATTAACATGTGAATGTGTTTATTTCAAAGAATGGGGTCATGCTTTTCATTTAGTTCAGGTTTTTTCCATGAGATGTTACTGTTACGGATGTTCCTCTGGGTAATTACACGTGGATCTGTCCCTTTATAATGATTACGTTATTCTGTAGTCTGGTTGTTGCAAAATATATTTTGCTGTTCTTCCGTTAATGGACATCTGAGTCATCTCCAGTTCATTACTATTACAAGCAGTGCCATAACAAACATCTTTGTTCAAAAAATTCTTGAAAAAAGATGTACATATTACAGATTCTAGAAGTGGAATCGTTGGGTCAGGATGGGTACCTGTTTTGTTTTTGTTTTTGTTTTTATCATGTAAAATCACAAATATATTTAAAAGTAGGGAATAGTGTAATTATCTTAGGCAGGGTTCTCCAGAGGAACAAACCAATAGGATGTATAGAGATCTAGAGGAAGAGATGGATTATGAGAATTGCCTCAGGTGATTCTAGAGGCTGGCAAGTCCCATGCAAGCTGGAGAACCAGGAATGCTTGTGGTGTGATTTGGTCTGAGTCCAAAGGCCTGAGAACCAGGGATGCTGTTGGGGTAAGTCCTGAAGCCAGAAGGTCCAAGATCCAGGAACTCTGATGTCTAAGGGCAGGAGATGATGAATTTCCCAGTTCAAAAAAAGAAAATTCACTCTTCCTTGGCCTTTTTGTTCTCTTGGTACCCTCAATGGATTGCGTGATGCCACCTGCATTGGTGAGGGTGGTCTTCTTTACTCAGACTCTTGATTCAGATGCTAATCTTATCCAGAAACACCCTCATAGACATACCCAGAAATAACGTTTTACTAGCTTTCTGGTCTTCCTTAGCCCAGTCAAGCTGACACATAAAATTAACCATCACAATAATAAACCCCCATCTACCCCATATCCACTTTGATAATTATCATTGCATGGCCAATTTTGTTCCCCTTTGCCCCCACCCACTCTTTTATACCCCAATGCTGGATTTATTACAAAGCAAAGACATACCATTTTATCCCCAGATATTTAAGTGTGTATCTTTAAAAGCTAAGGACACTTGGCTGGGCACGGTGTCTCACGCCTGTAATCCCAGAACTTTGGGAGGCCAAGGCGGGTGGATCACCTGAAGTCAGGAGTTCAAGACTAGCCTGGCCAACATGGTGAAACCTCTATTAACATTACAAAAATTAGTTGGGCGTGGTGGTGCATGCCTGTAATCCCAGCTACGTTGGAAGGCTGAGGCACAAGAATTGCTTGAACTCAGGAGGTGGAGGTTGCAATGAGTTGAGATCATGCCACTGCACTCCAGCCTGGGCGACAAAGCGAGACTGTCTCAAAAAAAAAAAAAAGGTTAAGGGCACTTACAAAACATAGTCATGATTACATTATCATACCTAAAAATGAACAGTTTTTAGGTTTTATATTATCATACCTAAAAATTAACAGTTTTTCTGTCAGTGCTCAAATTTTCCCAATTGTCTTTCCTTTTCTTTTCTTTCTTTTTTTTTTTTTTGTTGAGACAGAGTCTCACTCTGTCACCCAGGCTGGAGTGCAGTGGCACAATCTCGGCTCACTGCCACCTCTGCCTCCTGGGTTCAAGTGATTCTCCTGCCTCAGCCTCCCAAGTAGCTGGGACTACAGGTGCCTGCCACCACACCTGGCTAATTTTTGTAGAGGCAGGGTTTCACCATGTTAGCCAGGCTGGTCTCGAATTCCTGACCTTAAGTGATCCACCCGCCTTGGCCTCCCAAAGTGCTGGGATTACAGGTGTGAGCCACTGTACCCAGCCTCATATGTTTTATAGTGGATTTGTTTGAATCACAGTCCAGACTATGTATGTTGCATTTAGTTGATATGACTCTTAAGTCTTTTTTATTATATAGGTTTCCTCTTCACTTATTTTTTCATTTCCTTATGATTTACTTGTTGAGATAGAATCAAGTAGGGACTGAGTGTAATTGTATAAGGTTTACTGGTGTGGATCTTAAGCAGTGGCTACATTGGAAAATGAAAACTATTATTTAGAAATAATTTTTCTGTTAAAGTACAGCATCCTTGCACCTGTCTTTCAGCATGATGAATGCGTATATGTATTTCACTGTCTTTTTAAAAAAAAAAAAAAAAAAAAAAGCAGGGTCTCACTCTGTCGCCCAGACTGGAGTACAGTGGCATGATCTTGGTTCACTGCAACCTCTGCCTCCCAGTTTCAAGTGATTCTCCTGCCTCATACTCCCAAGTAGCTGGGATTACAGGCGTGGGCCACTACCACCCGGCTACTTGTATTTTTAGTAGAGACAGGTTTTCACCATGTTGGCCAGGCTGGTGTTGAACTCCTGACCTCAAATGATCTACCCGCTTCGGCCTCCCAAAGTGCTGGGATTACAGGTGGGAGCCACTGCACCTGGCCTCTACTCCATTGTCTTGATTGATTCATTTGTGACCTTATAACATCTATCTTTCAGGAGAAACAGCACAGGTGACCGTGAGAAGGCTCTGCAGATCATGCTCCAGGTTCTGCAGAGCTGTGATCACCCGGGCCCCGACATGTTCTGCCTGTGTGGGAGGATCTACAAGGACATCTTCTTGGATTCAGACTGCAAAGATGACACCAGCCGCGACAGCGCCATTGAGTGGTAAACCCTCAGCCCGAGTTATGAGCACTTGCATCTCTTCAAGGAACAGAATCGCATAGGCTAAGGATGTGCATCTCTTCCTTATGTATATGTCTGTCTGTTGGCAGGGAGCAAACATTTGTAGTAAATGTGGTCTGGGAATTTTCAGATTCCCTTTTTGAGAGAAAACCATGAGAAACAGGGTTTTCTACTGGTCACACTCTTCCCACAGGTACACTTGTTTATGGGCCAAGAAGGAGGCCCAGCACACTCCTTCCGAGCTCCCACTTCCAGAGCCTTGTCCACCACCACCAGGGCATCATCTTCCCAGTGATCTGTTCATTCATTCACTTATTCATTCATTTATTTAACAATGTTCAGTGATGGCTTACTGTGTGCCAGAAACTTTTCTAGGTGGTGGGGATACAGACACAACGGACGTGAATCCTGCCCTTGGGGGCCTTGCATTGCTGGTGAGGGAAGTTAAAGAAAGTGACACATTAGGATGTCATCTGAGGGCTATGGGGAAAGGTTAAGCAGGGAAGGGGATAAAGGAGGGCTCGGAGGGGTGGTCTGCAATTTTAAATAGGGTAGTCAGTGAAGGTGCCTAAAGATAGAAAAGTGATAAGGGAGTGAACTTCACAGATAACTGGAGAAAGTGTTCTTGGTGGAGGAAACAGCAAGGGCAGAGACTCTGAGGATGAAGCATGGCAGGCACACTCCAGGATGGTCAGCACTAAGCAAGGGGTGAGTGGAGAGCAACATGAAACAGGAAGAGGGTAAGACCTTCTTGCTCTGAGTGAGAAGGAACATCAAATGGAGGGTTTGAGCAGAGGAGTGACAAGATTGGACATGCATTTTAACAAGAGTACTCACTGTTATGCAAAGAATATATTTTAGGGAGTGTATCAGCTATCACTTGCTGCGTAACAACCCCAAAACTTAGCAGCTTCGAACAGCAATGATTATGATTTTTCATGATTCTGTGGCTTTGCCAGGCACTTCTTCTGCTGGCTTCACCTGGGCTGGCTTCTAAAACTGAAGTCAGCTGTAGGGTCAGGTGTGGCTGGAAGATCCAAATGACCCCGTACACATTTGGCAGCTGGTGTTGGCTACTGATACTGTACCTTAGCTCTCCACCATGTGGTTCTAATCCTGGTAGACCAGCTTTCTTACCTGGTATGCAGAACTCTAAGAGAGTGAACAAGGGAGCAGCAAAGCCTCTAGAGGCTTAGGTTCGGGAACTCACACGTGGTTACTTCTGCCACATGCTATTGGTCAAAGCAAATCACAAGGTCCGCCCACATTCAAAAGGGTGGAGGAATGTGCTCCACCTCTGGCTAGGAGGAATAGCAAAGTTGCATTGCAAAGGTGCATGCATATTGCGATGGGAGGAATTTGTGGCCATTAAACAGTCTATCACAGGGACAAGGACAGAAGCAGGGAACAGGAGAATATAGCAGTAATTCAGGGGAGAGCTGGTGGTGGCTTGAGCCAGGGTGGTGGGGACAAAAATGTTGAGAAAGTTGGATGCAGGATATATTCCGAAGGTGGAACCAACAGGCCCACATCATTCATTTCCATCATAAGAGCTCTTGACATTGCTGTTCTGCTTTCATTCAATTCTAACTGCTTCCTCTCTCTCTCTCTCTCTCTCTCTCTCTCTCTCTCTCTCTCTCTCTCTCTCTCTCTCTCTCTTCCTTTCATACACACAGGAGGCTCTGTCCTCCCCACCTTCTCTCCATCCACACTTACTTCTCTGACAATCCCAGCCACTCTCACACCTAGGGACCCTTAGCTGGAGCTCTCCAACCCAACATCCTAAGTGATGGCCTTACACCTCCCCCCCTTTGTCCACCTGTTCTACCTCAAGATGATGTTGATATTTCAGACTCAACATTTTGAAGGCTGAAGTCATTTACTCTTCTCCACAAGGTATGGCTTCCAATGTCTTACTTTCTTACTACTATTCTCTACCCTCCTAGGTCTAAACTTTCAGTCAGTGTTGGATTCATTTTGCTCACTTACCTCCCCGTCCAGTCAGGCCCCATTTGCAGCCCTTCTGCGAGCCTTCTTTCACTGCTTGCCAGTCCTTTCCCATCACCACTGCCCCCAGTCACTGCCATTTTCTTTTTAACTTTCTTGCCAGGAATGTTCTAACAGTACCCAAGTAGACTCCCTGCTTGCTGTCTGCTCAGTCTATCCTTCACAGATTTATAGCTTATTCTTCCTAAAGCTCAAGAACCCACCATGGCTCCCTGCTCCCTGCTATATAAAAATTCAGACTCTCAGATCACCATTCTAGGTGTCCTGAACACTTTCTCCAACCTACCTCTAGCCTTGTTTCCCACTACCTGGTGTGTGTCCAACTAAACTGTAGTTCCTAAGGAGTTTTCCAAACTCCTGTCTCTGTTCCTGTTTTCTATGCTGAGGGCTCCCTTTCCAAATCACTGCTGTTTCATTTCTCTTGCCCTTTTTTTTTCTTTTTTTGAGACTGAGTCTCACTCTGTCACCCAGGCTGGAGTGCAGTGGTGTGATCTCGGCTCACTGCAACCTCCACCTCCCTGGTTCAAGCAATTCCCCTGCCTCAGCCTCCTGAATAGCTGGGATTACAGGCACATGCCACCATGCCCGGCTAATTTTTTTGTATTTTTAATAGAGATGGGGTTTCACCATGTTGGCCAGACTGGTCTCAAACTCCTGACCTCAGGCAATCCACCTACCTCGGCCTCTCGAAGTGCTGGTATTACAGGCGTGAGCCACCACACCCGGCCTCATTTCTCTTTATTTTTATGCCATATCTCAAGTATCTAGGTGAGATAGCCCTATATGTCTTCTGTGAGTTCCTCCAGACTTGAATTTGTGTGATTTTAAGATACCATATTCTTGCTTACATTGTCACTAATTATGTGTAGATCTTATTCCCTTCCACCATAGTGTAAGTCCTTGGAACATAATGACCTCATTTTCTTTTTTTAAATTTCCAGTAGTTCCTAATGCACCATGTGGTGGAGAGGAGTCACTCAGGGTATCGAAGGGAAGTTAATGTTTGGTAAAGCCAAAACAGAAAACTGTGTTCCCACTATGGTGGTGGGGAATTCAGTCCCCAGGTCAGAAAATCACTGCCTTTGGTTCCTTCAAGAAAGTCCTAGGAGTTTTTCTCCAGCGGCTTCAGAAGGTGGTGGCGGTAGGTGCAGAAGCAAATGAAGCTTCGTCTTCTGCTCAGGGCGTGGTGGCTGTGGATAAGATCTATCTTGGATATCATCTAACCCACACTCTCCAGTGCAGACACGGAGCATATGGCTCAGGGAGGTAGGGAGCTGGTCCAAGACCACAGGGCTGGTTAGTGGTGAATCTGGAACTATGGTCCTGCCTGGAGTTCAGATCTTCTCTGCCCCTAAGTTGGGCCTGCTTGACTTCTGGAGGAGCAACCCTTTCTGCCCTCTTCTCAGTATGACTTTTCATAGTAGAAGAAAATAAAACAGTCACATCTAGAAGGATGTAGAATTTAAAATTCCCAAAACACACAGGAAAAAAAGGGTTGAATTTTGTTGACTAAGGTAGGAAGGACTTTCTCGGTGTCCTCTGATCTGAGGGTATTTGTATTATGCCTCAGAATTGATAATGCCATATTTTAACTGACTTCAATGATAACTTCTCCTTTCAAGAATTAATATTTTGTTGTTGAATTCTCTTGCCATCACATAAGTGACAAAATTACTACTAGCAAGTCTTTGGTATAAATGGTGCCACTTAAAGACATTTGTGTCATTACTTCATTGAGTTCTTTTTTTCCTGCCTATAATTTTCATACTCGTTCATAGAACAGAAATGAACTTTTCATGTATAGAAAAAGATGAGAGTGAAAATGTCACTGTTAACCTTTGGTGTAAAAATAGGATTCCCAATTTTGTATCCTGTTGCTTATCCTGATATAGTAGATCCCTGTCCCTGGCCTCACTTTGCCACTGCTCCTATAGTTATTTGGGATCCAGGATTTTGGCAATACGGCTTCCTGCATGAAAAAACAACTCCATATTGTTAAAAGCAAACAAACAGCTTGCAGAGAAATGGCCTACCATTGATGCCATTTCGATGTAATAAAAAATACTCAATGCATAATTGGAATCCAACTTTAGAAACAAGGTTTAGGTGGGCAGGGTGGCTCATGTCTGTAATCCCAGCTACTTGGGAGGCTGAGGTGGGAGGATCGCTTGAGCCCAGGGGTTCAAGGCTGCAGCTATGATTGTGCCATTGCACTCCAGCCTGGGTGACAGAGTGAGACCCTGTGTTTTAAAAAATGAAAAAAAAAATGCATAGGTGTGTGCATGATGGCACAAACCTGTGGTCCTAGCTGCTTGGGAGGCTGAGGTGGAAGGATTGCTTAGATGCAGGAGTTTCAGGCTGCAGTGAACTATGATTACACCACTGTACTCCAGACATCAAATCGTGGTGATCTTTTGGGAGTAGGATTAGAATTGATTTTAAATTTCTTTTGTGTACTTCATGATGATTTCCCTATTTTATATAGTCCCTGAGGCTTTTATAATAAAAATCCTATGAGCAAAAAAAAATTAAAACTCCCTAGTGTAAGTTACTGTGTTGCTATTATGACTTTTTTTTTTTTTTTTTTTTTTTTTGGAGACAGATTCTCGCTCTGTCACCCAGGCTGGAGTGCAGTGGCACGATCTTGGCTCACTGCAGGTTCCACCTCCCGGGTTCAAGCTAATTCTCCTGCCTCAGCCTCCCGAGTAGCTGGGATTACAGGCACACACCACCACACCCAGCTAATTTTTGTAGTTTTTTTGCAGAGATGGGGTTTCACCGTTTTGGCCAGGCTGGCCTTAAACTCCTGGCCTCAAGTGGTCCACGTGCCTCGGCCTCCCAAAGTGCTGGGATTACAGGCATGAGCCACGGTGCCTGGCCTATTAAGACATTTTTAAAGTTACTAGAGAGCTGCATGTGGCTGTTGGTAAAGGTGGTGGTGGGAGGCGAGGGGAATGGGCAACAACAAATTTAGAGAAAGAAAACTTTTCATGAGAAAGTTGGTTTATACCATTATTTAAACATTTTTTGTTGTAATATAATAATACTTTGGTGGTTCTGTAATTATAGGTATCGCAAAGGGTTTGAACTCCAGTCATCCCTCTATTCGGGAATTAATCTTGCAGTTTTGCTGATTGTTGCTGGACAACAATTTGAAACTTCCTTGGAACTAAGGAAAATAGGTAAAGCTGCTTATTATTGCAGATGTTGTTGCTTTGATTATACAAGTTTGGCATTAAAAGTTATGTTGAAATAACTAGCATTATATCATTATATTTCTATTCTTTTTTTGAGACAGAGTCTTGCTCGGTTGCCCAGGCTGGAGTGTAGTGGTGTGATCTTGGCTCACTGCAACCTCCGCCTCCCGAGTTCAAGCAATTCTCCTGCCTCAGCCTCCTGAGTAGCTGGGATTACAGGTGCCCACCACCACGCCCAGCTAATTTTTTTTGTATTTTTAGTAGAGATGGGGTTTCACCATGGTGGACAGGCTGGTCTCGAACTCTTGACCTCAAGTGATCCGCCTACCTCAGCCTCCCAAAGTGCTGGGATTACAGGCGTGAGCCACCGTGCCCGTACTACTAGAATTATATTTCAAAAGGAACAATCAGTTACTTTTCCTATAGCACACCTGAGACAGCAGCCAAAATAAAATACCTGCTTATCCTCAGTATGACAGAAACTAAAAAAGATTATTCTGACTATCAAAAATTCAAATTCTTAAGGTGTCCGGCTGAACAGTTTGTTGGGAAGAAAAGGGAGCTTGGAGAAAATGAACAATTACTGGGATGTGGGTCAGTTCTTCAGCGTCAGCATGCTGGCCCATGATGTCGGGAAAGCCGTCCAGGCAGCAGAGAGGTTGTTCAAACTGAAACCTCCAGTCTGGTGAGTTGTGTCTGTGTGTTGTCATCACCCATCTCAATACATGATCTTGTTCTGAAATGTCTTCCTTATAATCACTATGTTTCTCCTTCTGACTTTTCATTAAAGCAAAGTTAGCACAGACACAACTGCTCTGAGAATTCCCTTGCTTTTATGTGAAGGGAGGGAAAGACAGATCCACACAGAATATATCCCTGCCTGCTCCACCCCTGAGATTAGGCCTTCTATTCTATTAATTTCTGCAGGTTGTCTAGGTCCTCAAGAGAAAAACACTCTTGGCTACTAGTATGTATTATGCATTTGTGAGAAAGCATATAATAAAATGAAAAAAGCACACCAAGAAAATGTTTATCACAAATGAAAACTGGAACTAAAAGAACAATAATAGGGTATGGTAAATAAAACGGTGGCACAGCAACAGCCTTACACGGCCATTTAAATGTGCAGGAAAGAATGTTTGGAGATGTGGAAGTGTGTTCGTGGTTTGTTGTAGAGTAAGAAAAGCCAGTCCCCGGGTAAGTTTTTCTGTATCAGTGGTTCTCAAATTCTGTTGTGTGTCAGAATCAACCTATGTTGATTAAAACACAGACTGGGTGTAGTGACTTATACCTGTAATCCTGGCACTCTCGGAGGCCGAGGTGGGAGGATTGCTTGAGCCCAGTAGCTTGAGACCAGACTGGGTAATAGAGTGAGACCCAGTGTCTACAAAAAAAAAAAAAAATAGCCAGGCATGGTGGTGCACGCCTGTGGTCCCAGCTACTCGGGAAGGCAGAGGTAGAAGGATCGCTTGAGCCTGGGAGGTCAAGGCTGCAGCGAGCTGTGATTGCACAACTGCAATCCAGCCTGGGTGACAGAGTGAGACCCTGTCTCAAAAATAAATAGGTAAAATAAAGAAAGAAAACACAGATTGCTGGGCCCACTCTCAGAATTTCTGGCCCAGTAGGTCTGGGGTGGACGCCTGAGAATTTGCACTTACAAATTACAAGCTGCTGCTGCTGCTCTGGTGACCACACTTTGAGAACCACTGTTCTATATGATCTTGTTTTAATTAAAAATATGTGTTTGGCATGTGACTTGTAGGGAAAGGCCCAGGAGGGGTGGACAGTATTGGATTTCCCCATAGACATGAAGCTCCGTTAGAATTGTGGTAACAAACCTGCATGTTGCACACATTTACCCTAGAACTTAAAGCATAAAAAAATATATATATATATGTATATATATGTGTGTATATATATGTGTATATATATGTGTGTATATATGTGTGTATATATATGTGTATATATATGTATATATATGTGTGTACATATATGTGTGTATATATGTGTGTGTGTGTGTGTATATATACATGATTTGCTGGAAGGACTCACAGAACTCAGAAAAGCTGTTACACTCTTAGTTATGGTTTATTACAATGAAAGGATACAGATTAAAATCAGCAAAGGCAGAAAGGTACATAGGGTAGAGTCCAGGAGAGACCACGTGCAAGCTTCCAGTTGTCCTTTCCCAGTGGAGTCATGTGAATAGTGCTTAATTCTCCCAGCAAAAATGTGTGACAACATGCATGAAATCTTGCCAACCAGTAAAGCTCATTGAGCCTTAATGTCCAGGGTTTTTATTGGGGATGGGTCATGTGGGCATGGAGTCTTCATGCAGCTGATATTAATACCTCAGCTCCAACCTCTCTAGAGGTCGAACTGATACAGTGTGGCCCAGGGCCCCGAAGATGAATCATATCGTTAGCATAGACTATCTGGGATGGCCCAAGGTCCCAGATAAACAGAGATGCTCTTAGCTGGCAGTATATCCCAAGGGCTTAGAGGTGATCTCCCAATAGCCAGTCCAGGGCCAGATCTTTCTTTTGAATGTGTGGAGTTGGGACAACACAGGCCTGCTGAGTGCCCAAGCAAGTCGGTTGGAGTCTAGCTGGCCTATCTTCCCAGGATAGCTCCAGCTTTTATCCTTAAAGAGCAAAATAATACTATGATGCTTTCAGTTGAACCATTCCGTTTAGTACCAAAGAGGTTGTGACCACCACTGCCTGGCAACTATATTCCAAAAAGTTCAGTTTGCCTGAAAAGAGCAAAGGTGTGGTCAGAGTCAAGATGTCATAACATCAAAATCTACCTAGTCAGATTCTAATATTTCAAAAAATAAAAGACAGTGAGTTTGACTAGTGATTGCCAGAAGTAAGGGAGGGGGTGGGATGGGAGGGAGGTAGGCGTGATGGTGGGAAGGCAACACAAGGGGTCCCTGTGGGGATGGAAATTTCTCTAACTTGCCTTGTATCAGTGACAACATCCCGGTTGTGATACAGTACTATAGTTCTTTTTTTTTCTTTTTTTTCTTTTTTTCTTATTATACTTTAAGTTTTAGGGTACATGTGCACAACGTGCAGGTTACTTACATATCTATACATGTGCCATGTTGGTGTGCTGCACCCATTAACTCATCATTTAACATTAGATATATCTCCTAATGCTAACCCTCCCCCGCCCCCACCCCATAACAGGCCCCGGTGTGTGGTGTTCCCCTTCCTGTGTCCATGTGTTCTCATTGTTCAATTCCCACCTATGAGTGAGAACATGTGGTGTTTGGTTTTTTGTCCTTGTGATAGTTTGCTGAGAATGATGGTTTCCAGCTTCATCCATGTCCCTACAAAGGACATGAACTCGTCCTTTTTTATGGCTGTATAGTATTCCATGGTGTATATGTGCCACATTTTCTTAATTCAGTCTATCGTTGTTGGACATTTGGCTTGGTTCCAAGTGTTTGCTATTGTGAATAGTGCCACTATAAACATACCTGTGCATGAGTCTTTATAGCAGCATGATTTATAATCCTTTGGGTATATACCCAGTAATGGGATGGCTGGGTCAAATGGTATTACTAGTTCTAGATGTCTGAGGAATTGCCACACTGACTTCTACAATGGTTGAATTAGTTTACAGTCCCACCAACAGTGTAAAAGTGTTCCTATTTCTCCACATCCTCTCCAGCACCTGTTGTTTCCTGACTTTTTAATGATCGCCATTCTAACTGGTGTGAGATGGTATCTCATTGTAGTTTTGGTTTGCATTTTTCTGATGGCCAGTGATGATCATTTTTTCATGTGTCTTTTGGCTGCATAAATGTCTTTTTTTGAGAAGTGTCTGTTCATATTCTTTGCCCACTTTTTGATGGGATTGTTTGTTTTTTTCTTGTAAATTTGTTGGAGTTTATTGTAGATTCTGGATATTAGCCATTTGTCAGATGAGTAGATTGCAAAAATTTTCTCCCATTCTGTAGGTTGCATGTTCACTCTGATGGTAGTTTCTTTTGCTGTGCAGAAGCTCTTTAGTTTAATTAGATCCCATTTGTCAATTTTGGCTTTTGTTGCCATTGCTTTTGGTGTTTTAGACATGAAGTCCTTGCCCATGCCTATGTCCTGAATGGTATTGCCTAGGTTTTCTTCTAGGGTTTTTATGGTTTTAGGTCTAACATGTAAGTCTTTAATCCATCTTGAATTAATTTTTGCATAAGGTGTAAGGAAGGGATCCAGTTTCAGCTTTCTCCATATGGCTAGCCAGTTTTCCCAGCACCATTTATTAAATAGGGACTCCTTTCCCCATTGCTTGTTTTTGTCAGGTTTGTCACAGATCAGATAGTTGTAGCTATGCGGCATTATTTCTGAGGGCTCTGTTCTGTTCCATTGGTCTATATCTCTGTTTTGGTACCAGTAGCATGCTGTTTTGGTTACCGTAGCCTTGTAGTATAGTTTGAAGTCAGGTAGTGTGATGCCTCCAGCTTTGTTCTTTTGGCTTAGGATTGTCTTGGCAATGCAGGCTCTTTTTTGGTTCCATATGAACTTTAAAGTAGTTTTTTCCAATTCCATGAAGAAAGTCATTGGTAGCTTGATGGGGATGGCATTGAATCTATAAATTACCTTGGGCAGTATGGCCATTTTCACGATATTGATTCTTCCTACCCAGGAGCATGGAAAGTTCTTCCGTTTCCTTGTATCCTCTTTTATTTCGTTGAGCAGTGGTTTGTAGTTCTCCTTGAAGAGGTCCTTCACATCCCTTGTAAGTTGGATTCCTAGGTATTTTATTCTCTTTGAAGCAATTGTGAATGGGAGTTCACTCATGATTTGGCTCTCTGTTTGTCTGTTAGTGGTGTATAAGAATGCTTGTGATTTTTGCACATTGATTTTGTATCCTGAGACTTTGCTGAAGTTGCTTATCAGCTTGAGATTTTGGGCGAGACGATGGGGTTTTCTAGATATCCAATCATGTCATCTGCAAACAGGGACAATTTGACTTCCTCTTTTCCTAATTGAATACCCTTTATTTCCTTCTCCTGCCTGATTACCCTGGCCAGAACTTCCAACACTATGTTGAATAGGAGCGGTGAGAGAGGGCATCCCTGTCTTGTGCCAGTTTTCAAAGGGAATGCTTCCAGTTTTTGCCCATTCAGTATGATATTGGCTGTGGGTTTGTCATAGATACCTCTTATTATTTTGAGATACGTCCCATCAATACCTAATGTATTGAGAGTTTTTAGCATGAAGCGTTGTTGAATTTTGTCAAAGGCCTTTTCTGCATCTATTGAGATAATCATGTGGTTTTTCTCTTTGGTTCTGTTTATATGCTGGATTACATTTATTGATTTGCATGTGTTGAACCAGCCTTGCATCCCAGGGATGAAGCCCACTTGATCATGGTGGATAAGCTTTTGATATGCTGCTGGATTCCGTTTGCCAGTACTTTATTGAGGATTTTTGCATTGATGTTCATCAAGGATATTGGTCTAAAATTCTCTTTTTTGGTTGTGTCTCTGCCAGGCTTTGGTATCAGGATGATGCTGGCCTCATAAAATGAGTTAGGGAGGATTCCCTCTTTTTCTATTGATTGGAATAGTTTCAGAAGGAATGGTACCAGCTCCTCATTGTACCTCTGGTAGAATTCGGCTGTGAATTCATCTGGTCCTGGACTTTTTTTGGTTGGTAAGCTATTATTGCCTCAATTTCAGAGCCTGTTATTGGTCTATTCAGAGATTCAACTTCTTCCTGGTTTAGTCTTGGGAGGGTGTATGTGTCGAGGAATTTATCCATTTCTTCTAGATTTTCTAGTTTATTTGCGTAGAGGTGTTTGTAGTATTCTCTGATGGTAGTTTGTATTTCTGTGGGATCAGTGGTGATATCCCCTTTATCATTTTTTATTGCATCTGTTTGATTCTTCTCTCTTTTCTTTATTAGTCTTGCTAGCAGTCTATCAATTTTGTTGATCTTTTCAAAAAACCAGCTCCTGGATTCATTGATTTTTTTGAAGGGTTTTTTGTGTCTCTATTTCCTTCAGTTCTGCTCTGATCTTAGTTATTTCTTGCCTTCTGCTAGCTTTTGAATGTGTTTGCTCTTGCTTCTCTAGTTCTTGTAATTGTGATGTTAGGGTGTCAATTTTGGATCTTCCTGCTTTCTCTTGTGGGCATTTAGTGCTATAAATTTCCCTCTACACACTACTTTGAATGTGTCCCAGAGATTCTGGTATGTTGTGTCTTTTTTCTCATTGGTTTCAAAGAACATCTTTATTTCTGCCTTCATTTCGTTATGTACCCAGTAGTCATTCAGGAGTAGGTTGTTCAGTTTCCATGTAGTTGAGCGGTTTTGAGTGAGTTTCTTAATCATGAGTACTAGTTTGATTGCACTGTGGTCTGAGAGAGAGTTTGTTATAATTTCTGTTCTTTCACATTTGCTAAGGAGTGCTTTACTTCCAACTATGTGGTCAATTTTGAAATAAGTGCAGTGTGGTGCTGAGAAGAATGTATATTCTGTTGATTTGGGGTGGAGAGTTCTGTAGATGTCTATTAGGTCTGCTTGGTGCAGAGCTGAGTTCAATTCCTGGATATCCTTGTTAACTTTCTGTCTCGTGGATCTGTCTAATGTTGACAGTGGGGTGTTAAAGTCTCCCATTATTATTGTGTGGGAGTCTAAGTCTCTTTGTAGGTCTCTAAGGACTTGCTTTATGAATGTGGGTGTTCCTGTATTGGGTGCATATATATTTAGGATAGTTAGCTCTTCTTGTTGAATTGATCCCTTTACCATTATGTAATGGCCTTCTTTGTCTCTTTTGATCTTTGTTGGTTTAAAGTCTGTTTTATCAGAGACTAGGATTGCAACCCCTGCCTTTTTTTGTTTTCCATTTGCTTGGTAGATCTTCCTCCATCCGTTTATTTTGAGCCTATGTGTGTCTCTGCACGTGAGATGGGTTTCCTGAATACAGCACACTGATGGGTCTTGACTCTTTATCCAATTTGCCAGTCTGTGTCTTTTAATTGGGGCATTTAGCCCATTTATATTTAAGGTTAAAATTGTTATGTGTGAATTTGATTCTGTCATTATGATGTTAGCTGGTTATTTTGCTCATTAGTTGATGCAGTTTCTTCCTAGCCTTGATGGTCTTTACAATTTGGCATGTTTTTGCAGTGGCTGGTACTGGTTGTTCCTTTCCATGTTTAGTGCTTCCTTCAGGAGCTCTTTTAGGGCAGGCCTGGTGGTGAGAAAATGTCTCAGCATTTGCTTGTCTGTAAAGGATTTTATTTCTCCTTCACTTATGAAGCTTAGTTTGGCTGGATATGAAATTCTGGGTTGAAAATTCTTTTCTTTAAGAATGTTGAATATTGGCCCCCACTCTCTTCTGGCTTGTAGAGTTTCTGCAGAGAGATCAGCTGTTAGTCTGATGGGCTTCCCTTTGTGGGTAACCTGACCTCTCTCTCTGGCTTCCCTTAACATTTTTTCCTTCATTTCAACTTTGGTGAATCTGACAATTATGTGTCTTGGAGTTGCTCTTCTCGAGGAGTATCTTTGTGGTGTTCTCTGTATTTCCTGAATTTGAATGTTGGCCTGCCTTGCTAGTTTGGGGAAGTTCTCCTAGATACTGTCCTGCAGAGTGTTTTCCAGCTTGGTTCCATTCTCTCTGTCACTTTCAGGTACACCAATCAGATGTAGATTTGGTCTTTTCACATAGTCCCATATTTCTTGGTGGCTTTGTTCGTTTATTTTTATTCTTTTTTTCTCTAAACTTCTCACTTCATTTCATTCATTTGATCTTCCATCACTGATACCCTTTCTTCCAGTTGATCGAATCGGCTACCGAGGCTTGTGCATTCATCACATAGTTCTTGTGCCTTGGTTTTCAGCTCCATCAGGTCCTTTAAGGACTTCTCTGCATTGGTTATTCTAGTTAGCCGTTTGTCTAATTTTTTTTCAAGGTTTTTAACTTCTTTGCCATGGGTTCGAACTTCCTCCTTTAGCTCGGAGTAGTTTGATTGTCTGAAGTCTTCTTCTCTTAACTCGTCAAAGTCATTCTCCGTCCAGCTTTGTTCCATTGCTGGTGAGGAGCTGCGTTCCTTTGGAGGAGGAGAGGTGCTCTGATTTTTAGAGTTTCCAGTTTTTCTGCTCTGTTTCTTCCCCATCTTTGTGGTTTTATCTACCTTTGGTCTTTGATGAAGGTGACGTACAGATGGGGTTTTGGTGTGGATGTCCTTTCTGTTTGTTAGTTTTCCTTCTAACACTCAGGACCCTCAGCTGCAGGTCTGTTGGAGTTTGCTGGAGGTCCACTCCAGACCCTGTTTGCCTGGGTATCAGCAGCAGAGGCTGCAGAACAGCGGATATTGGTGAACAGCAGATGTTGTTGCCTGATCATTCCTCTGGAAGTTTTGTCTCAGAGGAGTACCCAGCCGTGTGAGGTGTCAGTCTGCCCCTACTGGGGGGTGCCTCCCAGTTAGGCTACTTGGGGGTCAGGGACCCACTTGAGGAGGCAGTCTGTCCATTCTCAGATCTCGAGCTGCGTGCTGGGAGAACCACTACTCTCTTCAAAGCTGTCAGACCGGGACATTTAAGTCTGCAGAGGATTCTGATGCCTTTTGTCTGGCTGTGCCCTGCCCCCAGAGGTGGAGTCTAGAGAGGCAGGCAGGCCTCCTTGAGCTGAGGTGGGCTCCACCCAGTTCGAGCTTCCCGGAGGCTTTGTTTACCTACTCAAGCCTCGGCAGTGGTGGGCGCCCCTCCCCCAGCCTCACTGCCGCCTTGCAGTTTGATCTCAGACTGCTGTGCTAGCAATGAGTGAGGCTCTGGGCGTAGGACCCTCTGAGCCAGGCGCGGGATATAATCTCCTGGTGTGCCATTTGCTAAGACCATTGGAAAAGCGCAGTATTAGGGTGGGAGCGACCCGATTTTCCAGGTGCCGTCTGTCACCCCTTGCTTTGACTAGGAAAGGGAATTCCCTGACCCCTTGTGCTTCCCGGGTGAGGCAGTGCCTCGCCCTGCTTTAGCTCACGCTTGGTGCGCTGCACCCCCTGTCCTGCACCCACTTTCCAACACTCCCCAGTGAGATGTACCTGGTACCTCAGTTGGAAATGCAGAAATCACCCGTCTTCTGCATCGCTCATGCTGGGGGCTGTCGACTGGAGTTGTTCGTATTCAGCCATCTTGGCTCTACCAAAAACTGTACTATAGTTTTGTAAGATGCTACCATTGGAGTAAACCTGGTCAAAGATATATGGGTTCTCTCTGTATTGGTTCTTAGCACTTCATGTAAATCTAAAATTACCTCAAAATAACATGTTTAATTAAAAAGAAAATGAGTTTGAAATTTTGTCATTTTGTAATTGCTTTGAACTTTGAACTACAGCTGACCCTTGAACAATGTGGGAGTTAGGGGCTCAGTTGAAAATTCACCAAAAACTTAACTACGAATAGCCTACTGTTGACTGGAAGCCTTACCAATAACATAAACAATATTTTGTATTTTATATTTTGCAAAAAGTGCAGGATTTTCGCAACCACTGACAACTGCAGTGACGGCTTCATGAATTTCCTTTTCTGTTTCTCCTACGATTTTTAGGCTGGCTTCATTTATCTTGAAATGGCAGCAGCCGTAACTGCAGAACTCAATCTGCAATACATATCAAGCAATTCAACTTTTTCTGGTAATGTCATGACTTTTCTCGGCTTCTTGGGAGCATTTCCAGTATCACTAGTGGCACTCTCTATGGGTCCCATGGTGTTATTCATTGTTTATGGTGTCACACTAAATACAATGAAGAATGCACGAGAACCGTGAGTGATCACTTTTTACTATGATCTGCAATTTACTGGAGAGACGAACTTCTCATGCAAAAATGATCAGTCTCACACGGTGGAAGTTTTTTTTTTTTGGTTGTTTGTTTTTGAGACAGAGTCTCGCTCTGTTGCCCAGGCTGGAGTGCAGTGGCACAATCTCAGCTCACTGCAACCTCCGTCTCTCAGCTTCAAGCATTCCTTCTGCCTCAGCCTCCCAAGTAGTTGGGACTATAGACGCCTGCCACCGCATCCTGCTAATTTTTGTATTTTTAGTAGAGACAGGATTTCACCATGTTGGCCAGGCTGGTCTTGGACTCCTGACCTCAGGTCATCTGCCCACCTAGGCCTCCCAAAGTGCTGGGATTACAGGTGTGAGCCACCGCACCTGGCCACATGGTGGAGTTTTAAGCAGATACTTACAACAGGAGCTCACCACAATAGCAACAGGAGGTGGCTATGAAATTCTTACAGTAGTGCAGTATGCACTACAGTTAATTTTATGCAGTTTTGATATAATACCACATCTTTACATTTGTTTATATTTTTCTTGACTGGGAATGGTGCCATATACAGTCTGTAAGTGTGTGTGTAAGTTTTGGTACATTTTAACTTTTTGTAAGAGATTTGTATATATGTTGGGTAGTAAATGATAAAATGGACCAGTACCTACATATATTTTATGTGTTCATGGCATACCTAGCTTTTTCTAATTTTTTTTTTTATATTTCTAGGCTTCACAGTTTATCTGCAAAGTTTTTCAAATTGTCGCACGTCTCCAGAACATTTTCCAATGTATCTATTGGGAAAAAAAATCCATGTATAAGTGGAGCTGCGCAGTTCATACCTGTGTTGTTCAAGAGTCAGCTGTGCCTGCCCTTGTTATTTAAAACAGTTACCACATGCTTTCCAATCTCCACATTTTAGGCAGTAGGTACTAAAATTGGGGTTAGCACAATGTTGGTAAAAAGCCACGTTGTGTTATTTTGTTGGATGGACTTACTTTGCCTACTGCTCGTGTTTTCTTAATTAGTTTTGTGGCTGCTGAGCAGTCGTTTATGAAGCACTCATGACATAATATGAATTTAAGTGAATAAAAGCTTTTGGAAAGCTTCTTTTAAAGGGACTTGAATTGAATTCAGTTTCTTTAGGAATCCAATATATTGCTGTTTGTGATTTTTCCAGGTACCTGCGATCATTAGTTCAGAACTTGTTACTAATTCGGCGCTTCAAGAAAACCATTATTGAACACTCGCCCAGGCAAGAGCGGCTGAACTTCTGGTTAGATATAATTTTTGAGGCAACAAATGAAGTCACTAATGGACTCAGATTTCCAGTAAGATATGCTAAATCCATTTTTTTTTAAGATTAGGAAAAAAACTAGGGATTGGTGCTATTTAACTATTGAATACTCTGAACTGAAGAAAACTGTAGAGTAATTTTAAATGTTGGGATAAACATCAATCTTATGTGAAATCAGTAAGTGATAGATCAGCTCACTCATAGATCATTGGCCATATCCTCTATAGTAGTCATTCTCAATTGGAAGCAACTTTGTCCCCCTAAGGTACATCTGGTAATGTCCGGAGACATTTTTGGTGGTCATGACTTGGGGAGAAGGTGGCACTACTGGCATCTGCTGGATAGAGACCAGGGATGCTGTTGAACATCCCACAATGCACAGGACAGCCCCCTCCAATAAAGAATTATCCAGCCCAAAATGTCACTAGTGCCAAAGTGGACAAACTTTCCTCTAAAACAATGTAGCACCACGAGTGGAAACTTGGAATTCAGCGTGGTTTCCTGTTAAGCTTTGGTTTGCCTCTAAGGCCACTAATTGATATTTAAAAGTTACCAAAAAGGCAAAATTGCTTTTAGCTTTTCCTTGAGTTTTTGTTTTAATGTTATGACCGTCTTAGAGTCATGAGTGAAATATGTGAATGTCTTGGAAATTGAACTTCAGATAATTGTGTTCCATATTTATGCGTTGAGAATTTGTGAACATGCCATTTCCAAGAATTTCATTAAGCATCTAATAAAATATTGTTTGAAATGATTATGATAATTATTTTGTTGCCGGTTAATAATACATTTTAAAATCTTTTTTTAGTTATGAAATATTTCAAACCTACTGAAAGGTACAAAAAAATAATGGAGCAGACAACCGCGTAATCTCTAACCAGGTTTAGTGATCTTAAACATGTTGTTTTATTTGTTTTGGAGATTTATTCCCTCTCTCCCTCCTCATCTCACCCCTCCTCTTTCTCTTCCCCTCCTCTTTTTTTTTTTTTTTTCTTTTTTTGAGACGGAGTCTCGTGCAGTGGTGCAACCTCGGCTCACTGCAACCTCCGCCTCCTGGGTTCAAGTGATTCTCCTGCCTCAGCCTCCTGAGTAGCTGGGATTACAGGTGTATACCACCACACCCATCTAATTTTTGTATTTTTAGTAGAGACAGGGCTTCACCACGTTGGCCAGGCTGGTCTCGAACTCCTGACCTCAAGTGATCCGCCTGCTTTGGCCTCCCAAAGTGCCCTCCTCCTTCTCTCCCGATTTTCTTCCTTTGGCCTCCTTCTTCTCTCCTTTTCCCCTTTTCTCTTTTTCGTCCCCTTCTGTTCTTTCTCCCCACCTTTTCTCTCCCCACTCTCCTCCTCCTCACCCTCTTCTCCCTCTCTCCCCTCCCCTCCTCTCTTTTAACAAAGTAACACCTTACTGATGGGCTATCACCTCTTTTTTTATCTCCTTTCATCTTCCCCACCCCCCCCCCCAAGAGATGGCATCTCAATATGTTGTCCTTGAACTCCTGGGCTCAAGTGATCCTCCGACCTCAACCTCCCAAAGTGCTGGGATTACAGGCGTGAGCCACTGTGCCTGGCCCTCAGTGAGGATATATTGAGTACGGACCTCCCCGCCTCCTCGCTGGGCAGGGTGCGCTATGTTTTCTACCCATGTACGTTAACAGGCATCTGTTCTTGTTTCAGGTTCTGGTCATAGAGCCAACCAAAGTGTACCAGCCTTCTTATGTTTCCATAAACAATGAAGCCGAGGAGAGAACAGTTTCTTTATGGCATGTCTCACCCACAGAAATGGTAAGGAGGAAAAATCACAAGCAATTTAATCAGTTTTCAAATAGGAGAGTCTAGATGGTAGTATTTGAAGGAAAAGGCACCCATGTTTAACTTCTGAATTATGAGAATATATGAGAGAGTATCATCACAGATGAGAGACAGTAGGTTTTTCCATTTTGTGTGTGTGTGGGCATGTGTGTGTGTGGGCATGTGGTGAGGTGTGGGGGTGGGGGAGTGTGTGTGTGTGTGTGTGTGTGTGTGTGTATAAAAACATTAAAACAAATACAGGTTGGTTTGTTTTTTTATAGTTAAACCTTAGGGAAGTGGGTAGAGGATACAGGCTGGTGTGTTGTTTCACAGCTGTAGTCCCAACACTTTTGGAGGCCAAGGCAGGCGGGTTGCTTGAGCCCAGGAGTTCAAGACCAGCCTGGGTGACACATCAAAACCCCGTCTCTATAAAAAATAAATTTAAAAAATTAGCCGGGTGTGGTGGTGCACACCTGTAGTCCCAACTACTTGGGAGGCTGAAGTGGGAGGATCGCTTGAACCTGGGAGGTCGAGGCCACAGTGAGCTATCATTGCACCACTGCACTCGAGCCTGGGCAACAGTGAGACCCTGTCTCTAGAAAAATAAAATAGTAATATATTTTTAGAAGCACTTATACTGGCTTTCTTGATATTCCTCAACTATTACTGGATCCTGTGGCTTTCCAGATAAAACTCAGACTCTTTTACTAAGTGTTCAAGTCCCTCCCTATATAATCCTGCCCCCTCCCTTCCTCTTTCTCTTCAGCCCTCAGTGCCAGTCAGGCTGTCCTCTTACTCGCCCCTGAGCTGTCCCTGCGGGAGCTCCTGTCTACCCTTTCATTTCCATCCTTGTTCCTTTTGGGATTTCCTTCTTCCGATTATCCAAGTCCTAGCTTTTGCAAAGTCATCTTTAACCACTCCTTCATTCCTTCCGCTGAGTGTCTGTAGGCTACCAATTGCCTGTATCATGCACAGAAGAACATCCTAAGAATGCCCATACATGACTTGTATGTTTGTAGCTGTAGGAGCTATGGAACAGTTACCCACTCCTGAACAAATGCCTGTTGATTATTACATAAAATGTGTTGTTTACTTAACTAGTAAATGTTCCTCCCAAATCAAGAAGTTCTCTAAAGCCACCGTGGAATAGACCTGCCATTGGGGAAGTCTTTGGAAACTCATGTGGCTAAGCTTTCTGTATATGTGCAGCCTCCTGCAGGTGGCTGTGGGTTAGACAAGACTCTTGAGTCTGCCCTGGCTCCCATTTCTGTGCCTGAATCCAAAGGCCGACTCCTGCTGTCTGCCACTATCCTCTCTGCATGACTTTGGACTCATGTCTCCTCTGAAGTACACTTAGCCTTTCTATGCAGTTGGATGTGATTTGCTGGCTTTCATATTCTCCTACCCTCTTATGAGAAGCCTCCAGTGGCTTCCTGTCTCACGCAGAGTCAAAGCTGACATCCCGAGGGTGGCCTAGAAGTCCTGCATGATTTGCCCATGAGCTCTCCAACCTCCTCTTCTACTCCCATCCCGCTCACTCCACTGTAGCCATATTTGCCTCTTTGTTGGTCCCCGAACGTGCCAGGCACACCCCTCCTCAGGGCCTTTGCACTTGCTGTTCCCTCTGCCTGGAACTCTTCCCCCAGGCATCCACGTGGCTTCCTTCTTCCCCCACTTTAGCTTTCTGTTCAGAAGTCATCAGCGACGCCTACCCTGAACATCCTGTTGAACAACGTGACCCCCTGCCCTATCTTAATGCCCTTCCCTACTTTATTTGTCTTCATAACACTTTTCACCGCCCCCCATGGTATGATTTTACTATTTAATCTATTGTCCATCTCTCTTCACTCACATGCAAGGCCCATGAGGGCAGGAACTTTGTGGTTCTCTGCTGTGTCTTCAGTATTAGTACTTTGCCTAGCACATACATAGTAGGTGCTTGATCAACACGTATGACTAAAACTTCTCCCATCGGAAACCATCTTCCCAGTCTGTTCCTGTTGTCATTGCTCCAGGATGGCAAGAAACTAGTCATGTGCCTATTCATGGCAGTTCTCTTGAGCCAAATGCTCAGTCACATGGTTCTCATACTTTTCTTCCCTGGGTGGCTTAGTTGGTCACTTGTGACATTCCTCAGGCCAACCAAATGGAATTTTTTTTTTTTTTTGAGGCAGGGTCTCATTCTGTCACCTAGGCTGGAGTGCAGTGGAGTGATTTTGGCTCACTGGAACCTCTGCCTCCCAGGTTCAACTGATTGTCCCATCTCAGCCTCCTGAGTTGCTGGGACTACAGGCGTGTGCTACCATGCTCAGCTCATTTTTGTATTTTTAGTAGAGACGGGGTTTCAGCATGTTGGCCAGGCTGATCTCGAACTCCTGACCTCAAGTGATCGCCCCCACACCTCGGCCTCCCAGAGCGCTGGGATTACAGGTGTAAGCCACCACGCCTGGCCCAAATGGATTTTCCTACTTAAAATTATTTTCTGCAATTGTGATGTATTGATGTTATTGCCTATGGATTTTCCAAAACTGGAGTTTCAGATGTTCCTTCTCAGGCTTAGCTTTGTGCAAAGTGTAGTGGTAGTGAAGGGAGGGGACCGAGTTAGTTTTTGTTTGTAAGTGCAACTTGGGTGCTGTTTGAAATCCCAGTTAGTTTTTTTATTAGTCATGGTAGGCTAGCTTCTAAAACAAACAGCCCCCAAATCTCAATATCTTAACATGATAAAAGTTTATCTATGCCTCATGTCATATCCAGGTTGCAGAGGGTGGCGGTGGGGGGCATTCCATCTTGCAGTGGATGGGGAAAGAGGAAATAGAGGGTTGCTGTGGAGTTTTTGAGTCAGGCCTGCAGGTGATGCACAGCATTCCTGCTCACATCCCATTGGCCAAAACTCCACTGTATATCTCTCTAGCTGCAAGGGAGGCTGGGAATTGTAGTTCAGCTCTATGTTCAGGGAGAAAAGGAAGACTGATGAATGCTGAAAGGTGTCTGTCGCAGTCTTGCCTCTCCCAACATTTTTGCAAGTCACTCAACTTAGGTGGGCTAGTCCCATGCTTGTTTTAGAGTTTGCCTACTATGTTGACAGAAGATGAAAAGCCACTCACTGTGTGTTTATTCTATGCTTATTATTTCTAT